>NC_000010.11:93627943-93930974 GCF_000001405.40 Homo sapiens
AGAGGCAGGCAGAGTTTGGTGAGGTGGGGATTTAAGGAGGGAGCCCACTTAGATCTTGTTAGATTGTTAGTTTTTTAGGACTTTTGTGAGCAAGTTGTTAAACTGTTGGCAGCTTGAAATCTCCCATGGCAAGAGAATTGGGACCATGGAAATTGGCAACTGATACAAGCCAAGGATTTCCCCAATTCCCAGCCAGGAGAGCTGATTTCCCCAGCACCCATTCTGGAGCTCACAGTTCTAGTTCCATCCCATAGATTTAAACAAATCACTTAACCTCTTTAGGCTTCCATTTGTTCATTTTTTTTTTTTAAGTATGAACTTAATTGCTAAGATCCCTTCTGGCTTTAAAATGCTATGATAGCTGGGTGTGGTGGCTCACGCCTGTAATCGTAGCACTTTGGGAGGCCAAGGCAGGTGGATTGCCTGAGGTCAAGAGTTCGAGACCAGCCTGGCCAACATGGTGAAACCTTGTCTTTACTAAAAATACAAAAATTAGTTGGGCTTGGTGGTGGGTGCCTGTAATCCCAGCTACTTGGGAGGCTGAGGCAGGAGAATTGTTTGAACCCAGGAGGTGGAGGTTGCAGAGAGCTGAGATCGCGCCATTGCACTCCAGCCTGGGAAACAGAACAAAAACTCCATCTCATAAAATATAAAAAATAAAATCAAATAAAATGCTATGATTTTAATTATCTCTTGGAAAGACATGGTCTTTTATTAAGATCCATTTGTGATTATGACCCAAGGTACAGAAAACTTAAAATGACCCAAAGTTGAGTGATTTCTTGTCCTTATAGATGTGAGCAATAGTCTGTGAATTCCACTAAGTAAAGTGATATCTCTCACTGAATCCTTACTTTGGTGTAACTAAAAACTTATCTGGCTGTTTCCTCCTGCCTCTTAACCATCATCTTCTAACCCAAATCTCACTTTAGGAAGAAGAAGAAGAAGAAAAAAAGCAATCCTAGCTCTGCTGCTCATACTGGCTGTAGCAGAGCTAGAATTTCTCAGCTTTCTCCTCCCCTTGGCCTGAGCAGCCTGTTGCTTTGAATTTGAAGGGGATTCCCTGGAGTCTGGGGGAGTGGGAAGGGGCAGAGACGGTACCACATATCCTCCAGTGATTTAATTAGCAGCAGGGAAGCCATCTTGAATGAGTTGTTAGCAGCTGTGGCCTAGTTGAGGTCCATTTGCCCGCAAGCAGTCAAGAGCCGTGTAGAAAATCCTCACTCCCAATGCGTTCTTTCTTATTCTGCTTTGTGGATCAAGAGGGCTCCACTACACAATATTTCAGACCATTTGTCTCCTCTTGCCTTCCAGATCTGTAACATGATGAATGCCCCTGCGGATGAATACTTCACATTTCAGGTAACTGCACTCTGGGTCAGACCTCACCTCTTGGGGCTGGGGTAGAGGAGTGGATGCTCTCGCCTCTCCTCCACCCCCAGAGTCCGCCTGATGCTCAGGTGTGGCCACAGGCACACACGGGTCCATCTCCCACTCACCCTGGCTGGGCCAGCAAGTAGCAGATTCTTCAGTGAAGGAAGAAAAGAAGGTTAAGACAGAAGGCCAGGGAGGGGACCTGCCACTCCTCCATTTGCTCACACTCCTGGTCATTTACGGCAGTGGTCCCCAACCTTTTTGGCACCAGGGACCGGTTTTGTGGAAGACAATTTTTCCACAGAATGAGGGTGGGGTGGGAGATGGTTTTGGGATGAAACTTCCACCTCAGATCATCAGGCATTAGTTAGATTCTCATAAGGACGGCACAACCCAGATCTCTCACATGCGCAGTTCACAAGAGGGTTCACACTCCTATGAGAATCTGATGCTGCTGATGATCTGACAGGAGGTGGAGCTCAGACGGTAATGTGAGCAATGGGGAGTGACTGTAAATACAGATGAAGTTTCACCCGAGTACCCACTGCTCTCCTCCTGCTGTACAACCTGCTGGTTCCTAACAGGCCATGGGCCAGTACTGGTTTATAGTCCAGGGATTGGGGACCCCTGATCTAAGGGCTCAACAGTTCCTGACACAGCATTCATGCTCAATAAACGTTCTCTGCATGCATGAATGGCTGGCTACCTCCTACATCCTGAATCCTGCTCTCCTGGTGGTTTTCTCAGCAGCCCTTCCCTGCAGCTTATTGCAACTGTTCTCAGGAAAATCAACAATTCTGACTGAGTCTTCAGAGCTTCTCCTGCTGTTAGACTCGGTTGTATCCTTCCTTCTCCACTGTGCAGAGACCCACTGCCTGGGGAATCTGCCTCCACTCACCGCCAGATGCTCCCAGGAATCAGCTTCTGTATGTGCTACTCTACCTGACCCACTTCTCCCCATCAGGGCTTCCTGCTGGAACCTGGCTGCAGACCCGAGTTGATCCCTCCCCGCCCCCCGAGTTCATCCAGCCCACCAGAAGGGCCAGCCTGTCATCTTCACCACCCCCTCCCCAACTGTCACCCCCCACCTGTCATCTCTGCCACTCCCTTCTCTACCTGCCCATCCCTCCTCACCTGTCATCTCTGCCACCCACTCCCCACCTGTCACCTCCTCCCAACCTGACTGTTAGAGATAAACTGGCATTTGGCTCCACAGCCTCTTATTTTCTGCCTCTGGGCACTTGTTATTCTCTGTCCTGTATTTAAAAAAACATCCCCTTAGAGCCCTGATCTCAGTCACAAATAGAGACTGCCCTCCCCGGTGGGTACCGTTGGGGTCTGTTTTTCTGTCTCTCTCACATACAGAGCCCCATCTCTGCCTTTTAGGAAAAGCCAGCCTTCCCCAGGCTGCAGCGTGCCTCCTTAGCGGCAGAACCACACCACACCTTGGGGAAAGCTGTACACACTTGCTTCGTTACGTGCATCTGCCTGCTCCTCCCTTTGCCGATTGACATGGAAAACATGTAAACACCATATGGCTGCTCTAGCTCCTTCCTCCTTGCAATTGAAGCTTATTTGTGACCATGCTGTGCCCAGGCCTGACCCCTATATTTATGGCACGTGGATGTCAGAATAGGATGCATGTCAGCAAAAGGGCGACAATGATTTTCTAGAGTCTGAACCTTAAGCAGTCATTGTCTAAACAGGGAGTGGGAATGGAGCTGGCCCAGGAGAATGCAGGCTGCTCTGAAATGTGAGGCCCTTTGCTTTCTCTCATGCTCCACTGCAGCTACTGCTCTGATGTGCTCTCATGGCCTGGGCAGAGAGGAGGCCTGGGGCCTCCCCGGGGCCTTGGGGAGTCCCCAGTGTGGGATAAACCTCCAGGCCACAGGGATTTCCCAGTTCTCTGGGAAACATCATTGTGGTGCCCATGAAAATGTGCTTCTCAGATCTCCACCTGTGGGAAGTGTAGCCGTGCAATGGCTGCTGGCCTGAAATCCATGGTCACATCTGTGCTGAGGCCACACGCTCCACAGGCCACTCCCAATTGGTAACTAAGTGTGGCAGGGACAGTAAAGCAGGCCTGCTCCTGGAAGACAGCCAGATACCCTGCCAGGCAGCTTGGGCCCTAGGAATGCCTAACAGCTCTGCAAACAGTTTCAGAACAGCACGGTGGTCTAAGGGGCTCCCCTCAACCTTCCATCCTTCCGTTTCTCCTTTGCAAAGGGTCGGGACTGCATCTCTGTCTGATGTCTCTCTCAGCACCCCCAGCCTCCCTCCCCGCCGCTCTTCAACGGCATCACCTGTGCATCATTCCGCACAGCGGACTAGGACGGGTGACCGCCCTCCCCAAACCACCACCCTCCTTTTGTGCTCCGTCTTCTGATTCTGTCTCTCCCTGCTCAGGCCCCACCCTGATTCTTACGATTCCTTTTTGCACCTGAGAAGTTTGATAGACAAGCCAATGATATAAAAAGAACTGCCATCAGAGCAAACCTGCAAAGGCAGTGGTTCTCACACTATGTTTCTTGGGGGCATAATGGATTCATTTCCTATTGCTGCTGTCACGAATTGCCACTGAGTGGTTTAAAACCACACGAAATGTATTATCTCACAGTTCTGGAGGTCAGAATTCCAAAATGAGTCTTCTTGGGCTAAAATCACGGTGCTGGTGGGACTCTTGCTTTCTGGAGGCTCTGGGGATAATTCATCTCCTTGCCTTTTCCAGCTTCTCAGGGCCTCCCGCCTTCCTTGCCTGGTGACCCTTCCCCTGGCAGAGCCAGCAGCACCATCACTCTGACCTTGCTTTTGTCATCATAGCTCCTTCTCCCATTCTGATTCTAACCTCTCTTCTACTTTTAAGGATCCTTGTAATTACATTGGGTCCACCTGGAACATCCAGGCTAATTTCCCCATCTTAAGGCCAGCTAATTAGCAACCATCATTCTATCTGCAACCTTAGTTCCCCTGTGTTGTGTAAGATAACATATTCACAGGTTCCAGAGATTAGGATATAGACATCTTTGGGGGCCATTGTTCTGCCTGCCATAGGGTTCCTCGAAGTGGACTAAGGGGTCTTCCTTTAACGTCAATTAAAGTGGTCCTAATTCACAGGAGGAAAAGTGTATAGAATTTCCTCAGTTTTTTGTCCTACTAATTTTTCTTAAACCTTGGGTTCCTTCTGTAACTTGTCTGTCAGTAAGGTCTAACTAATGGCAAAGCACAAGAATATGAACTGGTAGCAAATGAATATTTCCTGAAACACTGAGAAGCAGTCAGCAAAGCTTATTTTGGAAGCTTTAACAAATACGCATGAAGTTCTTTCACACGCATGTGATATATTCTCTATTACTGATTTTGTCCTTGGTTCGTATGATGGTGTAAGTACATAAATATTTCTTATTGTTTTCCAAAGATGCAGGCTTTGCAAGCACTATGCACTGCATCTTTTTTCTAAAGCTTTGACCATCAGGAGACGGATGTTGAGGTTTGGTTCCTCTGCTTTTCATTGCATGTATAATGACTACATAGAGTAGTAACAAATTACTTAGATTGAGCACTTATTACATGCTCAGTCTAAATGTTAAATTGTGGTTCAGGCTATAAGTGCAGTTGGAATTCCAAAACAGAAAAGTTCTTTATGAGTTAGAAAAATTAGAAAGGCTTCATGGGAGAGCCAAGACTTAACAGGGGCCTGTAAGGATGACTAAGTAAGCCAAGGGAAGTCTTCAAGAACAAATAATGTGGTGTGTTGAGTGCTTGTCTATCTTTGCCTTAGCTACATACTGTGCAAATGCTACATCATGGTTCTCAAACTTCAGAGGGCATCAGAATTACCTGGGAAGCTTATTGAAGATGCATGCCCAGGCCAGGCATAGTGACTCACGCCTGTAATCCCAGCAGTTTGGGAGGCTGAGGCGGGCGGATCACTTGAGGTCAGGAGTTCAAGATCAGCCTGGCCAACATGGTAAAACCTCATCTTTACTAAAAATACAAAAATTAGCCAGGCTTGGTGGGGCATGCTTGTAATCCCAGCTACTCGTGAGGCTGAGGCAGGAGAATCACTTGAACCTGGGAGGCAGAGGTTGCAGTGAGCCAAGATTGTGCCGTTGTACTCCAGCCTGGGTGACACAGTGAGACCCTGTCTCAAAAAAAAAAAAAAATAAAAAAAAATAAACAAGCTAAAACAAATCTGTTACACATGGTCCTTGGACCACACTTTGAGAAACACTCCTAAACTTTTGTGCCTGCATCCCTCGACTAGACCCTAAGCATCTTGAGGGCAAGACCTGTGATTTATTCTTTGTACCTTCAGCAACTGCCCCAGTTCCTGGCATACCACAGAGGCTTGACAAATGTTTACTCAACTCAACACACCACAGAATGAAAGACTATCTTCATGGATCAGTCAGAAAAACAAAAACCACACTAGTATTTTAACGGGAGAATTTTATTTAAGGAATTAGCTAAACAGGTGTTAGAAGATAGAAAAAGTGTAAAGGGAACAGTGAGGTAACATAGTGGTAAGAAGCACTTCCCATCACTCAGGCTTGGGAAAGAAAGGGAAAAGGTTAGAATTGTCAGAAAACAGACACTTGGTTCTAGTTCACTCTATTGGATGTGCTAGAGTACATATAATGGCTGTATGGTCCTAGCCATGTTCTGACACAAAGTAGGAATTGCACATCTAACACCAAAAGATTACTCTTTCTTTTTTTTTTTTGAGATGGAATTTCACTCTGCTGCCCAGGCTGGAGTGCAGTGGCACGATCTTGGCTCACTGCAGCCTCTGCCTCCTGGGTTCAAGCAATTCTCCTGCCTCAGCCTCCCAAGTAGCTGGGATTACAGGTGCCCACCATCACGCCTGGCTAATTTTTGTATTTTTAGTAGAGATGGGGTTTCACCATGTTGACCAGGCTGGTCTCGAGCTCCTGACCTCAGGTGATCTGCCTCCCAAAGTGCTGGGATTACAGGCTCCAGCCACTGTGCCCAGCCTTTTTCTTTAAATTAAAAATAAACTAAGTGACAGGTGGTTGGGTGGTAGCTAGAAGGGAGGAGTACAGGACAGTCTTGTAGTGATGGAATAGTGTTGTATCTTGATTCTAATGGTGGTTGAAAAGCTACACAAGGGATAAATTTGCATAAAACTATATGTACACACACACATATATGTGCAAAAGTAACTGCATACAAATCTTGGTAAAATCCAAATCAGCTCTGGATCGTACAATGTCTGTTTTCTGGTTTCGATATTGTACTATAGTTACACAAGATGGTAGAAAATGTACTGTAGTTGTCTAACCATCATTACCATTGTGTGAAACTGGGTGAAGGGTACCTGAAATCTCTCTGTACATTTCTTTTGTAATATCCTGTGAATTTATGATTATTTCAAACTAAAAAGGCAAAAAAATAACTTGAGGTCCCTTCTCGTTTGTAGAAAGGACCTGTAGACGAAACTGGTTGGGTCATTAAGAATGTTTTGTCCCTGCCTATTGTCAACAAGAAAGAAGATATTGTGGGAGTGGCTACATTTTACAACAGGAAGGATGGAAAACCTTTCGATGAGCATGATGAATACATTACCGAGGCAAGTGCAATAATAAGATAATGGAAGTCAATGCAATTCACAAAATAAGAGAGGGCACGTAATTATTTGTTATTCTGGAATGATATTTTGAAGGGCCATTAAGACATGAGTCACACATAGCTGTAACCAATATGTTGTTATTTTGTCGTTTCTATTTCCTGACTTCTATAAACTGCAACATTTTCTACCAAAGTATAAAATTTTAGCTTAACCAAAATTTGTAATAATACTCGGAAAACAGGAAAGAGGATTTTCTTCTTCTTTCTCCCACTCCTCCTTCCTGTTCCCTCTCATTCTTATTCTTATTCTTACGCCCAGCCCCCTGCCTAATTTTTAGGTCCTGCTTGACTATACTGGTGTTGGTAACACCTCTCTCTTCTATTCATGGTGCATGGTACACTTTAAAAAGCAATAATTCAGCCAGTTTTATTGTCTGAAGCTGATTATTAGTATGTTTTTCTTAAATTAAAAGAAGGAATGGGGTGGTTGATGATGGAAGGGAGATGGATAGAAAAGCGTGCAGATTGTTGCCTCCAAACCAATTTTTCTTTCACTGAAGAGAATTAGAATCACCTTTTATCCATTTCAGACTCTCACACAATTTCTTGGATGGTCTCTTTTAAATACTGACACCTACGATAAGATGAATAAGCTAGAAAACAGAAAGGACATTGCTCAGGAAATGCTCATGAACCAAACCAAAGCCACTCCTGAAGAAATTAAGTCCATTTTGGTAAGTGGGAAATTCAGTCCTGTGGACATAAGATGTTACCTAACCACATATTCTAGAAGTCATCTAATTACCCAGGGGTCTGACAAATGCAAATGGTTTACTCCTGGGCTGAGAGAGAGAGACAGGGAAGGAGGGGTTGGAAGAAGACATGGATGGCCCAGTGTACAGAGACCCTTACTGGAAGTACAGCTGCTTGGCTGGAATAGCACTTTGTTCAAAACAGCCCTGGGGCTATGGGAGCTATAGCAAGAAAAAAATATATATATTTTAGGAAGGGAAATGTATCAGTCAGCTATTGTCATATAATGCTGCATAACAACAACCCTAACGCCTCAGTGTCATGCAGTAATGAACCTCTATCTCTCACTCACATTTGTGGGTTGACCAGGCTTTGATTGACAGTGGCTGGACTTGGCTCCAAGCTATGAATTTGGTTTGCTCTATGTGTCTCTCATCCTTCTTGGACCAGGAGCTACCTGATAGATGTCCTTCTCACAAAGATGACAGAAGTGCAAGAGAGCAAACCTAACTGTGCAGGCATACTTCAGGTTTTTGCTCACATCACATTCACCAAAATGCTCATTGGCCAAAGAAAGCCACATCACGAAGACCAACCTTATAGATGATGGGGGAGCAAGTGGATATTTGCTAACCATGTTCTAATCACCACAAAATGAAGGGAAAATATCATGTGCCCACCATCTCTATTTCTTTTATTTCCCTGGCTTTGTGTGTGTGTGTGTGTGTGTGTGTGTGTGTGTGTGTGTAGTTTTGCTGGAGTGGGTTGGTTTTGGTGAGCATGTTGGTTTTTGGTTTTGCCGAGTGGTTTGAGTGTAATTCAGTTTGATAGTTTGAGATGTTAAAGATGAGAAGATCTGGGGGTAATAAAAGGAACTGTGATAAGCTAATACAAAAATAAATGTAAGCCACTCATTTTTTCTTTCCTACATGCAAACAACCCACACCTCTTTAAAAAAACCAGCTACTGTAATCATTTTGGGGGAATTTTAAAAATCAAATATATTAGATTATTTCTTGAAAAAAGTCTTCATAATCAGGTGCTATAGGTCTTTGTATCCATGACAAAGAATGCATCTTTGCCATGGAACTCATTGTAGTATATTTTATTTATTTACTTATTTTTAGAGATGGGGTCTCACTCTCTCACCTAGGCTGGATTACAGTGGTGCCATCATAGCTCACTGCATCTTCCAACTCCTGGGCTCCAGGGATCTTCCCGCCTCTTCCTCCCACATATTTTAAATATATCTTAACTAAGATTGTAATAGTAGAGGAATCAGATGGAAATCTTCTCCTTTAGGAATTTCACACCTCAATTGCTTTTACATTTTAGAAATTTCAAGAGAAGTTAAATGTTGATGTAATTGACGACTGTGAAGAAAAACAACTTGTTGCAATTTTGGTAAGTGTTTTCTTTCTAACCTTAATGCCTGTTAAATAGAGGCATTATAAATCAATAATATATTAGGACATGCTTTCTTGTTTTTCAAGTAAATGTTGAGTTTTCTCTTTCCTGATATTTCTCAAGGCTAAAAAGAAAGAATTCTTCTAAAGATTGATCTTTTGATTCCCTGCTTTTCTTCATCTTTGTCGCCTCTGGTCCAATTCATACAGATAATTTACAATTGTAGGTAGCCTAGACTACTGCTTAGGGGACTTCAGGCACAGAATCTAGGGATATCAAGGCACAGTTTATTTTAATAGCTTTGGATGACACCATGGCCACCACAGAGAACATGACAGAGTTAGCGTGGAGCATGGATCTTTCTAGGCACTGGCACCGCCTGCCATTTCTAGCTTCTCTTCTGGAGTCTGAAGGCTCCATTCTTTCGTGTTGTTGCCAGTAGGCCATCCCTATTATTTTTCTTTGAAATTAACTTTCCCACTTCACTAATTCTGTCTTTTGTTGTGCCCGATCAACTGTTAAACTCGCTCAATAAGTTCGTAATTTCAGAGATTTTTTTCAGTTCTAGAAGGTACATTTAATTCTTTTGTTAAGATTCTAACTCTGTGTTAAAACTTTTCATCATTTGATCTATTTTGACTATTTTCCCCTGTATTTTCATAAATGTATTGATGTGTATTATTTTAAGGTACCCATCTTAATACCAGAATCACCTGTAGATCTGATTCTACTGTTTATTTTTACACCTGGGTTCTAGTCATTTGATCCTGTTTTAAAGCATGCCTTATGCTTTTAAAATAAAAAATCAGATATTGTAGATAAAAACGTGTAGGGGCTCTGAGTGATATTATCCTTCTGCAAAGAGCATTAGAGTTTCTTCTGGCAGGTGAGAGAATTGTTTTAGATTTCATTTGGAATGATCTTTTTTGGCTTTATTCCTACTATTAGGGTGGAGCCCTTGTTTCTAGAAAGTGGCTCCTCTGGAATCCATGAAATCCTGGGATATTTACGAAGACCCCAAGACCTTGAATTTCAGAGGATTGAATTCCTTCTGATTGAAATGGAAATATCACACTTAATTTCCTTACTAACTGCTATAACCTGTTTTCCACCATCTCTTTCCGATCTGTGATGTGAGCATTCTTTCTAAACTAAGACACATCGACTATCTCACCTTCTCCCTTTCCATCTTTTGTGGGCTCTGTCCTCCCACCCAGGGCCTTTGCTCTGCTACCATAAGACTGTTGGTCTTTGACCCTTTTTTGGGGCTTACTTCCCACCCCCGTGTTTTCATGTCATCTGAGGTTCCCTTTTCTCCCATTTTGCTTGGCTCCACCTTTGGCACCATCCTCTCAGCCTGGCCCAGAAGACCACCCTTTCTTCTCCCCACCTGCCCTCAACAATAGGCATCTTCTTGGAAAACAAAACTTTTATTGACATCCGTGTCACCAGAAATTCTCTAATTTCTTATTTAAAGGAAGAAGGATCTTATGTTGTAGAAGCAATAAAGTGGACAAAGAACCAGTAGACTTCCTAAAAAACCAGCCTATTTTGAATGTAAAATCTACTCAGGGCAAATCCCAAATCATTGTTGCATAAAATTGAGGAACGTAACAAATATTTCAGAGGAGTTCTCCAAAATTATCCTGGCATCATTTCCCAGCTACGTAATTATTTGTCCATCTTCACGTACCTGAGTCTCTCTCCAGGCCTGCACTTTCATGTTACCTCCAGGGAAGGCTCAGCTGATTTTCTGGGTGTAGCAACAGTTCTGTGCAAGAGTGTGAGGGGTCAGCCCAGGCTCAGGGGCTGGGGGAACCAGAAACCGTAATTTTGTTTTAAATAGCTATATACCATTCGGTGTTGAAATCTGTGTAAATAGAGCATGGCTGTCCCCTGAAAAACATTAAACTTACTAAGGGGAGTGACCTCCCTTTCCCTATGTTTGTGTCCTCCTCAGTGCACTAGTAAGGACATACTACACATTCAAATAAATACCCATTGAACTGAATCTCTCCTGCAGATCTGTCTGGTAGGCCCACATAGTTGTTGCTCATTTCTGCCTCTTAGCACTTTCTCACCCACATGGAATCGTCTCTCCGCTTCCTTCTGCCAGCTCAGCTGCATGCATGTCCCTCCAGCATCTCTCCTCCTTTAATTTCCCCACCTGTCCAAGGACATTCAGTTTCTCCCTCGGCATGGAGCACTGGCCATACTCTCTGATTATTCTAAGTGCTTACTTTTCACTCGTATATATTTTATAGCCACTTTAATAAGTTAAGTTCCTTAAGGGCAAGATACATATTTTTATTTCTCAAGTCGCACCAATGCCATGTGTCTACTTGGCTATTTTTTCACATAATCCGAAATCCTAACCAGATGTGAGTTAAATGAAATGTCTGCAAGTATACCTATGTACTGCAGGGCAATCATTGGTTTATCCATCCACTCATTCATTCAACAGGCATTTCCTGAGCACCTTCATGGGACAGGACCTGCAGATTTGGGATATGGCAGCAAATAAGCAGATGATCCCCACCCTCGGGGAGCTCACATTCTAGTGGGAAACTGTCACTGAGCACATAAAGAAAATTCAAGAGAATTGAATTAAGCAGTCGTTTACTGTTTACTGAATATTTCTTGAACAGAAAAAAAGTTGAGTATCAAAAATGAGTAAGGCTTTTGTAACTAAACATTTTATTTTGCATCATTGAAAGAAAAGAGCTACTGGAGTTGGATTTAGAATGGTAACCCATCACTTAGAAAGTCTTTAATATGGCCAAGTCTCAGTTTCATCACCTGTAAAATGGAGATAATCGTGTAGGCCTGCCGTTAGCATAATCTGTGCAAACTGCATCATCCAGTGCCTGGCACATGGTGGTTCAGTGAATCACACATTGTGTTCTTTTATTGTAATTTTGGTTTACACCCAATGTTGGCTATGGGAGTGGAAAGGGAAAACAGATGAATGTAATCTGAAACAACCCATCCTTATTTCAACAGAAAGAGGACTTGCCAGACCCACGCTCAGCAGAACTGTACGAATTCCGCTTCAGTGACTTCCCCCTTACAGAGCACGGATTGATTAAATGTGGAATACGACTGTTTTTTGAAATAAATGTGGTGGAGAAATTCAAAGTACCTGTAGAGGTCAGAGGGTATTTAATTTAAAATACTGTGTGATTCTGTGGCTCTGCTTCACTGATGTTTTCTGTGGTTCAAAAGATGGACTCAGTTTGAATTTTAAATTATTATTAACTTTCTAAATACATCAGCTTAACCCCTATCTACAAGACCAACACATCTTTTTAGATAAGATTGCCACAGACCTTCTAACCTTTAGAATTCTATTCCAAAGTCTGAATGGTGTCATCTTCTTTTAGGTTCTTACCAGATGGATGTACACTGTGAGGAAAGGGTACCGAGCTGTCACTTACCACAATTGGCGGCATGGGTTCAACGTGGGGCAGACCATGTTTACTTTGCTGATGGTAGGTACAGAGGGCTGTAAATCCTTGTAAACCTGCAGATTTCCCATTTGAGCATGATGAGAAATAGGTATGGTCCATCATTTTAGATCAGTAATTTAAAAATTCAGGGCACAAACCCCTCTCCGCTGCAGATGAGTCCCAGTATCCTTGAGCACCGGTGGGATGATCATTCAGACATTCACACACTTACCTTCTTAAAGGAAGGTTCAGTCTTCACCCACAGTACTACAATACTCACAACAAATAAAGTGAACTTGCTCCAGAAACCTAGTGGGCCTATTCTCTATTGCAGGCTGCACTTGGTATAGAGGTATATTAATTCAAATAAATTATAGATATGCATATATATGTTATTTTTTTAGACAGGAAGATTAAAGAAGTACTACACAGATCTCGAAGCCTTTGCCATGCTTGCTGCTGCTTTCTGCCATGATATTGACCACAGAGGCACCAATAATTTGTACCAGATGAAGTAAGTGAACACATGTCCAATGTTGACACGTATTGGTGGACATTGGAAAGTACTTAGGGTGAGAAAAACGCTTCTCCCTATTCCTTGGCCCAGTCAATGCCTCTTTGCCATGTTGGAAATTCCAGGGCTGGATTCTATTCCCTCCCAAGCTTCCGCCTTCACGATAACGTTGCTCTTTCTCCCTAGGTTCTTGCGTCCCCCTTTCCTTTCTGTTTTCATTTCCAGATGTGCCTCTGCCTTCTTCCTATAGGCCTTCAGGCTTTCTTCTCTCAACTTTGTTTAATCAGAGTATTGAATTCCTATATTAAAGTGCATGAATCTGGCTGGGCACAGTGGCTCGCACCTGAAATCCCAGCACTTTGGGAGAGTGAGGCGGGCGGATCAAGTGAGGTCAGTTCAAGACCAACCTGGCCAACATGGTGAAACCCTGTCTCTACTAAAAGTACAAAAATTAGTCGGATGTGGCACACCTGGGATTATAGGCACATGTCTATAGGAGGTAGACGTGTGCCTCTGAGGTAGGAGAAACACTTGAACCCAGGAGGCAGAGGTTGTAGTGAGCCAAGATTGCACTACTGCACTCCAGCTGGAGCGACAAAGAGAGACTCTGTCTCGAAAAAAATTAAAAATAAAAAACAAGTACATAAGGTACATGAATGTTAGGCTTACACTTGTACACTCCTATGGAGCACTCCCCAGCTCAGGCTAGAGAATACTACCCCTGGGCTCACTACCCTTCACCTCCCTGGTCTTTTTGCTTCTGCCAAACTCTCCTTCAGCTGGTCTTCCATCTTAACATCGATGCCATCTTTCTCTCTTGCCCCAAGAAAGGAAGTACAATAAGAAGGGTGCAAGCTCTGGGCTCAGGCAGATTTGGATTCACTGGGTCACAAATTATTTAAACTTTCTAAGCCTCAATTTCCTCATCTGGGAAGTAAGAATTATAGTAATGGTACCCAGCACATAAGGTTGTTGTAAAGATTAAATATGATCATGCATATAAAGCCCTCAACTCATGGTAGGATCTTGGCAGTTAATAAATATTAGGTATGATTGCTGGGTGCGGTGGCTCACGCCTATAATCCCAGCACTTTGGGAGGCTGAGGAGGGCAGATCACGAGGTCAGGAGTTGGACACCAGCCTTGCCAACATGGTGAAACCCCATCTTTACTAGAAATACAAAAATTAGCCGGACATTGTGGCGTGCACCTGCAGTCTCAGCTACTTGAGAGGGTGAGGCAGGATAATTGTTTGAACCCAGGAGGCAGAGGTTGAAGTGAGCTGAGGTCACGCCACTGCACTCCAGCCTGGGTGACAGAGCAAGACTCAGTCTCGGAAAATAAATAAATAAATAAACTTCAGGTATTATTATGGTTACTATTATTGTTGTGATGTCATTGGACTATTCATTCACCAGTATTGCTCATGGCCAGCCCAGTTCCTTGATAATGGGTTTTAAGATGGTCTATCTGCCTTAGCCACACTTCATTCTCATTTCTGACACATGAACTACCCCTCTCCAGAAGTAGTGAAGTGTTGTAGACAGACTGAATGGGCTTTGGAGTCTTGGGTTTGTGGGGACCAACTACTTCTTGGTTGGGGGATCTTGGACAAGTCATTTAATCTATTTGAGATTCAGTTTCTTAGCCATGAGATGTATAAAGTGTTGACCTCTCAAAGATTGTTGTGAGAATCCAGTGAAATTACATATGTGAAACCTACTTGAGAAAGTGCCTGCTAGGCAGGTTTCACATATATAATTTCATTGAGCGAAAAGCACTTTGTAAGCAGTGACTCCTCATCTTCAGCAATTCTACCTATTATTAGGCTTTGTCTTGAAAAGATGATCTCCATCCAGACTTGAGGCAAGAGACATCTTCATCTCAAAGGTTCCAGCCTACACTGGCCGCTCGCTCCTCCAGAATGCAAGTCCCCTGACAGTCACTGAAGTCCTCGTCCTCCTTCTTGATCAGTAGTATACTAGCCAATTCAGTTCCAGAGAAACAAATTGAGCATCTATTGTGTGCTAGTAAGGACTTGATACCTACTGCCTCATTTAACCTTCACAGCACAGTGAAGGGAGGTGCCATATAGGAGGTACTAGTATCCCCCACTTTAACTGATGAGCTCAAAAGATGAAGTTAAACCTTCCCTAGGTTATAGGAAGTAGCAGGATTGAAGTTGCCATCTTGCCTCCAGGTTTGCAGGAAAGATGCATGCAGCCACACCCTGCCCTCTGCATTGGCCTGGTTTTCTTTCATCATTCCTCCTCTGTAAACTCAACTGTATGGGCATGTGGTGATGGAAGGGCTTCCTGACTGCAGACTGTCAGTGTGTGTGAATGTCTGTGTGTGTATATAAATAATATATATATTTTTTGGAGACAGGGTCTTACCCTGTCACCCAGGGACTGCAGTGGCATGATCACAGCTCACTGCAGCCTTGACCTCTGGGGCCCAAGCAATCCTCTCACCTCAGCCTCCCAAGTAGCTGGGACTACAGGTGTATGCTACCATGCCTGGCTAACTTTTAAATTGTTTTTGTAGAGACAGGGCCTCCCTATGTTGCCCAGGCTGGTGTTGAACTCCTGGGCTCAAGCAATCCTCCTGCCTCAGCCTCCCAAGGTGCTGGGATTACAGGCCTGAGCTACTGTATGTGGCCAACTAATTCTTTTTTTTTTTTTTCACTAAATCATTTGTGAGTCAGCTGCAATACTAGATTTCATTCCTAAATATTGCAGCATATATTTATTAAGAATTAGGAGGACATTCACCTACATAAACACAATACAATGATCACCCTCAGTATTGGTACAATAATATTACCTAATATAAAGTGTTTTTTAAAAATTTTCCAATTACCACAATAATGTCCTTTATAGCTATTTTTTCCTTCTAATTCAAGATCTAATCAAGGAGCACACTTTGCATTTAGTTGTCAAATATCTTTAATCTCCTTTAATCTGGAGTAGTTGCTCAACCTTTTTGTGTGTTTCAGGATGTTGATGTTTTTGAAGAGTCTAGGCCAACTATTTTGCAGAATATCTTTCAATTTGGATTTAACCACTTGTTTCCTGATTAATAAATTCAGACTAAACATTTTTTTGGCAGGAATACTACATAGATGATGCTGTGTCCTTCTCAATGCATTGTGTCAAGAAGCCCATGATATCAATTTTATTTATGGGCGATGTCCAGAAGATCTCTTTATGTAAAGGAACATTTTCTCCTTTGCAATTAATAAGTAATACGTGAAACGTTAGTTTGAGATCAGATTAATATCTAGCTTCCCAATAACATTTTTTAACTAATGTTTTTAAACCTAAAGGAATTAAAGATACCACTCCTTTCTGACTAGAATTGAGCTTTTTCATTTTTAAAAATATACATTTTAAATTGCTACATAATAGATATACATACTTTTGGGGTACATGATATTTTGATACATTCATATGATGTGCAATAGTCAAATCAGGATAATTGAGATATCCATCACCTTGAACATTTATGATTTCTTTATGCTGGGAATATTCAAATTATTCTTTACTAGCTATTTTGAAATAACAATGGATTGTTGTTTGCTATAGTTACTCTGTTAATTTATTGAACAGTAGGTCTTATTTCTTCTACCTACCTGTATATTTGTACCCATTAATCAACCTGTCTTCATCCTTCCCACCTCCCTACCCTTCCTGGCCTCTGATAACCACCAAACTACTCTCTATCTTCAAATAAAGAAAATGTGGTGCGTGTATATATATATATATAGTATATATATAGTATGTATATAGTACTATATATATACTATATATAGTACATATATATAGTGTATATATATAGTACATATACAGTATATTTATATAGTATATATAGTATATATACACTATATCGATATAGTATATATATAATGGAATATTATTCAGCCACCAAAATAATGAAATCTTGTCATTTGCAGCAATATGGATGGAACTGGAGATTATTTTGTTAAGTGAAATAAGCCAGGCACAGAGAGTCAAATATCACATGTTCTCACTCATATATGGAGGCTTCAAAAGTGGATCTCAGAAGATAGAAAGCAGTTTGGTGGTTATAGAAACTGGGATTTACTCATTTTTTTAAAAATCTCTAATGCCAACACAGAGTAGTTGTTTAAATATGTGTTAAAATTATGATCGATTGTAATATTGATCAGATATGGCCTAATTATTCCCCAACTAAAGTATTTGCTTTCCCTGACCTGCCAGTAACCTGGCAATGACCTCTCCCAGCCTAAAGTTTTGTTCTCCATGAAATAAATAAAGCTTCTCTACTAAGGCTACCAGCCATGTTTTTTATTTCTTCTTTCTTTAAAATTATTTATTCTATATTTTCATGAGAGTCTTCACATAATCTCTAGACCTTTGACATCAGCCTCTTTTACCCTGAAGGCATTGAAGAAAAACAGGGTACAAAAGACTGGGGCCCCTACTTATATAAAGCTGTGATCTAATTGTTAATAAATGGGAAGGAACAGGGAGATACATTTATCTCACTGTCTTGGGGGAGGAGAGAAATGTTACCTTATAGTGCTTTTCATCTTGGTTCTATGCAGATAACCTATGGGCCTCCACATGTTTGCTATATGTTTTATAAGTCATAGTCCACCGCCATAAGCCCCAGGGAACTTAAAGAATTTAGATACAAGGAGCTGAACTCCTTAGTTTAAACAATTAAATCATTTATGCATTCAACAAATTAAGGTTTTTTTTTTCCAAAAGAGCATATTCTCATCTTCTAAATCTAGAAAATCTTTTCCAATATGTTATTTTTGACCACTTCACAGATAATTGAGTGAGGAGGGAGAAGAGAGACATTAAGAAAAATCCTGAATTGTATGAACCTATGTGTAATTTTTAAACAGCTAGAATCATGGCATGTTGTTTTCCTTCTAGATCCACGTCTCCATTAGCAAGACTTCATGGTTCTTCTATTTTGGAGAGGCACCACCTGGAGTACAGTAAGACTCTGTTGCAGGATGAGGTACGTAAACCTCTCTTTAGGACAGCTAAACACAAATTCTGGATCAAAGCACTAACCCACAGAAAATGCTTGGAAAAAGGGTGGCCTTGAGTTACAGCAGTTGATAGTGTATACCCTTGTTGAAGTCAATTGATAGAAATTGCTATATTGAACTAGTTTTTGAACAGCCAAGTTGGAAGTAGCTGAGACAGGTGAAGAGAGCCATGGAAAGTCACAGAATCTCTGTGGGTCTGTAGGGAAAGAAGAAAAAGCTTATGGTGGATGCAAAAGGGCTCCGTGCACCCCAAGCATATGTAAATGTAAAGAGGAAAGGAGGCTACATGGTCACTGATTTGCTTATTCATTCATGGGGCATATGCTTTAGAGCATGGTCTATGCCTTTAAGAAAGTCAAGCTTTCATAGTGGAGTGTATTCACACATTCTTGCATTGCTATAAAGAAATACCTGAGACTGGGTAATTATAAAGAAAATAGGTTTAATTCACTCCCGGTTCTGCAGGCTGTACAGGAAGCACGGCAGCATCAACCTCTGGGCAGGCCTCAAGGAGCCTACAATCATGGTGGAAGCTGAAGGGGGAGCGAGCACTTCATATGGCCAGAGCAGAAGGAAGAGAGATGCGGGGGAGGTACCACACACTTTTAAATAACCAGATCTCATGAGAATTCACTCAGTATCATGACCAAGGAGGATGGGGCTAAACCATTCATAAGAAACACTGCTCGCAAAATCCAATCACCTCCCACCAGGACCCACTTCCAACATTGGGGATTACAACTGAACATGGGGTTTGGGTGGAGACACAGATCCAAACTATATCATGGAGGTAGGCATGACGTAGCCACCATCAGAGAGGCACTGAGCCATGCTCTGAGAGTTCCAAAGGGAGAAACCACATTTGTGTGAAGACAGTGGCAGCGGAAAGGGGCAAAGAGGGTGGGATCAGAGATGGCTTTCTGCAGGAGCGGCTCAGCCCCTTGAATTCATTGTGAATTGCACATATTACGTACTACTAATCTTCCAGAGAGGGTAGTCATTCTTCTTCCCTTGATCAATTTTATTGAAGGGATATATGGGCCTGTGGAAAGTTGTGGATGTTGTCTAATTATACTTTCTTAAGAACGTTCCAAACCAAAAATGATTAAGGTGAGTCATTAGATTGAGGGGAGCACTGTTTTGTCGCAGGCAGTGAACTTGTTCAGAATCACATGCTTCATTAGGATACATGAGCCCTCTGGAGAGTGGGCTTTTCTCACTTTCAATAATAATCTTTTATTAAAAGCTCAGGGAGAATATACAGAAAGATATCCAAGTTTAGAGAGAATACTAAATTCTTCTAGGTAATGAAAATCCAAGATGGTCCTCATAAGCCAAGCAGGAAAATCTCATAAGGCAGAGCAACTGGGCAGAAAAATGGAAAAAGAAGAAAACTGCTTGCGTTGTTTTAACAGTCTGTGATTGACACAGCACCCAACACCATTGCCATCCCAGACCTGCTGTGGCATTTCTAATTCCGCTATGCTCTTGGCAAAGCACTAACCTCATATAAGTCCAGATGGTGGTTCTCAGACATGGGTACCTGGACCAACTCTTTCAGACTCATTAATTTAACAGGGCGGGGGCAGACAGGCTGTTAAGGCACAGATCCTGGGCCCCATTCTCCACTTACTGACCAGACTCTCTGGAGTTTGGGCCTGGGAATCTGTATTTTGAACCAGAACCCTTTTAATTCTGATATGCAGACAGAATCTCTCCCTGCAGCAGAATTCACAGCATAGGTAACACCTGTTCTATGAGAATTAAAAGAAGGAGCGGAACTGAAAATAACTCAGGAATGTAAGAGTAAATTGTTATTACCTAATTTGTTATAAGTCTTTATTTTGCTGGTTGAGACAATCTTTGGTTTCTGAGTAAGAATTTTCTGTAAATCCCACTGTTTATATGATACCACAGTGAGGTAGCATCAAATGTCATGTATCGCATAATCATACAGTCACCTACTAAAACAAAATACTGTTTTAAAACAGCTGCCAAATATCTACATGCTTAACACTGGAAGGCTCCTAGTTTCTTAAATGTTTTTCCTTCTGGGATTTGGCAGTTTAGAGTTACAGTTTTCCATCTGAATTTTTTTTAATGTTATTTACTTTGCAGTCTGAACTGGCTTTGATGGCTATATAAAGACTTATTATTCTTTCTAAAAAGGAATATTGCATCTCAGTAATCTATACCATCTTTTCAAGGACCTCTCTGTAATACCATTCAACCTGCTAATTGCAGACTTTTAAAGCCTTGTCAATAGAGTCGCTAGGCAATGCAGTCACACAGAGCCTGTTTATGAGCAGTCAAATTGGACACACACACAAAAAGATTGTTACCTATCAGATATTCTTTTTACATTTTGGGGAGACAATGTAGTTCTTGTATTTTTTTCATTCTCTAAAGAAAATACACACATTAAAAATTTTAATTTTTTTAAATAAGGGAAATCCTTGGGATTTATCCAGTAATTTCAGCATCTGTGGGCATTACTCAGACATTTTGTTTTGCATATTATAAGGCTTTGAACGGCAATGTCCTTCTATCCTAGCAGAGATGGATTCACTGCTTTGAGGAATAGAACTGCCTGTACTCTAAACCAGACAGAAATCAATGCTTTAACCCAAATGAATGAGTGGAAAACTTGTTAGCCAAATTTGCACAAGTATAAATTTTAATACTAGAATATACTGTAGAAATGACAAAACATATTGCTCAGCATAAATAACAAAATCTTGTTATTATTCAGAACATCTCTTTCCAAAGCGTATGATAATTTTATTTATGCTTTTTCATATCAACCGCATCAGCCTGCCCCATTTTACACATAGAAATGTGAAGGAGAAATCAAATACCTTGTGTACTGGCACTAGCAAGGCAAGAACATGTTGGCAATATTCTCTTGCGGGCGTCATAGGCACCATGCTGAAGACTAGAACGGCCTGTACTTTCCCTGGCCTCAGCTAGCTCGAGAGCCACGATCTGAATGAATTAAAGCCATTTCTACCTGTTTGGGGTGTGCTATGCAGAATTCATAGTTCTATCGCCATTTTAATAGTCAGGGAAAATAAAAAAGATTCTTTCCGTGAGCAAATGAAAGCAGCTGAGCAAGTCAGGGCCCGTGGCCAGAGGCTGGGAAGTAGGTCTCCTTTCTTGTCTAGTGCACCTGTCTCCACAAAATGTCTTCAACACAATGCTCGAAAACAAATGGAATATTACATATTTATACATGTATTCAATGTTCATTAATAGTTGCAAAAGTTACATAAGCCCACTATAAAAATTCAAACGATAGGAAAACATCAAAGACAAATATTTCTTAAATTGCTTCAAATCCTACCATCCAGAAACCGATATTTCATTAACGTCTAATGAACCTCATTGCAGTCACCCTGTGGATATACACAGGAAGCATGGAGAGAAAGGACTCCATGTGTTCCCACTACCCAAGCTATTTTTTTAAGCCAGAGTTGGTTTTTAATCAACTTCATTGAAGTATATATACAATAAACTGCATCTCTTATTTTATTTTATTTTTGAGACGGAGTCTCATCCTGTTGCCCAGGCTGGAGTACAGTGGCGTGATCTCAACTCACTGCAACCTCCGCCTCCTGGGTTCAAGAGATTCTCACACCTCAGCCTCCCAAGTAGCTAGGATTATAGGCATGCACCACCACTCCCGGTTAATTTTTGTATTTTTAGTAGAGGCAGGGTTTCACCATGTTGGCCAGGCTGGTCTCGAACCCCCAACCTCAGGTGATCCACCCACCTTGGCCTCCCAAAGTGCTGGGATTACAGGTGTGAGCCACCATGCCTAGCCTAAACTGCATCTCTAGAGTGCCCAATTCCATGAGTTTTGACTATTTTATATACCTGGGAAACCAGCACCACAATCAAGATGCAGAACACTTCTATCATCCAAGTAATTGCTCATATCATGACCCTTCACAGCACATCCCACTGTCCACTCCCAGCCCTAGGCGGCAACCTTTGAAATGTTTTCAGTTGCTATGGATTAGTTTACATTTTCTAGATTTTATATAAGTGCAATCACACAATTAGCACAATAATAGAATAATCATGCAATCAATCACACTCTTTTGCATTGGTTTCTTTCACGCAAAATAATAATTTTTAGATTACTCATGTTGTGTATATCCATGATTCATTCCTTTTTTTAGAGATGGGGTCTTGCTCTGTTGCCAAGACTGGAGTGCTGTGGCACTGTTATAGCTGTCTGCAGCCTCAACCTCCTGGGCTCAAGCAAACCTCCTACCTCTGCCTCCCAAGTAGCTGGGACTACAGACATGAGTCTCTATACCTGGCTAATGTTTTGTATTTTTTGTAGAAATGCATTCTTGCTGTGTTGCTTAGGCTGGTCTTGAACTCCTGAGCTGAAGCAATCCTCTCTCCTTGGCTTTCCAAAGCACTGGGATTACAGGTGTGAGTCACTGTGCCCAGTCAATTCATTTTTTTTCATTGCTAAGTAGAATCCCTTTATCTTAAATAAAAGGTATTGCATTTGACTTTATTTGAATTTAACAGAAGAAATGTTTTTGAAATGGAAAGAATTGCAGAACTTCACATGATGGTGTCCTTATCACAAGAAATGTTAGCTCTTAAAGAGCCCTCTAAAATGAATAACAAATGACTATGAAAAATTATGAAAAGTTGTAGCTGAGCATTTAGATGTTTGACATTTTTAAGCTATATGTGTTAACTTTACAGTATCTACTAACTCCCTTCTATGAAATATGAAGGAATTGGTATACTTTTTCCCACATGTCTGTTTTATATGATATATTTTTTTACCATTATCAATATTTATAAAATTACATTTTGCTCTGTAATTTCCACTATTGTTTATTTTAATTCAACTTTTAATTGAGTCCAGTACTTATTGACTCTACATTTTCATATAAATTTTATAATTGATTTGTCAATTTACAAACACACATACACAAACTTGTTGGTATTTTGGTTGGAATTCTACTCGCTCTATGGATTATTTTATGTTCTTGTGGTCATTATATGCATAGGTTTTGCACTTGTTCCCCTCTGAAAATTACTCATCCCTGAGTGGAGCCAACTATCTGCCTAGTACCATGGAAGAAGGGCAGGAATGAGCTGGGGAAATCCTCAGCTTCCAATTTGTTGACTCAAACATTCTCTCACCAATTCTAAGGAGCACACCTGTATTAGTCTGTTTTCACACTGCTGTAAAGCTACTACCTGAGACTGGGTAATTATAAAGAAAAGAGGTTTAATTGACTCACAGTTCTGCACTGCTGGGGAGGCCTCAGGAAACTTACAATCATGGCTGAAGGAGAAGGGGAAGCAAGGCATGTCTTACATGGTGGCAGGCAAGAGTGTGTGAGAAAGAGTGAGGAAGTGGCACACTTAAAACCATCAACTCTTGTGAGAACTCCCTCACTATCATGAGAACAGCGTGGGAGAACTGCCCCCATGATTGAATCACCTCCTTCCAGGTTCCTCCCTCAACACCTGGGGATTACAATTCGAGATGAGATTTGGGTGGGGACACAGAGCCATATCAACACCTCTTTGATTTTGTTTTCCGGAAGTTGGTAAAGCTCACACTGAGCAAAGCCCATGAAGCTCCAGGCCTTCTATTTGGGATCTGGCCATTGCTGTCTGCCTTCCCTCCTTCACTTCTTGTTACCTATGACAATGTCTTTGGTCTAGGAGATTGAATATCAGAAGTCAATACAAATGTACATCAGCATAACTTCTCCATCAACTCCTCTTTTGCTGTTGTTTTGTGTTGTCAAAGTAGGTCTTGAAAGGAATTCCTTGCTTCTCCTGTGCGCTGGGCACATCTTGAGACCTCTTGCTCTAATTAAAGAATCACTGAGTCTGTGTTTACTTACTAAACAAACAAAAAACCCAACTTGTGTGCAAGTGTGTGTGTGCATGTGTGTGTGTGTGTGCCTGTGTGTGTGTATGTCCCACTTTGTTCCAAAGAGGATTTGATGGAGCTTCGAAGAATACATACAACACTAAAGAAAAAGAAAATGAGGACTAATGGAAAAATAAGAAAAACGAGGTGAGCATAGTAAAGGCCATACATACCCAAAATGTATATCAGAGATGGGCCACAAATTTGGCCAAAACGTTTATCAGACACAGGCCACAAATTTGGCCAAGTGCTTTCTAGCAACTAATACAAAAACTGGAATGGGATCTTTTATATGAATCTATATCCACAACTTAATAAGTCAATTAGAAGCTCTTCTTTCAAGAACCTCAGGTGTGAAAGGGAGAACAGAGAAAATCTAAAAGAATGTAGAATTAAGAAAGAGTTTTTCAATTAGGAGGCTTGTACATGTTTTTAGATAAAAATGAAAATGAGTGAGAAGAAAAAGGTATGAATGAAATGCAGATATGTAGTGCTATATGCAAAAGAAGCAGTACTGAAATGGTGACTATAAACCCTTTTTCTTCATTATATCAATTTTTAAAAATCCAGTATTGACTCATTTTGAAAAGTAAGATAGTTTTTGATAATCTATCAACTTTAATACAGTTGTTTTATTATTTTGGATTGGAAAAAGGTATAAGAGTAAACAGTATTTGTCACATATGTTTCTATATATTTCTTTATATATAGCGTTTTCTTTCACGTCTATTAAATAGCAACAAGTGTCCAGGTTTACATTAAGCAATATGCACTAAAACAATTGGTGCATAATAAATTTGATGTATTTGATTTGTTGTAGATTATATACTCTGCACAATCTGACACTTGGTAGAGACGAGGAAGTCTCTGTCCCAAGGAATTATTTCTCTGAATTCAGCAGTCTGATTTGCTTCTTTAAATGACTTAATGTGCTATAAATATTAACTTGTCTAAAAGTTTAAGGCATTTTCACACATTCCTCCCCTCCCCCTGCTTTTTTTCCTAGTATAGCAATCAAGGTTGGCTTCAAATATTATTAATTTGCCAAGTATGTATCTGAGTCACATAATAAACATCACTTTGGGAACATAGCAATGTTCATCAGTGAACAAATAAAGGCAGTGATTCCCTGATGTCAGTATGCCACTGGATCACCCCAAGTCCAAAAGGAAGGCCACCATTGTTCCAAAATCAGGGGCAGGTTAAGTGGGATCAAAATGACTCCACTTACTTTTCCCCTCCCTGGTAATCCAGACCAGGTTGAAAATAACCTGTATCCAGATTTGATTCAGAGATTCTGGACTGATATGTACAATAGACTTCTGTGAAATGTCCCAAGTAAGAAATTGATTCGGGGTCCAGGCACGGTGGCTCATGCCTGTAATCCCAGCACTTTGGGAGGCCGAGATGGGCGGATCCCTTGAGGTCAGGAGTTTGAGACTAGCCTGGCTAACATGGTGAAAACCCATCTCTACTAAAAAATACAAAAATTAGCTGGGCATGGTGGTGGGTGCCTGTAATCCCAGCTATTTGGGAGGCTGAGGCAGGAGAATCGCTTGAACCCAGGAGGCAGAGGCTGAAGTGAGCTGAGATTGTGCCACTGCACTCCAGCCTGGGCAACAGAGTGAGACTCCATCTCAAAAAAAAACAAAAACAAAAACAAAAACAAAAACAAAAAAAAACATTGATTTTGATCCAGATAATCTCTCTTTTGTTTTTGTAATTTAGACTGGTCAACACCCATTGCTTCATTCTAGCTATTTTAAAAGTTTAACTATAGTTGCTATGATGAACTCATTATGTTGACAAAACAAATCACAATTTTCCCTTCTATTACTTATATATGCTTTGTAAAACACCACTTTTCTTGTCCTAGAAAATGTTATAAAAAGATGACTTAAGGGAAGATTTATATAAGGCATAGTGTAGTGTCTAAAACTTGAGTTCTTGTCCAATTATTGCTTTCTAATATTTCAATCTTCTGAAATGACTGAGCCATATTTGGTCTTAGGTTTGCAATTCTATTTCTACCAGGAGCTAGCCTCATAACTTTACGTAATAATAATAATGATACAACAATAAATTTTAACAGCGATTTACAGTTTTAAAATGCATTCACAGTTGTCATTTCATTTGATTCAGCATTCCACAGATATTAATTGAGCATAGACTAAGTGCTAGGCAGTTAGGCAGGGCAGCTGTTATTATGCCCATATGAGAAAACAAATACAGATGTTAAGTGAAGTCTCTAGGATTATACCACTGCCAAAGTGGGGAAGCCAGGAAATGAACCTGGGTTCCCTCTTGAGAGGTAATGTAGTGTGGTGCAGAGATTAGGAGCACAGACTCTGGAACCATGCTGCACTGGCTTAGACACCAGTTCTGCCACATTCTAGCTGTTTAACCTCGGGCAAGTTACTTCACCTCTCTGTGCTGGGGTCTGTTGTGAAGAGATTAAGAATATTCACAAAGCACTTAGAGCCTGGTAGGTAGTAAGAACTAAGTAAGTGTTTACTGTTATTATTTGGTGTTCAGGACAGTATTGTTTTTGGCATTATGCTACTTCTCTCTTTATATAGTTTGATAGACTATCTCCTCTTTCTTTCCAGTGGAGTTTTTCTGTATTTTGTAACTGTCAAATTCATTTGGCAAAATCACTATCTATCTGTCATTTGGCCTGTATGACTAAAATGGTCTATTTGGAATAACTGGGCTTTAAGAAACCACCCCCAGCTTATATACTCATTTTCTTTCTTTCTTTCTTTCTTTCTTTCTTTCTTTCTTTCTTTCTTTCTTTCTTTCTTTCTTTTTTTTTTTTTTTGAAACAGGGTCTCTCTCTGTCACCCAAGCTGGAGTGCAATGGCACAGTCTCAGTTCACTGCAACCTCCAGTCCCCAGCGTTAAGCAATCCTACCACCTTGGCCTCCTGAGTAGGTGGGACCCCAGGCACATACCACCACACCCAGCTATTTTTGTATTTCCATATTTTTAGTAGAGACAGGAGTCTCACCATGTTGCCCAGGCTGGTCTTGAACTCCTGAGCTCAAGCCATCTACCCACCTCCGCCTCCCAAAGTGCTACAAGCATGAGCCACCATGCTCGGCCTATATTCTCATTTTCTAGAATGCTAAGAAATGAAGCTGATCCTTATGTGAAGAGATGTAGTGAGAAACTCTTTGAAGAAAGGTCTAGTTAAGTCTTGGTAAAATAGAATTGCATGAAAACATTTTCAGGATAATGTGGAAGGATTTCATTATTTTTTCCTACATATACACGAATATGAGTGTAATTTGCAATTTCTGAAAGACCAGTGGTTTCTATGATCACTCTAAAATTACCTGGTAGATAAAGTAACATGTCTGACAGTTGGACTTCTCCCAGAAATTCTTTATTAAAGCTTCTCAATTAATACAAGCACATTTTTAATCTATTGTTATTTATTTTAATGGTCCTAGAAGAAAACATTTATTTACTCCAAAAAGTTAAACACTGATTACATGAATATTGGCTAACAGTATCTATTTTTATAGTTTAAATTAAATTATCTTACTTAAAGTATAGTAGAGGGGTTTGCTTAGTCCATGAGATAAAAACTAAAAGCAAGCCAAAAAAAAAAAAAAAAAAGGAAGGAAAACAAAAAAAAAACAAACAAAAAAGTGTTGAAAGACTTTTAGATTTTCTTCTTGTTAAGCATAGTTTCATTTGTTCAGAGGCAAATTATTGATAGCATTTTATTGTGAATTTTCATCTTACAGAGTTTAAACATCTTCCAGAACCTAAATAAGCGGCAGTTTGAAACAGTTATTCATTTGTTCGAGGTCGCAATAATAGCAACTGACCTGGCTTTATATTTCAAGTAAGTACATAACTCTGCACAGTGGAATGCCCTATACTCTGTGTGGTTTTACCTTCCATAAATTATCTGTTGCATTAATGTTAAAAGGCATTTATTCACACACATACACACACACAGACACACACACACACATACACACAAAATTTGCTCTCCTTTTGGATTACCAAGTAGAGTATCTTCAAGACAGATGCCTGCCAGTAAATTTACTAGACCTCTGGGAACATATTTTAAAAACATAAGCTCCTAATATTAAGTAGGTTGCTCTCCGAACAGGTTTGAATTGCAGAATGTGCAGCCAAGTTTGTGCCTTGTCAAAAGAGTGAAGCCAAGAGACCTCTCAAGGTGGCTTTTTGTCCAGGTGAATTCTCTATGGTCCAGAATCTGGCATTTTAATGTTTCAGCCTCAGAAATTTAATTCTGTCAAAGTCTGGGAGCTGAACAATTTTGATGGCATTGACACACATTAACCAAACTTACAAAACTGAGTCATACGTAACAGAGAGCCAGCCTATTTACAACAGTAATATTGCCAAGGAGACCAGATACTCCCAGTATCTCCACATTTTCTCATAAGTGAACTATAAAGTTGCTTGATGAAAATGGGTTAGAACAAGATGAACTAGTTATAGGATGGAAATATTCAGTGGCTTGGGCATTGTCAAATTATGCCTTTCTGATCCTTCACTAAATATTTATTTATTATTTATTATTATTATTATATGTATTATTATACAGGTCTCACTCTGTCACCTGGGCTGGAGTGCAGTGGCACAACCTCGGGTCACTGCAATCTCGGCCTCCAAGGTTCAAGCGATTCTCCTGCCTCAGCCTCCTGAGTAGCTGGGACTTCAGTCTCCCACCACCACATCTGGCTAATTTTTATATTTTTAGTAGAGATGGGTTTCACCATGTTGGCCAGGCTGGTCTTGAACTCCCGACCTCAACTGATCTGCCCACCTGGCCCTCCCAAAGTGCTGGGATTACAGGTGTGAGCCGTTGCACTGGGCCTGAATATTTAATTATTAAATAGTTCAATGTGAAGACAAATACTAAGAATAATAAAATGGATATCCAAATATCTATAGCCTAAATTTAACAAATGCGAAATTTTGCCATATTTGCCTCAGATTTTGCTTTATAAGGAGAAAAAAACTAGTGATGCAATTGAGGTATTCCACCCCTACTCCACTATGAAAAATCCCTTCCCTTCTTCCACAAAGATATCACCGTCTGACGTTGATGTGTATTCATAATTTCCATCCATGTTTTTATATGGTATTGTTGTGTGTTGTTTTTTTTGTTTGGTTTCTTGGTTTTTTTGCGACGGAGTCTCACTCTGTCACCAGGCTGGAGTGCAGTGGCGCAATCTCGGCTCACTGTAATCTCTGCCTCCTGGGTTCAAGTGATTCTTCTGCCTCAGCCTCCAGAGTAGCTAGGACTACAGGCACACGTCACCACGCCTGGCTAATTTTTTTTTTTTTTTTTTTTTTTTTTTTGTATTTTAGTAGAGATGGGGTTTCACCATGTTGGCCAGGATGGTCTCTCTATCTCCTGACCTCGTGATCCACCCACCTTGGCCTCCCAAAATGCTGGGATTAGAGGCGTGAGCCACCTCGCCCAACCTGTTGTGTGTTTTCAAATTGTCCATAGGTGGTATCATACTGTCTGTACATACCTTTCTGCAACTTGCTTTATTCATGCAACATTGTGTTTCAAAGATTTATCATTGATAATAAATGGAGCTCCAATGCATCCATTTTAACTGAATAGAGTATTCAACTGTTGAATATTCATAATTAATTTACCCAGTCTTCTATTCATAGACATTTCAATTGTTTCTAATTTTTCATCATTGCCTACAATGCTACCTTGTATGTCCCTGTATATATATATGAGAGTTTCTCTAAGAAATGTAAAAGTGACAATGCTGTAGGATTTGCATGTCTTCAATTTCATGCTACATTACAAAACTGCACTCCTGAGAAGTTGTGCCAGTTAGCACTCCCACACACAGTGTGCAAGAGTTCCAGCTGAGTGAGGTGGCTCATGCCTGTAATCTCAGCACTTTGGGAGGCCAAGGCAGGAGGATCACTTGAGGCCAGGAATTTGAGACCAGCCTGGGCAACATAGCAAGACTGTCTCTACAAAAAAATTAAAAAATTAGCCAGGCATGCTGGAGCATGCCTGTAGTCCCACCTACTCGGTAGGCTGAAGTGGGAGGATCCCTTAAGCCTAGGAGTTCAAGGTTCCAGTGAGCTAGGATCAAGCTATTTCACTCCAGCCTGAGTGGTAGAGCAAGATTCTGTCTCAAAAAAAAAAAAAAAAAAAAAAAGAAAAAGAAAAAGAAAAGAAAGAAAGAAAGAAAGAAAAAGAAAAATACCACATCTGAAGTACTCTTGAACTCAGCAAATTGAAATTTTATTTTGCTAATATAATGAGTGTGAGATAATATCTTATTGTTCAAATTTGTAGTTTCTTGATTAGTAGTGAGACCAGCTGGACATCCGTGTGTTTTGGGTTCCAACTTTTTGTTGGCTATATGTGTTGTGATATCTTATCATAGTTTGGGGCCTTTATTTTTAGGTTATGGTCTCTTTTCTCATATGTAATTTTGTATTTACTTTCATTTTTAAAGAGACAGGGTCTTGCTTTGTTGCCCAGGCTGGTTTAAAACTCCCGGCTTCAAGCAATCCTCCCACCTTAGTCTCCCAAAGTGCTGGGATTATAGATGTGAGCCACTGCACCCGGCCTTATATGTAACTTTTTCGTTGTAATGTATTCCAAGTTACCTGTTTTGTTTTGTTTTTCCCTCTCTCTCTCTCTCTCTCTCTGTATGGTTTGTGCTTTTTCTGCCTTAAACCCTTTCTGAGCCAAAGTTATACCACCATTCTCTGCTCTCGTATTTTCTGGCCCTGTAGACTTTGCTATGTGGACATCACAATGCAAAGTGGGAACGTGAAATCTGAAAAGCATGTATTTAAGATATTTTTTCTCTCTTTTCATAAGCTAAAATTGTTGCTCACAGCTGTATCTTTTCTAGGAAGAGGACCATGTTTCAAAAAATTGTTGATGCCTGTGAACAAATGCAAACGGAAGAAGAAGCCATCAAATATGTAACTGTTGATCCAACCAAGAAAGAGATTATCATGTAGGTAGTTGAAATTGTATTTCTCTCTTGTTTTTTGTAAAAATAACTTATTTTGTACTTATTTCTATTTTAAAATTTTTTGTTTTCTTCCTAAGGGCAATGATGATGACGGCATGTGACTTGTCTGCTATTACCAAGCCCTGGGAGGTGCAAAGTCAGGTGAGTCCAGTTAAGTTTTCTTTTCTGTCACACTGTCAGGTACTGCCTAGGTCCCATGTAAATGTCCACCTAAAGATCTCAGGCAACCTCAGAATTCTGAAAAATTACAAATATTAGTGAGACAGTAGGCAATTTGATTAGGCCCTAGAATAAAGCAAATAGAAGGAACTTTGGAAGGAGAATTCTTTCTTGAAAGAATTCTTTAACATTGAAACACTGTAAATAATTTATATAAAATTATCCAAGAAATGTCTGAGTTTTTAAATAGAGGAGTGTATTAGCCTGTTCTCATGCTGCTGCTAATAAAGACATACCCGAGACTGGGTAATTTATAAAGGAAAGAGGTTTAATGAACTCACAGTTCCACATGGCTGGGGAGGCCTCACAATCATGGTGGAAGATGAAGGAAGAGCAAAGGGATGTCTTATGTGGTGGCAGGCAAGAGAGAGCGTGTGCAGGGGAACTCCCCTTTATAAAACCATCAGATCTTGTGAGACTTACTTAATATCACTAGAACAGCACGGGAAAGATTTGTCCCCATGATCCAATTACCTCCCACTGGGTCACTCCCATGAATTGGGAATTATGGGAACTACAATTCAAGATGAGATTTGTGTGGGGACATAGCCAAACTATATCAATGAGGTAAGTCAGAACAAGATCAGGATGCATCGTTAGTGTTTTCCTCTATCAAGGGTGTTTTTGCTCCTATAGTCTCTTCTTCAATGTGCTGTGAATTATAAGAAGGCACTGACTGTGAGATGATGTCTAAGGTTGCCTTCCACTGAAGTTCTTCCCCCACCTTGGGGAGGCACTAGTCTACCACTTGCTTTCTTACTAATTGGATGAAAAAACCTTCCTTTTTCCTCCAGTAATTTCTAGGGAAACCCCTAAGCAGAAGAGAGCCCAGAATTAAATGGGTTTAACTATAAAAGTGGGTTGTATCTTTTTAAAAAGATAGAATAATTAGAACTCAGTGTAGGGGAGAAAAAATATCTATTTCTCACCCATCCTAGCTTCATGACTGAGGCCCCTATAACAAAAGACAGATTAACAAGAGAAAAGCGTACACGTTTATTTGTTTTACATGTAATACAGGAGCCTTCGTGAGGAAACAAAGACCCTAAGAAACAGTTAAACTTGTATGTTTTATGCTAGGTTGGATGAATTAGATAGTCATGGAGAAATAGAATTCAACAAAGAGGGTATGATCTAATCGTGAGGCAGCTTAGCAAGGCCGATTTGTTCAGATTCTTCTTGGCATCTTTGTGTCTCTGGCTCCTTTCCTCCAGGAATAGGGAGGGCACCTCTTGAATGAAGGTCTTATGATCTGCTTCAGGGGAAGGTCAGAAAATCCTTACCTGGTTTTATGACCTACTTCAGGGGAGAAGGTCGGGGGAAGGTGAGACTGATCTTCCTGCTGCTTTAGTTTCCTCAAATTCCGTCACCTTAAAATATTTGGGGGCAGGGTGTCCTGAACTCCGTCACCATCAAGTCCAAAACCAAATGCTTCCTCTCCTTCCACCTCGACATGCCTGCTCTTCTTCCTCTGTTCTTTATCGATGAGGTCACCCAAGCTAGAAACCTGGGGTCCTGCTTGAGCTTATCTCCCTCATTTCAAAATCATTTATATCAGCCTCGCTAGTACCTCAGTTCTGACTTTTATCAGAACTATGGTAGCAGCCTCCTAATAGATGCTCACATCAACTCCACAAGTCATCCTCTGACTTGCTGCCAGGATGTCTCTACACAGAGCTCAACTCAGCCATTCTACTCCTTAAAAGGCTCATACTCCCCATTGCCAGAGGTTTCCAACTTCTTTCCCAAAGAAGTAAAGTCTATTTTCTCCCAACAAAACTTGCCCAAAGATCACTTTATAAAAGAGAAAAAAGCAAAGCTACTTTAGCTTTCATCTCTCTTGGTCTCCACCTTCTTGGGCCCTAGAGCACTTCAGGGGAACCCTAGACTCCAAGAGTAAACAGCACTGGCCTAGAGAATCAAATTCAAGCTTCCTGGCAAAATTTACATGGCCTGTCACTGCCTGTCCTCAACTCACACTCCCAGCATCAATTCCCATCACCTTCTCCCATGTCATTGCTTCACACTCTAAGCCTGCACTCACAGAAGCTTTGTACGTTCCATTTTATCTCGGCAAATATTCTTCCCCTCCTCTTTTCCTGGAAAATTACTCTTGTTCTTCACAATACAACATAAATGCCACCTCCTTCCTTCATGAAACTTATCTTTACTCCCTTCTCCCTGACCCATAGCACTTACACTATTATTGTTACAGCACTTACCACACTGTATACATGACTGTCTTCGCTAGACTCTGAACATTTTAAAGAAAAAGATCACCCCTTATTCCTCTTGGCAAGCCTGGCTCATGCCAATGTAAAGGCAGCTAGCAGGTGTTCAATGAACTTGATAAATGTTTTTTTTTAGTGATATAAATTAATGCTGGAATATCCTCACACTGTAATTAGGTAAAGCTACATACTAATGGGTGTATGTCACATGTGCATTCACAGACATATGCTAGATGCTAACAGATAGACAGGACAAAGAACAACCGGCGAAGTGTTAGAACTTGAAGCATAATATTTAATCCTCCTATTTCTCCTTTTCGTTGGTGAGAAGTGGTGGCAATCGTAAATGGGAGATAGATACTCCTAGAATAAGCCTAGAACACTGAAGTAGGAAGAAAAAGCTCCCCTTTCGCATTTCAATATAATCTGTAAATGACCTCTTTTTAAAAGTTAAGAGCATACGGTTTGATAGCACCTCAAACATTGACTGTAAACTCGATCCTTAAATGTCACTTGTACTAATAAAATGCAAGTTCTCTATTCATAAGTGGATTTAGTGAACCAAGCCTTTCTCATTTGCAGGTAGCACTTATGGTTGCAAATGAATTTTGGGAACAAGGAGATCTGGAGAGAACAGTGTTGCAGCAACAACCCATTGTAAGACCTTGACATAAAAATGTATTACTTATTAAAAGTTATCAGGACAGGCCGGGCGCGGTGGCTCACACCTGTAATCCCAGCACTTTGGGAGGCTGAGGTGGGCAGATCACGAGGTCAAAAGATCGAGACCATCCTGACCAACATGGTGTAACCCCGTTTCTACTAAAAATACAAAAATTAGCTGGTCATGGTGGTGCATGCCTGTAGTCCCAGCCACTCGGGAGGCTGAGACAGGAGAATCACTTAAACTCAGAAGGCGAAGGCTGCAGTGAGCCGAGATTGTGGCACTGCACCCAGACTGGAGACAGAGTGAGACTCTGCCTCAAAAAAAAAAAAAAAAAAAAAAAAGTTATCAGGACAAATCAGTCTGTTTTGTTCATACATCTTAGAAACCTGTCTTAAAGGATTTATTTCTCTTTCTAGCCTATGATGGACAGAAACAAAAGAGATGAATTACCTAAACTTCAAGTTGGATTTATTGATTTTGTTTGTACTTTTGTATATAAGGTAAGTAAGCAAATTATTTGAATTAAATACATAAACATTTGGATGAGAAATTTTCTTTCAAACTGTCACCAAAATTTAGAAGTCACCCATACGGAAAGCCATTGGGGTATCACTGTTTCTCCAAAGCAGTTTGAGGTTTTACCCTAATCTCATTCAGGGCTGGAATAAAAGGAGGGAACTCAGATGTGAGCGAACTGAACACTTCCTTAGGCAGGCAGTAAAGACAGCACGTGTCTCTTTCCCAAACTTCATAGGCCCGTGGTTAAACTTATCCTAGCAGCTCTGAGTGCTGTAACAATTCCTTACAGCTCACTCTCTGCATATGAAAGATCCTGAAAATTAACTGTATGATTTATGTAGTTTCTGACCTAAAATTCCTTTTAGGAGTTCTCACGGTTTCACAAAGAAATCACACCTATGCTGAGTGGTCTTCAGAATAACAGAGTAGAATGGAAATCACTAGCTGATGAGTATGATGCAAAGATGAAGGTCATTGAAGAGGAGGCAAAAAAGCAAGAAGGAGGAGCCGAAAAAGGTTAGATGGGCTCTGTTTTTGCTCCCTGTAATGTAGCCAGAAGCTAGGCTGAGCTTAATGGCATGTGACAAAGCCATAAAGAGTCACCACAAACAGAAAACCTGCTTTACTGGTGCAGACTGATCATTTTAACAGGCCGATTAGTGGTTTTCAGGTCCCCCTGGCCCTGCCACAGACAACATCTTATGTATAACTCCAGATCGAATTGACCGGTCCAGTTGAAGTAGAGGTTGGAGCTAGGCTTCTTCATCTTGCTAGAAGGTGGCTCCTCTGCAGAACACTGGGTGCTTAGGGATAATATGTAAACTACAGAATCTGGGGGATTAGAGTTAGGTGAGAAAAAAGTTTTTGTCCCAACATTATGCATTAGCTGTGAGACCTTGGGCAGCTTGCTTAACCTCGCTGAGTTTAATATTCTTCTCCATGTAATGAGGTGGTTTTACAGATCTTCAGCTTAAGGAAGCCCTACATGTAGAGTAAGGCTGAAATTGCCGGTCTCCCAAATGTCTCATTGGGAGATGTTTTTCTGGCATGAGATTCCTGTGCCATTTTTTTTCTGGCATGAAATTTCTATTCCTAAAGTCACTTTGTCAAGTTTAATGTTGTTTTTGGATTCTTAAAATGCTTAGGATTAACTATTAGTTCATCAGATGGCCCAAACATCATTTTGAAAGTGGAATGCTAATTTCTGTCTTGAAAGTTTATCACTCTGAAGGTTTTGTAAGCAATTGTTATTGCTTAACAAAGAAATCATCTCTATGTGGAAAGGCCCTGACATGTTCCTTTTAGGTGGCTCTATTGCATTTAGTGAAATTTTAAATAATTCATAGGAGAAAATATTTTTCTTAACAAAGTTAAGGATGTCCTTCAGAATAAAAGCAGGAGTTTTTGACTCCTTGATATCCATTCACTTATGTATTTATCAGATGTCTTCTCTGTATAAAGCCCGGTGTTAGGCAGGCCCTGGGGAAAGATGGGATCCTTTATCTTGAACAATTTACCATTTGGTGGGGGAACTAAACATTGTGAACCAATGCACAATTAACGATCTCGAAGAAGGCACTAGTGTGCACATGGGCCATGGAGAAGGCTTTCCTGAAGAATGCTTACGCTAACCACAGAAAGCAGGCATTGGGGAGGAAGAGTAAGAAAATATGTACAAAGGCTTGGAGTAGGAATAAGCTTGGTGCAATTGAAAAATTTTTAAGCTGATATAGCTGGAGTCTAGAGAGTAAAGAGTGCGAAGTACATATGAAGCTGGTAGTGCAGGTAGCTGCCAGATACTGTATTGCCTTGAAGGTGGGCTAAAAATGTTCATGGGTCATTTGAGAGATTTAAGGTAAGATATGATTTGCATTTCAAAACAATAAGTGATTTTTACCAAGCAAGTGAAAAGTGAGGGTATTTCTTAGTACTATTAGATTTAACCTTTATCTCAACTTTATTATGAAGAGATGATCAGGTCCTTTAAGTGACATTGGATATGGATCTGTATTTTATTTGCACAAAAATTTACTTCTGAGTTTTTTTGCTACTACATAGAGAATTCTTTGTGGACTAAGATCATTATTTTCTATCACCAGGCATGGAGCTTTGTGCATCAAGCTCAGATTTCCAGACTGCATTGTCTCAGTGAGAAACTAAGATGTTAACTGGCCAACCATTGATCAGATTCTGTTTTTTATTTATTTAATTTATTTTTTTGAGACGGAGTCTCACTCACTCTGTCGCCCAGGCTGGAGTGCAATGGCATGATCTCAGTTCATTGCAACCTGTGCCTCCCAGATTCAAGCGATTCTCCCACCTCAGCCTCCTGAGTAGCTGGGATTACAGGCACATGCCACCACACTCAGCTAATTTTTATATTTTTAGTAGAGACAGGGTTTCACCATATTGACCAGGCTGGTCTTGCACTCCTAATCTCAAGGGATCCACCCGCCTCAGCCTCCCAAAGTGCTGGGATTACAGGCAGGAGCCACTGCACCTAACCCAGATTTTATTTTTTGAATGGACCAACTCTGAATATTAATTCAAGTTTTTACATGGTCAAACCCACAGTACTTGCTAGGTTAAAATGACTAATTAGTCTACAAAGTTGACACTACTATCATGGGAATGTTAGAATAAAAACACTGTATATCCACTAACTCCTAATAATATTGCTTTCCTTGATTTTACTAGCTGCTGAAGATTCAGGAGGTGGTGATGACAAAAAGTCCAAAACATGTTTAATGTTGTAATATTATCTAACTGGTCTAAACTTCAAATATCATTTTACCTTTGAAGAAAACCAGAAAACATTCAAAAGAACTTCAACAAATCATCACGTAACAGGATCTTCAGAAAAACTACCCTGTGACTATGAAGAAAATATATATTGCTAGCCCAAAAATCCCAGGGGCAAAATAAAGTTCAACAAAAGTGCAAAATATGACAAAAATAGGTACATTTTTGGTGCCAATTTATTTTAAATTAAAAAATATGCAATCCTGAAACTAGTCACAAATTCTTTTTTAAAACATTAATTGTATTTATTTGCTAAGGCTGCTATAACAAAGTACCACAGACTGGGTGCTTAACCAATAGAAATGTATTTTCTCAAAGTCCTGGGGGCTGGAAGTTCAAGATCAAGGAGTTGGCAGGGTTGGTTTCTTGGGAGGCCTCTCAACTTGGTTTGCAGATGGCCATCTTCTCCCTGTGTCTTCACATGGTCTTCCCTCTGTGTGTCTGTGTCCTAATCTCCTTTTCTTATAAGGACTCCAGTAGGACTGGATTAGGGCCTACCCATGTGACCTCATTTTAGTCTTAATTACCTCGTTAATGGCCTTATCTCCAAATACAGTCACATTCTGAGGTACTGGGGATTGGGGCTTAAATATATGAAATGGGTGAGGGGTGGGGGAGACACAATTCACCCATAACATTCGTAACTGTGATTCATACCTCAAGCCACTCCCCGAACTAAAATCTCTCAACATCTTAATAAAAGAGTAAACGCAGTATAGAATGTATAGTGTTGTAAATATGATATAGAAAATAATGATGTCATTTTATTCAACGTCATTCCATCTGAAATGCTTATCTCTTTTCTCTACTTTTACCCTTGATAATAGAATGATGAAGACCAAACTATTTTTTGGCAATATTTATTAAAACTATGCCTTTGACCTACACTCCTCCTTCAAAGTTTGAAATCAATTATTTTGGGTGTAACTAAGAATATTTTTTACAGTTCAGAACTATTCTTTTCATTAAAAAGATTATCAATGCACAAGATTCTAACTGGATAATCATAATGCAAGTTAAAGCAGCTAATGAATATTATGCGTTAAGAAGCATGTGATTGGATTATGCAAGAACCTTATCAAAAATAGTACAGAAAAACTTCAACCAAGATGACTTTCTAAAAATGATTAATAGACCTACCAGGCATTCTAAATATTAAATTGTTAAGACAAACTAAGGGCAATCAACTACTTCGACTGCATGGTATATGTCTGTCTGGATATTCGAGAAATTTAAGATTTCTTCTTTTACTTATCTATAATCATAGATAAAATTAGAAAATAGAATAATATAGTTATGCCATATATTTTATCATAGAATTTTTTTGTCACAAGCTATCTACAGTCTAAAGAATTGAACATCAATGAACCTATATATTTTGTAATAGACAAGATAATGTTCAATTTTGAGCAGCCAAGAAATGAATCGCCATTTATTTTTATAAGTTAGGTACTTAGAATTGTCAGACTGCTTCTCTCACATTAGAATGTAAAATTTATGAGGAAAGATTTTGTCTATTTTGTCTGTTTTGTTCACAGCTCTATCTCGGCACCTAGAGCAGTGCCTGGCACAAGGTAGGCACTCAGTAATATGAATGAATACTATGTGAATAAATGTTACAACAAACAGATATAAATAAGGTATGACAGTAAGTCATATGTACACTCAAATGAGTATTGTTTATTAAAGTAATCAACTTAGCTAAGTGATGCATGCTCCCTTATTTCCATTGCTTAAAATAATTTTGAAATTCCACTTCCAGAAGCACTATTATTTTAAAAACCACGTAAGAAACGTTATTCCTTTAGCCCTATGTAATTTTAGACCCCAAAACATCAGTCAGCTCAAACAACTTCCCCTCCTTAGTCACCAGAAATTGTATTGAGGGTAGAGATGTCCACCACTGAAGGTCTGCCAAATACATGAACTCTGCATAAGAGCAAGTATAAGAAGGCCTAACTTCAACACCCCCAGACCAGTGGTCTGCTGACCACCACTGACCGCACTATAGCAAAGTTTGAGATAGGTGTGTAGGAGAATTACTTTTTAAACTCATCATATTAGAGGCCTTTTCAAGACTCCTTAAAAACATAACTCCCATTATCTGTCACTGTGTATGCATGGATTAAGTATTGTGATTTTATATAAATTTATAAATGAGCCTGATGTCATAAATCTACTTGAAATACCAAATACACTGATCTATTTTTAAAGGGTCTTTAGATATTCTTCCTAGTTAAATTCCTAATTTTAATTTTGCAGGAATTTTACTTTCTGACAACCACTAAACAATGGACATATTTTTACCATAAGAATGTTTAACTGCATATATTCTACTACTAATATCAGTCTTGCGGCTGGACATTTCAAACACTTTTTCACCGGAAATACAGATTCATTTTTACACACTACAAGTAGTGAGGTGAAAAAAAACAATTTATTCAAGAAGTGAGGGGACTATCAAACAATGTTAAACACTGATAAACCCAACACTGATTTACTTTTCTGAAACAGGTTCAGAAATGATTGCATAATTACTTCCTAGATGGTTCCTTTACAGCCATGCCCAGCTCAGTGCCTCACATATAATAGAAGCCTGATAAATATTTGTGGAATTAATGAATAACTGTTTAATAAAAGGAAAATCTCTGATAATAACCATTTTAAAATGATACCAAATTACTCATTTTGCAGTTTATTGCCAATCATTCCGTGTTTAAATGTTATTTAAAATAGTATATCTTCAATAAAATACTTGCTTATGTTCAGTTCATTTTCTATATGTCCTTTCTCTTATTCATCAAGTCAAGCATCTTCTCCTATATCTATCCATCTATTTGCTCTTTATAAAAGCAGATCTTTGCTAGTTTTCAGAAATCAATAAATCCTTTTGAAAATCTGATTTTTGAAAATTTGAAATTTATGGACTTTTCCTCCAAAAAACATACACAGAAGTTTGCACAGATTCTAAAAAGGCTTGGATCTCCTGAAGCACCTCCATAGACCCTTGCGACTAGGACCTTATGTTAAGAAGTTACATTTTATATTTCTGCATAGAAGTTCTATTAGTCCATTTTCACACTGCTGATAAAGACATACCAGAGACTGGGGAAGAAAAAGAGGTTTAATTGGACTTACAGTTCCACATGGCTGGGAAAGCCTCAGAATCATGGTGGGAGGCAAAAGGCACTTCTTACATGGCAGCAGCAAAAGAAAATGAGAAGGATGCAAAAGCAGAAGCCCCTGATAAAACCATCAGATCTTGTGAGACTTATTCACTACCACAAGAACAATATGGGGGAAACCGCCCCCTTGATTCAAATTATCTCTCACTGGATCCCTCCTATAAAATGTGGGAATTATGGGAGTACACATTCAAGATGAGATTTGGGTGGGGACACAGAGCCAAACCATATCAGAGGTATATTCATATTTGCATGAGTATATCTGAGGCAAGATACATGCACATAGTATTATTCAGTTAAATTATCTTACTGCATAATCTCTGCCGGGGAGGCAATTTTTGTGAACACATGAACTGTTTTAGACTACTGGGACCTCACTGGCTCCCTGTGGTAATAATTTACTTAATAGTAAATTATCCACAGGCTAGGAAGTCAAATTTGATTATAACAAACTCTCTTAAGTGGTAGAGGTTAAGAAGGAAGCAAGAGACAGGCAAGCAAAAAACCTCAAAAAGCAGCTGGAAATAGGTGGTAATGGGAGAGCAGGTACTTAAAAGAAGGGTGCCAGTTTATCAATGGGAAAGAAAGAAGTTAAAGACATACATAATATACTTTAATCCTAGTAATTTAAAATAATTGGCAGAGCATGGTGGCTCACACCTGTAATCCCAGCACTCTGGGAGGCCAGGGTGGGAGGAATGCATAAGGCCAGGAGTTTGAATACCAGCCTGGGCAACACAGGAGGACTCCGTTTCCACAAAAGAAAAAAATGAAAAACAAACAAATCCAGTATTGGTGGCTCTAAAAAAGAGAAAAAGAAGAAATAATAAAATAAAATAATGAAGGCAAGAGAAGATACATAATGAAGGCAGTGAAAAAAAACCTACAAAATGTAGGAACAATGGAATCTGTCCAGCTCTATCCTCTAGGAGCTACAAATAAAACAGAATTGTAGATAAGCAATTGAAAAGATATTTAAAGGACAGGAAAGTCTTTAATTGAACTAATGAACTTCCAAAGCCTCTGACATTCTGAGAGAACCTGGATTTTTATTTCCAAAGACAAACCACACAAGCTGTAACTTGCAGATAAAAACTTATATGGAATTTCAAATTGCATGAAGTTTAAAACTTCATGAAGTTTCACATTAAGGAGCGGAGGCTTCTCTCTCTCGTCTCATAGAAACAAATCCTGAAAATACTCATCAAATTCTTCTTCCCTATTTAAAAAAAAAAGCATACTTAAGATCAATAGAGTAAAAAAATTACTACATGATACATTATATGAGATTAATAAAAATAAAATACTTTAAGTCAACATATTGGCTGATTCTGCTATATATCAATATATTGCCATGATTCAGCCATCAAATAATTCTTAGTTTCTAGAATAATCATAACTATACCCAGATTGATTAAAATAAAAATATTTCATATGGTGGCACCTCTCCCTAAATGTATTACCTAAAATTTTGCTTTGAAATACTTGTGAAATGTCATTGCTTCTCTTTACTTTGTGGGCTTACTTTATAACTTCTCTGTTCATTCTCATTTTAAATTATAGTCTGCTCAAGAAGTGAATAAAAAAGAAACTATTTTTAAGGAAAAATGTAAGCCTAAGTTATATTGGGGAATAACTAAGGGGAATTGGGTAAATCTCCTTAGGCTGTAGTTTTTTTACTACACTGAGCATAGTAAATATATTATGTATTTGTAACAGTAAATATTATTATTTTACTTTTTAAAAGACCAGTGGGATAGCAGTATAGAAGTGTACTTCCCATGCAAGGGATTCCCTTGCATAGGTTTATGATAATCACAGTATGATGGAATAGGCTTCTCTGGAAGCTTAGGAAACAGCCATCTCTGAAGAAATCCAAGCAAGGACCAGAGGTTCATCTGTTAAAGTGAACTGATGAAAGATTTATTTACCAGGAGGAAGCTGGATGTGTTGGCTGCTTATGACAATGGCTGGGAATAAGCTCTAATCTTACCAGGCTAGGCAGTCCTTGGCATTAAATAGATCACCATGATGTTGTATTTTTCCATTAATAAAGCTGTGGTTATAGCTTCCTAAACTGATTGAAAAGGTACATATTCTCTATTAATATCAGCACTTACTGTGATTTTTCATCTGTCTCTGGTAGTGGACCCTTCCAAAGTTCAGATTCTGAAGCACTTTCTTCCTCATCAGAGTTTCCTGTTCATTTAAAAAAGATGATTTTTAAAAACCTATTATACTTAAAGCACATTTTGAATTATTCGCCAATACAATTAACTTTTTATTTAACTCAGCTTCAACTTTTATGACTCTCTAGAAATTTAATTCACTCTCACAGGTACAATAAATTCTTTTAAAACATATATAAATAAGCCAAGGGTTACCAAAGAATCTCAGCAAAAAGGCCAAGGATTTTAAGTCTCATCGAAACTTCTCTAAGTTACACTGAGTTAAAGTAGCAATTCCAATATTAACTCTTGTAAGTCAATTATCTCTTGCAATATAGTTGTCTCTGATCTAGTTTCTTCTTTTTCTTGGTTACACAGAAGACACGCAAGTTAAGATTTACATTTGTAGAGAACATGTTTACATTAGGATTAGTACCTTAAGAACTGAGCTAGTATGTAAGACCAGCTAGTTAAATTATTTTAAAAAAAATTGTCAGACATTTTAAAAAACCAATGCTGATTACATAATGAGAAGAAGCCTGTTTCAGGGAAGAAACTGGCATTCTCACACATTGCTGGGAGTGAAAATTCTGTAAACCTTTTTCTGGAGAAAAATCTGGCAATATAGATCAGTTTAAAACGCATACCCTTTGACCAGCAATGCTGCTTTTAGGAATTTGATTACTTACATACATAAATAAGCACCTCTGATACATATGTACAAAGATGCACACTGTGTAACAACAACAACAAAAAACCTAATTCCCCACCAATTAGGGATTAAGGACTGGTTAAATAAATACTATACAGCTGTTTAAAAACATTAGCATATCTGTATGTACTGCAATAGAAAAATGTCCATTCTATATCAAATTTTTAAAAAGTTACAAAAAGTATGCATAGTATAATAGATATGTTAAAAACATATGCACATTATATACATACATGTAATTTTATGTACGTATTGTAAGTTTGCAAAAGCCAACCAAATTTAACTGATTATATTACCTGTGGGCCTGGAATACTTTTACTTTCTATTTTAAACATTTTCAAATTGTTTGTATTTTAAACAATGAGCATGAATTACCTTCAAAATCAGTAAAAACAATAAAGACATTTTATTAAAGATGACAAAATAGATATGTTTCAAATAAATCACCTGTATTAGTCAACTAAAAATTTAAAAATACTGCAAAATTATCAGACAATAACACTATAACTCACAAAGTAGTTACATTAGCAGACAACTCCTCTCCAATAATGATTATTAGTCTAAAAAAGAAATGGCACAAATGTGGCCTGTCAATACAGAATGTCCTTTAGTTAAACACAACATAAAAATAAAACAGCATTGATTTGTTACGGTAGTTCTAGCCTTTTACCTGTTGGACTCTGATCCCTGAATCAACATGTGTGTCTGAACTTTGCTCCTAACTGAATCTATTCTGACACCAATTCTAGCAAAAATGGCAAAAGTGGGGGAGGGCATTTTGTATTCTAATGATCTACATACAAATGATAAAATTTTAATCTTGAAAACAAGATTCCTGACTCAATGACAGCCATCACTGGAATGGCCAGTGTCCCAAATTGATAATGTGAGGGAAAAAAAGAATTAAAATCTTCTCTTATTTTTATGAAAACTCATTAATATGAGATAAAGAAAGCAGAGAAAAATTAATTAGGCCTAGCAAGGTTATTACTATTGTATTACTCTGCTAATGTTAATGATGCCAGAGAACGAAACCTACAAGGCCTTTAGAAGTGGACAGCTGTTATCTTGTTCCCTTCCAAGAGTACTTCCCACATGCCAGCTTTCTTACACCAGTTTTCTGATACCAGTCAATTTTACTAAAAAATCAAGTCAGTTTAGAGTAACATTATAAACTAACTGTCTTAAAAAATACCCACTAAAAAAGTGGCCAGATATCCCTAGAGAATCAAGTCTACAAGACTGGACTAAATGACCTTTAAGGTCCCTTATAACCCTATGAATCTATAGTATCCTGGTTCCCTGAGGGTTGGCAGTCACTACAAATCATTGCTATCATAACTGTTACAACCTGCCAGGGGCGGGAGGAGTGTTACTAAGGAAATAACAATTGGAAGAACAGGCAACACAAAAGAATGCATCACTGTCAAATCTATTCAGTGATTATTGGTAAGTAGGGATCAGAATTTAAGTCACTGACTTTCTGAGTTGAAAGGGGAACCTGGAGGTCATTTAATCCAACACTTATCCAATGAATGAACTTTCACTGCAACACCTCCAATAAGTGCCAATCCAGTCCATGCTGGAACACTCGCTACTCCAGAGGCAGCCCATTTCTCCATTCCTTTTGTCAGACAGTTCTAAGGGACAAGTTTTTCCTTAAATTAAGGCAAAAATCTGTTTTTGGGCAGTTCTGCCAACCCAGAGTCATAAAAAATAAGTCTCCTACATAGTAGCAGCCTTGCAAATATCCATACAGTAATTTCCATGTCTACTTCCTCACCTCTTCCCTCCCATCCTTTCACTCTTCTCCCAGGTAAACATCTGCAGTTCCTCCAACATTCTTCCTACAATATAATTTCAAGTTTTCTCCATACCTCAGTTTTTTTCTTCTTGACCTGCTTCAAGTTTTCAATGTTCCCTTTAGAGTGTGGTGCCTAAAATTATATACAATTTTTCCTACATGTTTTGAATAATGAAAGTAGGTCTATCATCTTGGTTTTTGTGGATATTATATGGTAACTAATAACTTGCACCACTGAAGAAATGGCAAATGTCTCCAATAATCATGGTAACAAATGGACAGGTCAGATTTTTATAGACTTAACTTTTGATTTCATCAATTCTAGAGAACAAACACAGGATTTATATGTCTGTATTTTTCTTTTCTCTGATAACAATGATAGCTACAGGTTATCAAGGACTTACTTTGCGTCAGGCACATACTTTACATGTATGTTTTCTCATTTGATTCTGATAATAATCCAACGAAGTAGGTCTCTTTATACCCATTTTATAGACAGAAGTGAAACATAGATCAAATCATTTAATGTGGATCTGTACAATGCATATGCCAAAACTGAGGTATAAAGAATAGACATACAGTTGATTTCACTGATGAACAGTTATTGATTGATGATACAGGTAAAGGGCATAGACTTTGGAATTATAAACTTATGTTTAATCCCAGCTTTGCCATTAACTATTTGACCTTGGGCACTTTACTTCAATTCTTTGGTTCTTGGGCGATCTCATGTGCAAGGTGACTAAAGATAACAATACTTGAAATTTGTTAAGAGGGCAGCAAATCATCAAGTTGTATACTTTAAATATATATATTTTTAAAAATTGAGTTTCTTCATTCATTTAAAGACATTCTCTAGGTCTTGATTTTTCTCATCTACAAAACGAGGATATTATATGCACATTATTAAGATTAAATGAGGTAACATATCTAAAGCACTTGTTACTGTCCCAACAGAAATTGAGTTTTTCTCCATGGATTTGGTTTTAATAATCCAGGTGTCAAATGGGTTAAGAAGGTAACTGAGTATTGTCCAAATGGAAATAAAGAGCAAAATGTGAGGTCTGAAATTGCCAAGACCATGTAATACAGATGACTGACCACCTGAGAGGATATCTGGGGTTGGCATACCATAACAATGTATATGTTTCATGCTTGCTATGGTAAATAGCGTACCGGCTGCCAAACAGCAGGTCAGCTTGAAGTGGATAGTTTGTTTTTTCAAGATCAAATTAGCTAGGGGTTTCTCAGATTGGATATAGTCTTCACAGTATTCACCCTGCTTCTACTAGTAAAAATTTGACTTAGCTGAGGAGAGGTAAAAGAGCATTAAGGGCTATTTCTAGGAAGCAGGGAAGGATTCAAAGGGCAGGGGGTGAAAGACAGTGGGAAGGAGAAGGCAGGCAGAAGAAATAAAAGAATAATATAAATCAGTGATTCAAGAATTTGCCCCAAAAGACTTTTTAAGGATAAAAAATTAGAACTGAAAAAGGGGAATTTTTTCTATATTGCATAAGCATTCACACCTCTCACTGTTGGAAATGGATGAAAACTAAAATACACTCTCCCACTTTAGCCTGTGTACACCTTTGTTGAAGTATGTATCTATGATTTCATCCTGAGATAACATTGGTCCACTGGTCTTATACTTGAATGTATTTTCGAAACTGTCACTACATTTTACCTAATTTAGGAAAGGACCTCCTGATAAATTAGAATTTACGTGGAGAGAAAGAGTCAGTGCTTTAAGACACTTCAAATATGTTGAAAACAAAGTTCGTACAAGCAAAATAATTATAAGGAATATACTATATTCCTAAGAGAGGAATACCTCCATCAACATCTCCCTCTCTGCTAAATTTTTAAACAACAAATATCTTAACATTTCTATTTTTCTCAGTGCAAAATTTCTGATCATTGAATATTTAAAATTTCTTGTTAAGAATTATACTAAATGCAAATAATGTTTATATTTGAGTTTTGAAATTTAGAATAATCATCAAACTTTTTTCCCTGAGTTTGCCACAATAAATATTATTTTAAAGTCATAAAAAATTTTTTCTTAATTCTTAGGTTTATAAATAACCAAGTGACCAGGCGTGGTGGCTCACGCCTGTAATCCCAGCACTTTGGGAGGCCGAGGCAGGCAGATCACAAGGTCAGGAGTTCAAGACCAGCCTGGCCAACATGGTGAAACCCCATCTCTACTAAATACACAAAAATTAGCTGGGCATAGTGATGGGTGTCTGCAGTCCCGGCGACTTGGGAGGCTGAGGCAGGAGAATCACTTGAACCTGGGAAGCAGGGGCTGCAGTCAGCTGAGATCGCGCCACTGCACTCCAACCTGGGTGAAAGAGCATGACTCCATCTCCAAAAAAATAAAATAAAATAACTAAGTAAGCCTAGAAATCTCAAGTTTCTAAATTTCTATGAGATAAGTCCAGAGAGTATAAAATGAATTAGATATGCTATTGAACTACACCTTATTATTAGGCCTTGAGCCTACTACAAGTCTTTAAAAAATTCAACATTATATTACTGTTTAGATTCAAAGCTACTGTTTGTTATGACACAAATGGATGTACCCTTTTATAAACCCATAGAAGACTCTTCTCTCAAAACTGCCAGCAAAAAGCTGAACACTCCAGGAGTTCTCATTATTATCTTATGGGTACAATTAATCTTTCTATTGCTGGTTTCACTCTTAGGTTTGGTTGTTAGGAAGAACACTGACAAATCTGTGATCTATCTCTGCAATTATGCAGGACTTTTTGGAATACATTTGTGTGTATAAATTTCACCTGTAGTTTTACATTGCTATTCTACCTTATTTTTCCATTATTCTGACTTTTTTAACCTTAAAAAAACTTATTGTGTATGTTTTTATAAGTCATTGTGAATACTTTTTGGAATATTGCAGGGAAAAAATAATAAAATTTGCAGCAAATACTCAACGAAATCCAATCTGTTTTGATCCAAACTAGTGAAAACCATAGGCCTAATTTAAATCCATTTCAACCTCATCCCTTTATCTTTCTTCCTTCACATTTTATAACATGAAATTGAAAGATATATCCATTGTATTTACTGGAAAAATTTTTAATGCTCTCTATACTTAAAATAAGAAACTTCTTAATGCCCTTAATTGGGGAATAAATCCTATACACTTTTGGCCTTTTTTCTACAGTTTTTCTCATGTACAAAAATAATTAACAAAAACAAAAAATAATTCACATCACAGCAAGATACGATTCATGGGAAATCTAAATTGCAAATACCTCAAATGCATATTTTTATTAAATAAACACTTGTTACTTACTAAGTAGAGAATCTTCAGATTTCTTTGAAGATGAATGTCCTGAAAAGGAAACATCATTGATTTATTAACTATCATCTTGTAATAGTGCAATCATTGTAGCTATAACCAGAATTCTTAGCAATATTCTAGTTTGCTTATAGTCTTACAGATAAGCACTTCACTGTTTTCTAATCTTTCATGTTCCTTAGTCTTATCTCCCTCATTAAAATGTTACGTTCTTTTAGGCAGAGATCATATCTTATGTGCTCATATGGTCTGTAATAGCCAGCACAAAACAAAAAATAATGAATACCTGCAAAAAAAATCTCATATTGCTAAAAAGAAAACCTCACAGATAATTAGCTGCAATATAAGCAATAATTTATTATCTATAGAGATGTTCAACATTTGAAAGCAGTTTACAAATAAATACTTGCTTTTTACAGTATCTTTTCTAAAGTCATATATGCAGGTAAGTATTAGTTCTCAGAAACTGATAAGAACACAACACAATTATGTCATAAAACAAAAATTCTCAGCTCTACAATGGTCATCCAGTGAGAGAAAGAGAGAGAGAAAGGCACTGAAGATCGGTCAGTGTAATTTAAAAAAAAAATCACCACGATACAGAGCTTCCTGCAATAAGACCTCAGGGAAAATATTTCTGAAGGATGATAAAGTAAAAAAGGGCAGGTGACAGATGGACAGTAACAATTCCTCCAATGTTCCTGGATAGGAGGCCTCGTAACCCAAAGTTTTTGGCCCCTTTAGACCAGATGAAGAGTATAAGAACTACAGGGTAAGGAAACAGGAAATGTATTCTTTCCTGTCATCCTCTAATGAGGAACATGATACCTGCTTCCCAATATCCAAAGGTCCATAGGTAAAAAAGACGTTAGGCTTAATTTGGAGGCCCAAGAACATAATTAGAACCAAAGGGAGGAAGCTGTAGATTTTGGCTGAATGTTAAGAGAAACGTGCTAGCAAATACAACTACCTGAAAATGTAAAGCTTTATTTTTGATAGTAGTGGGTTCCTTTTCCCTGGAAATGTTGAACCAATGCAGAACAATCACATAATATACAACAGTGCCTCTCTCAAACTTTAGTGCATATGATTCGCCCTGGGAACTTGTTAGTAGATCTGGAAGGGTCTGAGATTGTGAGTTGCTAACAAGTTCCTAAATGCTGCCCAGAGGACTTTACTTTGAAAAGCAAAATTAAAGAATATCCTTTCAGTCATGATTCCAGGACTGATCTCTGAAGTTCCTTTCAACTTTCAGAAAATGTGGTTGAATTCACTGATTCACTCACCTACACTTATTGAATGCCTCCTATGGGAGCAAGCACTATTAGGAATTAGAGATAACGAAGTAAACATGTCACACAGTCCCTTCCCTTACAGAAAATAAACAATTTATTCCAAGGATACTATGTATTTCTAAAGGAGAAGTGACAGGTATTATTGGAATATGTAAGAGGAACATAATCTTATTTGGAGAAGTGAGGAGAAGGGTGTCAGGAAGGGCCTTTCCAAGGAATTGAGCTAAGCAGAAACCTGAAGGATGACGTAGCTTTTGGGAAAGGGGTGATGGTGAGACAGATAAGATTCTGAACATTTTGCCAAGACAGTCTACCTAAATATCTTGTTCTCCTCATACCTGCCAAAGCAGACTGGTCCTTAAAGTCAGCTACTGATCTTTCTTATTTTTTCTCTCTATCCATTCATTCAGCTATCTAGTTCATCCATCTATTACTTATTTAACATTTTCTAAGACGGTAACCTAAAGCTATGAGAGTTGATGGGATTACACTGGGAGTACAGAGAGAAACTAGAGAAATCTAGGTAAGAGCCCCGAGGAACTCTAACAGCTAAATGTAAGACTGAGAAGGAACTTCAGTTAAAAGCAGCTAAGGAGGTCGGGTGTGATGACTCATGCTGGTAATCCCAGCACTTTGGGGGGCCAAGGTGAGAGAATTGCTTGAGGCCAGGAGTTTGAGACCAGTCTGGGAAACAGCAAGACCCTGTCTCTGCAACAACAACAACAACAAAATTAGCTGAGTATGGTAGTGCAGGCCTGTAGTCCCAGTTACCTGGGAGGCTGAGAAAGGAGGATCACATGGGCCTCCGAGGTTAAGCCTGCTGCAGTGAGCCAAGATCATGCCACTGTATTCCAGCACTCCAGCCTGGGGCCTGGGTGACAGAACAAGACCCTGTCTTACAAAAAAAAAAAAGCATTAGCTAAAGAGAGGCCAGAAAGATAGAAATAAAATTAAAGGAAGTTGTCAACAGTCCAAACGCAGCTGAGATGTTAAGCGTTTATTAATTACTCTTCAAGTCTGGTCCAAATTAAGGTGGTCTGGCAAGAAAGAATCAAATCAATGATAAAGCTAATTCTAGATGATCCCAGATAAGATATTAAAGAGTTCCACATGGTTTTCCTAAAAGTTTGCTAAAATTTTGTTATTTTCTGTTATATACCATAGAAGTTGGGGGTAAAAAAGCTATATTTCTAGAGACTTTGCTTTCAAAGGCATTCTAAATAGAGAATACATAAGAAAGAGATGTCTCAATTCCACCTTGCTTTGGTCTTCTATCCCTGAAGAATCTTCAAAGTCCTTTACTGATTATTATTTATGCTGAACATGAGCTAGTGGGGTGCTGGGGATATAGCAATGAACAAAGCAGGCAGAATCTCTGCCTCTTTGGCTTTTACATCGTCATATGTGTAATAATGGAAAGTGTCAGGAGCCATGACAGCATTACAAATGAGAGTCCTAATTTAGATTCAAGGTGGGGGATGAAATCAGGAAAGGATCCTTGGAAATGACATTTAAGAGCTTAGACCTGAAGGATGAGCTGGGATAGAACTGAGAGTTTTAGGAAGAGAAGACACAGCATCCATGTAACCCCTAAAATTGAAAGAGGCTTGACATTTTCCAGAAACTGAAAGGCTACATGGGGGGAGTGTGAACGTGAGGTACAGAGTGGTAAGAAACAAGCCTTGTATAGTACACAAGTTCTGGATCACAGAGAACCTTTTAGCTTTGTCCAGGATTTTGCTTATCAGCCTAAAAACAACAGGAAATCACTGATTTATGGAGAATGGATTAAGAGGAGGGAAGGTGGGATGGCAAGACAGAGGCGGAACCCGTAAGGAGAATATAACAGTAGCCTATAAGAGAAAATATAGTGGTTTGTAGTAGGGTGGAGAGAACTTGAGAAATATATACTCTGGGGGTAAAATTCACAGGACTTGGTGACAAATTAAACATAAATAATAAGGGGAAAGAAAGTATCAAGGATAATCCCCAGATTTCTGATATTAGTTTTTAGGTCAACATAGGTGTCATCTACTGACAGAACACTAAGGGAAAAATGTCTATAAGGAAGATCATGTGCATATGTACGCATAATACGAAGGGTCCAACCTTAGCCCTGAACCTGAGCATTCATCTACCTGATCTACTTTGATTGTACTGAGTAACATTTTATAAAGTAGAGACTAGTTCTTTCATTTGGAATACGCAGTGATTAACATGGTATCACAGTTGTGATAAGAATGAACATATAATACAATGAGGGCAACAAATTTCTTAAGTGACATATTAAATGTTTTACTAGCATATAAGGATAAATAAGTTTTTAAAACTCAAAACATATTTTTAACATTTATTGGTTAAAATTTACCTTAGAGTGGAAAATAATTAAGATAGAGACAAAAAAGGCATTCTGCTACAAATGCCATCTCTCAATAAGCAATAAAATAACAATATCTTCCTCTCACCATCTATCAATTTTACGAAGTCTAAAGGTTGGTGACACCATATACTTGAAGCTATGGGAGTAGACAGTATCACAAGGGCACACAGATTTAAACTCTGCTACATAATGAATATATTACCATGTGCAAGAAGAAGTAAATGCTTCTAAGCATGCAACATAGCTAATGATCTTCATAGCTGGAGCAAGAGAGCCCTCTCCTGTCCAAATATTATATTAACATTGGCTTGAATCTAATTCAATTACCTATCTAGATTAGTCTGATTCACTATAAATTACAGCCGATTGACTCTACTTTATTATGGGCTAAAAAAAGCAACTAGAAGTAACCTTCATAATAGCTAATATGTGCCAAGTACTATGCAAACTGCTTAATGAATTATCTCGTTTCAACTTCTGAACAATTCTAAAAGGAATCAAGACCATTTTACACATGAAGAAATTGAGTCTTAGCGAGCTTAAGGACTGCTAAAGAAAAAGCAGGCAGTTCTAAGTATAGGTGCACAGCACCATGCTAGGCTCTGAGAACACAGATATATGACAATCTTTCTCATTTCTAGAAACTCATAAACTAGTAAAAAAAGTCACACAGGCCATTATAAATAAAATCAGTGTTACAATTTTATATTGATTTATAGATTATAGACTGTTTAAAGGCACTGATCAAAGTCCCTTTCACATTCTTATTTGAGTTTCCACAATAAGCTTGACCAGTATGAAGGCCAGGTATGCACCTCACCCCTATACACATAAGAAAAATAAAGCAGTTCAGTGACTGATGCAAAGTAACAAGTCTGTAGGTGACAAAGCCAGGAATTAGAAAACTGTTGGCAATATTATACTATCTGCCAAAAATGAACTAAAATTAACCCTTAATTAATTTAGAGGAGTTCTTAAAACTCCTGTAAGTCACTTTAAGTTCATATCTAAATTCTCAGCCAGTTTCCTCTCAACTACCATAAAATGAAATTCTCAATGCATTCACCAATTAGATGAATGAAATATGGCAGATTATATTTCATGCTCACAAATGTGAGTAGATGCCTTATCTTAATTTCCTTTTACCTTTATCTTTTTTCTTGGAGGCCTCTTCTGCAGAAGATAATCTGGATTTTTTATGTGATGACTCTTCACAGTCTTTTTTGGTTTTATCTTTTCTTTTTTTTGACTTGATTTCTTTTCTCCTTTGTGTTAAACAATATAAAATTAAAGTTAACTTTTCCAACTGACCTTTTCAAAAATAACCATCATATGAACAAAAAACCAAAATCAGTTAAAATACTTATTTTTTAAATGTGATTTATATAATAAGGAACGTTAAGTGAGACTGTAAATATTTTATGCTTGTATATTAATTAAAATCATTCTATAAGATAATGAAGTCTTAACACTGACACAAATAATTACTTTCTATAAGTTCTGTATACGACCATAGTAAATACAAATTATAATTGTATTTGTTTCTTTCTTTCTATATTCTATCACTTAGCCATTTAAAACTAAATTACAAAAAAAAGCCTCATTTCCCTTCACATAATCCATATCCACCTACATGTTAAAAAAACACAAAGAAGAAGAAACTGCTGAACAGCTCTAAGCCACCAGTAAATAGAAATTTCTACTCTTAAGAATAAAGGAATATAGTAGAAGCATAATGGAATGAAAATGGAAAGGGCTTATTGTTAATTCATATATCAACATCAGGCCACTTATAATTTATACTCTTATTGTTGCAGCTTTATCTCTTCTAGAGCAGGTTTACAAGGTTGGCAAACAATTAATTAATTTTAATAGGTTAAGAAAAGAAATACTAAATGGGAAAAAGTGATAATGCTGAAATTGGGACTGGCAAGGAGAATAGAGACAAAGGAAAAGATTACTTTCAAAAAACTTGTTCAGTAGATTTTCCAAGTTAAAGTACATCTACTAAATGCTATAATAGTATTTAATGCATTAACCACTTTTGCATATTTTGTAAGAATCATTTCCATTTTGAAATGAAGCTCAAAAGTCAAGGTCAAAACAAATCCCTGCTTTCTTTCAGTATCACTGATGGGAAGGGGAAATAAAGGTTTAGGCTATTCCAGTAATCCAAAAAAGTTCTGGCCAAGTGTGGAGGCTTATGCCTATCATCCCAGCACCTTGGGCGGCTGAGGCAGGAGGACTGCTTGAGTCCAGGAGTTTGAGACCAGCCTGGGCAACATAGGGAAACACCATCTCTACAAAAACTTTAAAAAAAAATTATCCAGGTTTGGTGATGTACTCCTGTAGTCTCAGCTATTCTGGAGGCTGAGGTGTGAGGATCACTTGAGCCCAGGAGGCTGAGGCTGCAATGAGCCATGATCACACCACTGTGCTTCAGCCTAGGCAACAGAGTGAGACCTTGTCTCAAAAAAATAAAGAATAATGAAAATAATAAAAATAATCCTGCTAATTTTAAGAATTAAAAATATTATTTAACATTTATTTTTAACAGCTAAAATACTATATAGGCACATTTATAACAAAGCTGTTATTTTTTGACAACCCATGTGATTAAAAAAAAGAAAGCTATTTTAAAATTAATATGCTTATGTATACATTTTATAAAGTTGCAAAAGCTGAACTTTTAACTGTTATCCAGCGCATAAAACCTGACCATCACAAAGGCAAGTTGCGAAGAATCAGTGTGAACATCTTTAATGCCAGGTACTGTGGCAAGCACTTTACATGCACTTTCATTTATTCCCCACAATAGCCTGAGTAGCCTCATTTTTACAGGTGATAAAATTAAGCCTTACAGAGGTTAAGCAGTTTGCCCAAGAAGAAGCCTAGTAAGCGGAGAAGCTGAGATTAAAAACTGAGGTCTGATTTCAAACCCCATAACTGCAGGACACTGGTATTCCCACACATTCAATGTGGCAGATACATTAAAGCTCATTCAATAAAAGCCTGATTTTAACTTTTTTTTTTTTTGAGACAGAGTTTTGCTCTGTTGCTAGGCTGGAATGCAGTGGCTCAATCTTGGCTCACTGCAACCTCTGCCTCCCAGGTTCAAGCAATTCTCCTGCCTCAGCCTCCCCAGTAGCTGGGATTACAGGCACCTGCCACCACGCCCAGTTAATTTCTGTATTTTCAGTAGAGACAGGGTTTTACCATGTTGGCCAGGCTGGTCTCGAACTTCTGACCTCAAGTGATCCACCCAAACTGGCCTCCCCAAGTGCTAGGATTACAGGCATGAGCCACCGCGCCTGTTCTTGATTTTAACATTTAAAATGAGTATAGAGGTGTCTAATCCTTTGTAAGAATGGCAAACTCCAGCTAAAACACTGTCTAAATGAGACACAAGAACTGCTTTATGAAGTCTGCTTTACAACATAATTTCTAATATTAAAGTGTCAGAACATTGGCTCCAAACTAAAAATTCTAACATCCATCTACCACCTCACATAGGCCTTTACATTTAAAACTGCTTGGCAAGAATAGGGCATAGCGGACTTCTAAACCCCTCGTTTATGTAGCCATACGACAATGCCACATTTTCTACATGATCAACCAATTCAACCATCAACCACCTAAGTCTACATTTAGATACTTAGTGCAGGTAAATGACTATATCCTGGATTACTAAACATTAAGAATGGCATTTTAAAAGACATTACCTGTGATGGAAATTTAATTTAATGGAACATTCTTGGCATAACCCTAAAAAGAAAAGACACCACTGAATGGCTGATTTTGAATAACCACACTGCTAATCTACTTTTAATATCATAAATTCGCACTTTCTTTATATTCCATTACTATAAGAGGGTAAACAAACAATCCAAAGAAAACAATCTGACCTTCATCACCTCAAAAATGCAAATATATACACACATACATATAATAAAAATATTAGCTTGAGGAATTGAAAATAACACTATTTTAGAAAAATGTGTTGTCAATTTGTTCCAAAAACAAACTGTGTTCCACAGGCACATTAACATGTGTCTCACATCAAAGATATCTAATAATAATGTGAGTATAGTCATTTCCTCTGAAGTGCTCTAAGAACTTTCAAATGCAAAGGAGCTTTTCAAATAGTTCCATAATTGTGGTCTCTTTTTTTTTTTTTTTTTGCCTTAATCTCAGTTCACACTGGCTGACTTTTCCTCTTGAGCACTTCCAGAAGGAACTCAGAAATCAGTCTGTATTGACATGCATACGTAGCATGTGGGGACATTCTTGACTTTTATTAGGTATGAGCAGAAAACTCTGAAGGCACATTTACTTAGGACCCAGAGAAGGCTAGAGGAACAGCTGACACATGAAGACTAACTTAAAAAATAAATAAAAGAATGACAGACTCTAAAACATGCATCCTAAGGGAAACTGCTGTATTCTGGAGTATTTATTCCCTATGGTTTTAAGACTGAGGTCAAGAACAATTATGCCTTCCTAAAGTTTTTCTTTATTAATACTGTGAAACAGAGTGAATTTGTTTATTATCTGTGCTACAACGATATCACTGAGTAATCAGCTAATGTGAGATTACACTGCCTTTTCTGATACTGTGCCTCTTAGCTATGTAATGTGGTGGCATTCTCAAGTTAATGGGGACGGAGCCCCACTCTACAAATTACCAGTTTACATTTGACATTAGAATTCTTTTTACTGAAACACCACTGTAATGCTAAAAATGTAAAAAACTGAGGCTGAAAAGTTCTTTGAGACTTTGGGAAGCTCCAAGAAAAAAGAGCACTTCCAGAAAGATATGTTAAAAATTGCATTTGAATTTTAAAGTCTATATATTTTTAAATTAAAGACAAACTTGGAAGAATCAATCATATACCCCCTAAAATCAACTTACTTAATTTAACAAGTGCATTTCTCTTCTCACCATGCTCAATATAACCAAAATTAACTTCCCAACTCTTTAAGCCTTCTTTTTTATCACAATATTTATTTCCACAGAAAAATTGACCTGCAGAAAGGAAAGGAATATTAGCTATGGTAGTTGGTGATAATATTTATCTATATGATCTAGTATTACCCCTAAAATGTACTTCTAAAATATGCAAATTAACCATAGTCAGCCTTTAAAAACTGACCAGAGTAATATGTTCAACCAACTTGTATACAAGTATCAAATCAAAGTACTGTTACCAAAAAAAATCAGTCACAGAATTCTTGCTTGATAGACTGTATTTAGATAGACATTTTAGCGACTCCCTATTAGGGAATCTTACACTTTGGAAAGACAGTATTAAAGAATGGACATATTTCTCAGAAAGTTGGTTTAAGGAAAAACAAATAAAAAAACAAAAACAAAAAAAACAACATACTCACAAATACCCCCCCCAAAAAAAAACGCACTTTCCAAAGTACACACACTTATAGCTGGGTGAAACCTTTCAATATTTAATGGTAATAATAGTTAATAGTTTTAAGTATTAGCATAATGACATTTATTTTAAATACTAGCATAGATGGCCTTGAAAACACATTTAAAAATTCTAGCACTTTGAGGTGAAGTACAATACGCAGTCAAACCTGATACTCTAAATTTTAGAATAACTTGACACTATTATTAACATCACACACATTACCATGTCCACAATATATTAAAACCTCCAAAAAAAGACTAACTGATAACCTGAGAGAAAAAAAGAGAAACAACTCAACAGTAATTTACTTTGGCAAAAAGACAAGATCAAACTCTTATTAATTTATATCACAATAATTTGCACTAACAGAAGCAAATCTGTAACCAGCAAATCTTTTTCATAAAAATTAAGAAATTATCAAAATGAATTTAGAAAATTATATCCTAAAAAGACTTATTTCTAAATCAGCCTTTTAAACTCATTCCAAATGAATATTTTATTAAATCTATATGTTTAGTAGGTAAGGCTTTGTTGTTAAAACAGCAACAAAATTATAACTTTATAAAAGAAATCACATAAATCACATTAGCAGCTTTCTTTCCCTTTCCTAACTAGTCTTTTATTCAGTTATATGAATTTAGAGACTACCCATCAATTTTTTTAAAAGGTAGCATTATAAACTCACCTGAAAATCTCATTCAATAAAAGTACATCTTAAAATTGTGATAGACATTTCAGGATTTCTCATTATTTTAGATAAAAACATAAACTAAAATATAACCCTAAGAAAAGTTAAAATAGCTTTAAATTTATTCTTTTTCCTTAATGTTGTTTTATGGCATATGCAATTTCACACCTAACATAGCCAACTTATGGAAGATATATATGAGCCACGATAGCATAAATATTTAATCATTTAAAAATGTAATCTTTCCATTTAAAAGGTTTTTTAAAGTAAGTTTAAAATTATTTCCTTAGTGCTACTATATAGTTTTCAGTACTTTAACACTTAAAATGCAATTACTCAGTAAGGAGCTAATTTTATAGCAAGAGACAGTATGGAGATACACAATTTCCAGGAAAAATTTAATGAATAGATTTACAATAATGCATAGAAAAAGCATTTACTGATTGCCTACCAAATGTCTGGTCTTTTGCTATTAGACTAAGTATTTGGGCTCAATATAAGGGACTTCCAAAAATGAGTACTAGCCTGCCCCAAAATTCTATTGGGATTAAAGTGATATTTAACTTCTACTTTTGAAATGTGGATTTGGCTGAAAAACAGTAACACCAATTCATTATTCCAAAAATTAATAAAGAAAGGAAAAAAATAAACCTTTCTTTTTTGTTGAAAGTTGTCTTGCTATGAAATCTTTAATTTGTAAAATATTTTCTACATACTTAGAAATATGCAGAACATTCAACTGAATGTTCTAAAGGCAAAAGTATAAAGGTAATAATCATTAAAGCATTATATTCAGACCTTTGCTAATAATGTATCATGAATACACCTTCTCTAATTTTACTTTTGTAGCTAATAATTTCTTGTATATGTTAGGAATGATCTTAATGACTCCAATTCAGTAACTTAACAAAATAAGTTTATCCTATTAAAAAGTAAAAATTTTAAAGAATTACCTTTTCCTGAAATTACTTCTTTTTCTACTCGCCACCTAAATCCAAACTGATAATAAAAAAATTACATTTATGCCAATGTAAATTTAAATTATACAGAAATCTAAACATGGAGCCAACAATGACATTCACCAACCTAAAAAATAAATGTAATTCCCATCATGACAGATTTTTCTCTTCTTATAGGATTTGAAGAAAATACATTGAACAATCACCAATTTATCTGTTAAGAACAATCTACTTTAAGATAGCTTAAAAGTTATAGGTGCCAGGCCACAAGATACCTAAGTTAACAAATAATATATCCTGTTCTGTAAGACTGACAAGAAAAAAAGAGGTTATGGTATAGTAAAGAGGTAGTATATTCTAGTACAAAAAAGTACAGCCTTTGGAGTCAGATTATTTACATTTGCATTTTAGCTCTACCACTTAACAGTTGTATAGTACTGGGCAAATTAATCTCTTTTTTGCCTCAGCTTCCTCATATATGTAAAGTAGAAATATGAGTACCTACTTCCTTGGTACTCACAGAGGTTTAAAGAGGTTTAAATGAGATAATACATATGAAACACTTAGAATAGTAACTAGTATACTCCAACAATCATGCTTCTTGGTATTTACTCAAATGAGCTGAAAACTAATGTCCACATGAAAACCTAAATATAGATGTTTACAGCAACTTTATTTCTAATTGCTGAAACTTGGAAGCAACCAAGATGTTCTTCATTAAGTGAATGGATAAACAACTGTGGTACATCCAGACAATTAATATTATTCAGTGGTAAGAAGAAATATCAAACCATGAAGACATGGAGAAACTTAAGTACATATTACAAAGTGAAAAAACCCAATCTGAAAAGACTACATATATATGATTTCAACTGTATGATATTCCAGAAAAGGCAAAACTATGGAGGAAGTAGCAAGATCAGTAGTTGCCAGGGATTAGGAAGGAGGGTGGGATGAACAGGTGGAGCACAGAGGATTTTTAGGGCAGTGCAAGTATTCTCTATGGTACTATAATGGTAGACACACGTCATTACACATTTGTCAAAGCAGTTGAATGTACAATACCAAGAGTGAACCCTAATGTAAGCTATGGACTTCAAATAATGATGTATCAACGTAGGTTCACTGATTGTAACAAATGTACCCCTCTGGTGTGGGATGCTGACAGTAGGGGATGTTATGCATGTATGAGAGCAGGGGGTATATGGGAATTCTGTGCTTTCTGCTCAATTTTGTTGTAAACCTAAAAATGCTCTAAAAATTAAAAGCAAACAAAAAATACACTTGGGAAGATTACTTGAACCTGGGAGGTGGAGGCTGCAGTGAGCCATGATCATGCCACTGCATTCCATCCACCCTGGGCAACTGAACAAGAGCCTGTCTCAAAACAAACAAACAAAAACTACAACAACAAAAAATAACAACAAATAAAAAACCACTCCAGTCTAGAAACATGCATACCTGTACCCAACTCAAGAAGCTCTTGTCACTCATTAGGTCTTAACCTTGGGAAAGTTACTTAACTTCTCTACTTCCTCTTCATGTATAAAAATGGAAATAGTAACAACCTTAAGTTCACCGGATTGTTATAGTAAGACAGAGGATTCATATAAAGTGTTCAATGCCTTGCTAACTTCAGTTTGTTGTGGGGTTTTTTTTTTTTTTTTTTCAGCCTTCCGAATAGCTAGGACTTCAGGCATGTGCTACCCTGCCTGGCTAATTTTATTTTTTATAGAGACAAGGTCTCACTATATTGCCTAGGCTGGTTTTGAACTCCTGGCCTCAAGCTATCCTCCCACCTCAGCCTCCCAAAGTACTGGGATTACAGGCAAGAGCCACCGTGCCTGGCAATTTCAATTATTTTTTTTAAAAAATCATTAATCTATTACTTGAATTTGGCAATTTTGTATTTTAAATGCAAATAAAGGCTCAAAATATTTCAAAATACTCTGATTAAAACCCAACAAAAATAAAATCCTCCAAATCTAGGGGAAAAAATAAAATTTCAGGATAACTCTGTTTAATTCTATTTTTCAGCCTATATATGTATGTGGAGATTGCTTGCCATCCAACATATGTTAGGATGTCTACTGAAGCACAGCCAAGTGTAACAGCAATAGTTTCCAAACTTTCTTCTTCATTCATTAATCTATTCAACAGACAACTTATTAAGCAACTACCTATTGGGCTTGGCATTCCACTGAGGATAAAAAGTGATTATTAAAATAGTGTGTCACCAAGATTATAATCTTATGAGGAAATAATAAATGTAACAAAACAAATTACATTATATCCTACTAGTTAAAGACTGTATATTATTTCCTGACATAAATGTCCTAGTTTGGATTAAAGCTGAAGTTATTCAGGATTTGGTGCTGAGCCTCCTTTTCTTCTCACTCTGCACTCATCACAATGAGGTCACGTACGCAAGCAGTAAACAAGAAGGATTCTGACTTTATGACCATCGACTTGAACTTTTATGTATAAGAAAAATAAACTTTCCAGCTCATTTAAGCCAGTGGTTTTTTTCGGGGAGTCTTCTCTGTCCTTGCAGCTGGACCTAATCCTAACTGATACATTGATCCAACTAAAAAGGGGAAATGCAATAAAGAAAGGAATAGGAGTAAGAGGCAAAGGTGGAAATTCACTAAAAATGCTCTAAAAGTATCTACTATATATATTAGGAGCTGGTTTTAATTAACTGAATAATACATTGTCTTTGTATAAATAAAGAGAAGAGAAAATGCATCCTAGTGAGGGAACCAAAGGCATTACTCTTTCTCCAACACCTCAAACATGGTATGCCAAAACCAAACTCATTATCTTCCCCCCACAAAAAAAATCCTCCTCCAAATTCTGTATTTTTCTCAGCATCCATGGTCAGAATCTGCGAGTCATATCGGATTTCTTGCTGCATTTACTCTCATGTACAATCACTCATCATGTTCTAGCAGGAAAATACACATTTTTTCAAGATTATTTTCTTTAAAGTACGATTTCTAGTGGTATCCATTTTTGAAAAATTGAGAACTCAAATATTTAATTTTTATTTATGTATATTTTCTCCCCTCAACTAGACTAGCTTTTTCTGAAAAGTAGTCACCATGTATTAACCCACAGTACCTAGTCCAGTTTCAATAGATACTGACAACAACAACAAAATACTGAAGAATTATGATGGTATTAGGAGGTGGGGAAAAATAAATGAAAAAAAGAAAAAAAACAACAACTTAAGAACAATCCATGAATAAGCCAGGGCTGAAAAATCTCCTTTGTTACATGCTCCTAGAAAGACATAATTTTCACACTTGATTTACAATACAGTAACTTTAAGTAACTCCAATTACTGTGGTGCTTTTTGAACCAGATGTGGTACAGAGAAGACAGCTGTGAACCAGAGTCCATAACTAGTTCATAAGAAACAGCAGTTCTGGGGATAAATTAAGTGCACGGGTTTATAAATAGGGTATACAAAATGAACATTATTACTATTTTCTATAAGAAACTGTGAAGCAACACACATATTAAAGGCACTACTGAAAAAATTATTAAATCAACCCTGGTTCTAATGAGATCAAATGATTTAAATGACAAATAAATCTTCATGATAGATAAATACAAGATAGCTTTTTAAATAGGTTTTTTTCTTAATACAAATATACAGTATCTATAACACATATTTATGCAACATTCCCTCCTCTCACATTTCTAACTGAGATCTGCTCCTGGGTCACCTTTTCCAGCTATAATTTGATGTTTGAGATAGAAATAAAAGTAACTTTCTATTTTTTAGAGTCTCACTGTCACCCACACTGAAATGCAGTGGCACGATCATAGCTCACTGCAGCCTCAAACTCCTGGACTCAAGCAACCTTCTAACCTCAGCCTCCCAAGTAGCTAGAACTATAGGCATGCACCACTGCACCTGGCTAATTTTTTTTAGTTTTTGTGGAGACAAAGTCTCACTATATTGCCCAGGCTGGTCTTGAACTCCTGGCCTCAAGCAATCTTCCTGCCTCAGCCTCCCAAAGTGCTGAGATTACAGGCATGAGCCATCACGCCCAACCAAAAATAAAAATATTAACTAAAGTAAGATGTAAAGTGGGAAAGGAAATCTGTCATTACTAATTAGCACTGATTGAAATGTTAATTTTACTAGAATAGACATTTATGTAATAGAAGATGTGCATCTGGATCTCTATAAATGGTAATCAATTTTTAAAATCTATCAGTTTCAAACATCATCTGTGAAATAAGACATTATTCTGTAGAGTTAAGTCATTCATTACAATCACTAGAGGCTCTAGACTAGAGTCAGGATGAAACAGGATCCAATACCCACTTGCGTTTAATTTTAGACTTTTCATGCCTCAGCTCACAAACAAAAAAAAGCATCCTTGTCCTTCATAAATTTCCATAGGCCTTTTGTAAACTCCACAGCTGCAGAGGTTAAATGGTCCAAATGACACATCATAAACGCAGGACAACTGAGTCTAGAATTAGCATCTTTAAAAGAATAATGTGGGGCATGACAGTATAATAAAAGTTAATATTTTACTTGAATAAGAACCTCTTTCCATAAATATGTGGAAAGCATACCTTATTTTCTTTATATTTACTGAGATCTGCTATGCAGTATTCCTTAAATAATTTATCATAGTATTTCTTAGCAAGTCTCTTCTCCCTAGACCCATGAAAATATAAATATTATACATTTAGAAACTCAACCATGGTTTGCTACTTTCAAGTGATGTCAAAGAATACATACTACATAAATATTAATGTTTTAAGAGAACTATTACTTACATGTGCATGGAATATCTGGATATTAACTATTAAAAGTGGTTCACTCAGGGAGGGAAATTGGAGAACTGACAGTCACAAATAAGAAGGAGAATCACTCTTCACTGTTTACCCTTTGTAATGTTTGGATTTAAAAAAACATTTTCAGGTATGACTTTTTTCTAAAACAGCAGCATATAATAACATATTACAAGATAACACACAATACTGTAAAAAAGAATGTTATTTTTTTGAAGACTAAGTCAAACAATGAGAAGTCAGTTAAAACTGCCAAAAATTACCAAAAGAACCAAATAATCCTAGGCTTGATTTTATGTCCTTGATTCAGAACTGTTCTATGAAGGGGCTGAACACCTTGACTAAAAAACCACTCAGAAAACAGGAGAAACAGGACTAAAGCATTTGATGCATTACGCCTCTGATGGCTAATTACCAAGTCATGTCCATTTCGTCCTCCTCATTCCATAGGAATCTATGATTTTCTCGTATAACATCCAAGTCTGTCTTGTCATTTTCCCTGGAAAACAGAACTTTTTCAATTTAATACAAAAACAAAAGTAGTCAAATTTAGGTTAAATAGCTCTGTGAGTTTTGGAAAATTTTATTAAAAATATAATACATGAAGATAGTTTTTTGGTGAGTATAAATTTGTTCACATATTTATAAAAATATTTCAGTATTTTCAAAAGGCACTTATAAAAATACTACTACAGAAGCAAGTTAAATGGATAAGGAATCTGTCTGTAGCATTGGTTTCAATTATACAAATGGTGCTAAGTTACCAAAGCTAGAATGAGAAACCTGACTAAACACTAAATGAATAAAGTGAATGAAAATAAGTTTCATTCTAACCAACCACTCTGCTGAGATTTAATTTTAAAAAATATGAAAAGTTTTCCGTATCTCATTTTACTAGTTTCCTAGGTAGAAGACTGAGTAAAGGAGGAAGAAAGCCAAAGGGATTGACCTTTCAAAATAAAATGCTAACAGTCTGGGGGTAAAAAAAAAAAGGAAAAAAAAAAGTGATTGTTGGGAGATATAGGATAAATTGATAGGTGAGATAAATTGGGGGTAAATGAGGTGGTACTAAATTTTCTCAGAGTCCTACCAACTCAGAAAATTGTTAGAGGGAAAAAAAAAACCTCACATAAAACTAAGAAGTTCTAAGACACACACACACTATAGCAGCACAATTCGCAATTGCAAAGCTATGGAACTGACCAAAGTGCCCATCAACCAATGAGTGGATAAAGAAAATGTGGTGTGTGTGTATATATATATATATATATATATATACACCATATATATATATATACACCATATATATATATATATACACACATACATACACCATATATATATACACACCATATATATATACACACCATATATATACACACCATATATATATACACACCATATATATACACACCATATATATATACCATATATATATACACCATATATATATATATATACCATATATATATACACACACCATTTATATATACCATGGAATACTACTCAGCCATAGAAAGGAATGAAATGATGTCTTTTTGCAGCAACTTGGATGGAGCTGGAGGCCATTATTCTAAGTGAAGTAACTCAGGAATGGAAAATCAAATATCATATGTTCTCATTTATATGTGGGAGCTAAGCTATGAGGATGCAAAGGCAAAAGACTGATATAATGGACTTTAGGGACTCAATGTGGGGGAAGGCCAGAAGGGAGGTGAGGGATAAAAGACTACATTTTAGGTATAGCATACAGTGCTTGGGTGATGGGTGCACTAAAATCTCAGAAATCACCACTAAAGAACTTATCCAGGCAACCAAAAACCACCTGTACCTCAAAAACTATTGAAATAAAAATAAAAATTTAAAAAAACAAAAACAAAACAAAACAAAAAACAAGTTCTGATAGAAGAGCCTTAAACATGGGAAGGACTTTGATGTGCAAGAAATGCTAGACTGAGAGTTCTTGTTTACCTATCTTTTAAAAAGCAATCCCAAACATCAAGGTATAAAAATTTCCTTATTTCAAAGATCTTTGCCAAGAAGACACATGAGTATTCTTCAGATATTCTTTTATCACCAGGGTTGTGCCCGGCTCAGCAGGTAAAGAGTCTACCTGAGGCCTGTCCAAAAAAATGGGATTCATGAAGAGCTACTCAGGAGCTGTGGATGGTATCTCTACCTTATAATATAAAAAAGAAACTGGGGCCAGGTGCAGTGGCTCACGCCTGTAATCCCAGCAGTTTGGGAGGCCAAGACAGGTGGATCACAAGGTCACGAGTTCAAGACCAGCCTGGCCAAGATGGTGAAACCCCGTCTCTACTAAAAATACAAAAATTAGCCAGGCATGGTGGCAGGAGCCTGTAATCCCAGCTACTCGGGAGCCTGAGGTAGGAGAATCGCTTGAACCACAGCGGCACAGGTTGCAGTGAGCCGAGATCAAGCCACTGTTCTCCAGCCTGGGCGACAGAGTGAGACTCCATCTTAAAAAAAAAAAAAAAAAAAAAAAAAAAAAAAGGCACACCGGAATAGAAAGCAGGGAAGAATGACAGAATCAGAAGGCACAGTAGCTGTGGGTCTTTAAAGTTTCCCATAACCCACATTCCCTTCTATGTAAACTTCCTGATACTTACCCCAAACGCTTGAAGTCTTCTTTTTTGCCACCATAGTATAAAATATAGTCATTTACGAACTTTGTATGTCTTTGATACTGAAATGCAAAAAATTAAGGATTTTATTCTCTTAGGAGCTGTTTGGTGTCATAATATATTGCTGATTGGTGGTAAAAAAAAGCACAATATGAGTCTATTTAGCTTTTTAAAAATATTCACACACTATACATGCTTACACATTCAGAAAATCTAGAAGGGTATATATTAAATTGTTGAAAGTGAAGATTGTAAAGTACAGGCTTTCTTTTGACTATTTTTCAAGCATATACTACTCTTGTGATAAAAATATACCTCCATCTGGGGAGAAATAGAGCTTCTTATTCTATTGCTGAACTGCATATAGCCTCCTACCACCACTCATTCTAATAATCACAATATGAAAAATTTAAAAATTATAGTTTCTAAAAGTAGAGAATTTATCTTTCATTATCATAAAATATAATTTATCTATTTTAGTAATGATAAAGCCTCTAAATAGAAGATGCAACTTTTATAATTATATTTATAATTTATAATTAAATCCCAACATTAAACTTTCAAAAAAGCAAATATAAAAAATCAATTTTTATAGTCTTTTAAATTCAAAGAATAAAATGCCATGTTTTTTCAAAGCATTGTAACAAAATATATGAGCATTTTACTTTTTGTTTTAAAAAGCTCAACAGCACTCTCTCTAGAGCCAAACATGCACATAATAGCTAACCTCACCTTCTACAATATTCTCTGTGACTATTAAACATGTATAGTGATTTAACTGATCATAATGTGTACTAACAGACAATTTAATCAGATTATGGTATTTCCATATTGTAACAAACCAGTTAATATTTCAGGAAAAAAAAAAAAGAGAGAGACAGAAAAACCAAATACCTGGAGATCTGGATTCTAGCTCTTGATCTACCACTAACTGGTCACATGACCATGGCAAGTCATGTAACCTATTAGAGCTGGGGTCAGCAAACATTTTCTGCAAACGGCCAGATGGTAAATATTTCAGGCTTTGCAAGCCATATGGTCTCTGTTGCAAATGCTCAGTTCTGCCATTTTAGCATGAAAGCAGCCAAAGACAACATATAAATGAAGCATGGCTGTATTCCAATATAATTTTATGTACAAGAACAGGTGGTGGGTGTAACTTTTGCTTCCGGGAAGATGGAGTAGGCAAAGATGTACTTCTCCCTATTCCTCATACTAATAACAACTAAAATCCTTATACATTATATATCAAACATAAAAAGACTCTAAAAGGTGGAAGGAAGAAGGCGCCCCGCTAGGGACCTCCTGAAGACCTATGGTATGACATGATAGCGAGTTCCCTAGGTTTTCTTTTTGTCTCATGTATCCTAGAATTGGAGGTAAAGAAGGTGACAACCCGGAAACACCAACAGGCACGGACTAAAAAATCGTCAACAAAAGCTGTTCTCTCTAACCAAATGACCAAGAGTCAGCCTAGCAAGACAACTTTGAGACAATAACTACTCTACTCTTGTCAAACAACCCAGAGAAAACTGTGGTTCCCAGTCAGAATCGCAATTATTAAAAAGTCAGGAAACAACAGATGCTAGCAAGGCTGTGGAGAAATACGAACACTTTTACACTGTTGGTGGGAATGTAAAATGGTTCAACCATTATTGAAGACAATGTGGCAATTCCTCAAGGACCTAGAACCAGAAATAACATCTGATCCAGCAATCCCATTACTGGGTATATACCAAAAGGAATATAAATCATTCTATTATAAAGATACATGCACATGTATGTTTATTGCAGCACTATTCACAATAGCAAAGACATGGAACCAATCCAAATGTCCATCAATGATAGACCAGATAAAGAAAATGTGGTACATATACACCATGGAATACTATGCAACCACAAAAAGGAATGAGATCATGTCCTTTGCAGGGACATGGATGAAGCTGGAAGCCACCATCCTCAGCAAACTAACACAGGAACAGAAAACCAAACACCACATGTTGTCACCCATAAATGGGAGCTGAACAATGAGAACACATGGACACAGGGAGGGGAACATCACACACTGGAGCCGGTGGGCGGGGAAGGGTGAGGGTGATGGGTTGATAGGTGCAGCAAACCACCATGGTACATGTATACCCTATGTAACAATCCTGCACGTTCTGCACATGTATCCCAGAATTTAAAGTAATAAAATAAAATAAAGAAAAATAAAATAAAATAAATCCTCACACACAAAACAAAAAACAAACAAACAAAAAAAACTGTGGCTCCAACTCCTCCTATGCCAGAAAAAAGAGTACCCATACTTTCACTCTCACCAGGCTATAACTAGGTGCCCCCAATGCAGTAGGTGTCAGAGAAGGCAGAGCAAATGTTTAAATGCTAAAGGAACAAATGGCAGATGAGATCCATGGAAAAGCTAGCTATTGGGTTAGGAGATAAGAAGAATAAATCAATTAGTGACACAATGGTACTTCTATAACTTAAAAGAAAAATATTGGAATAGCACAGTGAAACAGATGATTACAGGTAGGGGGCGTATCAAATTGACACTGTCTCCTTCTCCCAATTCTGATCACAGCAATAAATACCCAAAAATACTTCAGTTTTTGCTTGGTATCTCTTAAATTCTCCAATATTCTCAACAGCAGTATGGATGGCCAGCGTAGCAGTTAGTGTCATCAGCCAGTCTTATTAAAAAACTGAGTTGACAAATGGCTATAACCAGGAAGCAGGGTTTATCTTAAAGATAGCTTTAAGTCATGCCTAAAAATTAAAGCCATGGCAGGCCTGAGGACAGTCCACAGGCAGGCCTCATTTTATTTTTATTTTTTCCTTAGATCCAGGGACAGACTGGATAGACCTAATTTTAAATACAAGTTTTATAGAGACCTTAAATAGCAAAGAACCAGGTAGGAAGAGAATAAATTAAAATGAGACTAAAGATAAGTATAGGAAAAGGAAATGTTGAAAGCTTGAAAAAACAATTTGGAAAATATATTTGCAGATTCATGTACTTTATAAACCTATTTATAGAGTACTAGTAATATGTTTTATTATTTTTGTCTCTAAATCTTTCCTATATATTAGTAAAAGAGAATTGTACCCAAAAGTATAAATGGCAAAATCCTACATCACTAAATACTTATCTTTAAAAATAAAAAAGCCTATTTGACTTCACAAGATTTTATAAAACAAAAAAGCAGATTTTAAAATATTCTACTAGTTATAAAAATCTGGAAATAAAAAAAGGATACAGCATCCATAGCTATGAGATGAAACCTTCTATTTCTTGCTTCTTCCCTGTTAAAACAAATTTTTTTAAGAAAATTCAAAATGTTTATATTCAAATTAACATAATCAAATCCCCTAATCCGAAGCAACTTAAACCAAGAAATAGAATTGACACTGAAATACCATACCTATCCAGCAATTCTGCTGCAACTTGTTTATGGGCCACCTTTCCATGTTTTTCTTTCTGAAATGGTTTTTGGAGCAGTAAGTCATCTTCAACTGTCCTGATATATTAAGAAGAAAATAAGAGTTCACTTTTTTCAAAGGTTATTTTCTAATTCTTTATATTTTCATAACTGGAATATACTTTAAAGAATGTAAGTCTTAACTTTAAGAAGACTCACTGATCTTTAATGAGATATTTTACATTTCCTTAAATAGCTTAATTAATACCTTAACATTATTTTAATACCTATAACACGGGGAAGATGAAACTAACAAAAGCATGGACTCTAGTGTCATATCACCTAGCTTCCTGATTCAAATCCTAATTCTGTCAATTACTACCTTAATCTTAATAAGATTCAATTATTTATCTCTTTGTTTCTTCATTTCTCTATCTGTAACATAGTGATAAGGAAGTTTTTGGTAATTAATGATACACAAAAAGCAAGGCTGATTATAGAGAACACAAACCACAGATCCAGCTCGCCCAACCCATGGGCCTCATGTGGCCCAGGATGGCTTTGAATGTGGCCCAACACAAATTTGTAAACTTTCTTAAAACATTAAGACACTTTTTCACATTTTTTTAAACCTCATTGGCTATCATTAGTGTATTTTACGCAGGCCCAGCACTGCTTCAGGCCAACAATGTGAACCAACAGATTCACAATTGTGTGTGCTCCACTGTAGTACGTGGCCCAAGACAATTCTTCTTCCGATGTGGCCCAGGAAAGCCAAAAGACTGGACACCCTGCCATAGACTGTCAGCCCTAGTTATAGTGATGAATATAATCCTGGAGCAGAGTATCCAACTAGATTTGCTCAAATTCTATTCTTACAAAGTAGTATTTTTGAATGAAAAATCTAGAAAATGTAAAGCATCAAAAATGTAATTTATTATAATTAGTACTATCCTTTATTGCAGAGACTGAGTATCCTATAAAAATGTTCAGAACCTGTTAGTATGCCTAATATATTGCTCTCAGTGTGAAATAATAAGCCAATTTCTATACATTTGCTTAAAAAAATCAGTCAACAGCCGTGTAAGTTTGGTTAGTATACATCAGTCAACCACTCCTGAGTCAAAGTATAAAACTGAGTTTCTATGCACTGAAAGCTAAGAACAATGCTCCTACGCACAGCAGCTCCACCAAGACGTATCCTGCTTATAACGCACAGGCTTTATGTGCTAAGAGTTTTTGTCTCTTGCAATTCAAAAAAACCTTCCTTGAGTTTCTTCCCGTGACCTTAGTCTGCTCATTCACGTATGCGTAAGAACTGTGCTGCATTATACTTTCATCCTCCATATTAACTTCACTTTGAAGGCAAGTAATGGCAAGAGACCACCATTCAAGCCCCTTCTGAGCTACAACATTTACAAATAAACAGTCCTTGACAGTTGAATGAAAAATATATGTAATGAAAAGGTTTCACTGATTTCTGAAAAGATTCCAGAAATCTGAAACTCTTCTTTCCCTTTCAATAAACCCCTTTGCAGAATTAATTTTTATTTTTCCCACAATTGTTCTCCAATTTTTAATCAATGTATTAGCTTAATGAACAAAAATTCATTCACTAGAGCAATTGTCTTCACATGTAAACAGAATTCAAAAATTTCACTCTTGTTTATTTATACTTCATATTAATCTAGAAAGGATGTGAAAAATAGATCAATAAAAAAAAATTACTTACCTTTTTTTCCTTTTGCTGGATTCTCCACAGCGTTCATCATCACTAAAATCAGAATCATAGCCTCCATGACCATGCATCTGTAAAGGAGTACAAAGTCAGCTATTTAGAATCTATGTTGCCAATTGTCCAGGAAACAATAATTCAAAAATAAGTTATCTTAAACAGCCACAATAGTTTTAAAGGATCATTGTGGGCAGATTCCTATTCACAGGCCATCTAGCCATCTAAAACTTTCATTCGCTTTTAAATAAGAGACATACCTTTCAGGAAATGCATCAACATTTTTCACCCTTAATTATCATTAGGTGAACAAAGAAGGCTACTCTTTGATCTTTTCACTGAAAAACCAGGCCTAAAAGCTGCAGTGACTGCTTACAAGGTTTAGCAATCCTTCACTTTTGATTCAGAGTAGTAATAATCACTGTGTGTTTATCACCAACTTTGTTCTAGACATTGTGTTAAATACTTTACAAACAACACTTCTAATTCTGCAAGTTAGAAAGTTATCTTCATTTAGGAATGAAGTAATCAAAGTTAAGTAAATCTATTTACAAATCCAGTAAGTGGCTAATCTGCTGTACTTGATTCCTGCGCCCACAATTTCAATTACTCCAAATTTCCTCTCTGGAATATGATTTACTATATTCCAGGAGAATTACAGTATTTGTGAACAGTACATCATCAATTGATGAAAATTTTCCTGTAATCTTTTTCAATATATGTAGAGATTTCCATTTTCTTTTGAGTTTCTTTAAGGTAAACCACCTTGCCCTTTGGATTAGTCAGCTTTCTCTTGTTTCATTTTATTTATCCAGTTATTTTTGGAGAGTCTCGCTCTATTGCTCAGGCTGGAGTGCTGTGGCGCCTTGATGGCTCACATCCTCAACCTCCTGGGCTCAATCAATCCTCCCACCTCAGCCTCTCCAAGTAGCTGAGACTACAGGAGTGCATAATCACACCTGGCAAACTTAAAAAAATTTTTTTTTTGTAGATAAGGGGTTTCGCCATGTTGCCCACGCCGGTCTCAAACTCCTGGGCTTGAGCAATCCGTCCACCTCAGCATCCCAAAATGCTGGGACTTCATTTTAGAACTGAAATTCTTAGAAATGCTGGAAGACCTCAGTTGCCACTCAATTGTATTGGAAGAAGCTCCTAGTTCCAGCTTTGCACTGAATTTGGAACACACACTAAGAAGGAAGGATGGACTATTTGATGTCATACATAACTAATTTACATGGCTGGAAGGAACAGTCCAGGTTAAATGATATATCAAATTGTTAAAACTAATATAACGACAGCAAGTGCAGCTGGAAAAAGAGGAAAGAACTCTCTAAACTTCATTGCATTGGATCTAGGGTAAACGACATGTTTCTAGTCCTGGCTACCTTGAATAAGTCATTTCATCTCCCTGGACTTCATCTATTAAATAAGATAGCTACATGAAATAATCTTTAAGTTGTTTAAATCTTTAAATAACCTTTAAAGTCTGTAATTCCATTTTCAAACATAGGTGTGTGGGTATATACCTCTCTTCTCTGCCCCACTAAAATCCTAGATAGGAAGATGCTAGTTAAGGTTGGAGATGAAGGTTTGAAAGCCCGAGTTCCAACTCTACCCTCCCTTACATCTGTTATTGCCTTACACACCTGGATTTTACACCCTTTTTTAGGTCAACTCCAGCTGTCTTACCACATCTGTTCAAGCCATATTGTCCTCTCACTCTTTGTCCTATGTCCTCACGTTCTTTACATCTTGATGGGGGACAGCTGTAGTGTGTTTAGAGATATATTCTAGGATCAGCCTACTAGATTTCACTGCTTGGCTCTGCACTTTCCATTTGTCTTTCTTTGGGCCTGTTCCTTAACCTCTCCAAGCCTCAGTGTCCTCATTTATAAAAAGAGGCTAGTAAGATGGCTGACCTCATACGAATGGAGATTAAAAGAGTTGCCTCATCTAAAGGGTTTTAACGGTGTCTTGTACAGTGAAACCCAGTAAATGTTACATCATCATCATCATCTTTTCCCTCGCCCCAGGACACGACTTCCTATTCTTGCTCCCACTCTCCCATTTCTTTATTCGCTGGCCGCTCCATCCGACCCATACCTATCTTAACTCACTGGTTGAACTAAAAAGCTCTCACTCACTTCAGGCCTACGAATCAACTGACAAGAGCGGGGAGAAACTCAAAAACGGAGATGCCAGGTGTCTCCAGAATCTGTCATCCAAAAAAAAAAAAACCAAACCAAAACAAAAAAAAACCCGACGATCAGCTAGTACTATATGAAAAACAAGTTTTGAGGTCCTTCTCCCTGATGCCAAATATACCCACAGCCCTCCTCACACACCCTTTCCCTTCCTCCCTGTGTGCCAAGTTCGCCCCCGGAGTCGTCGTTTCCTTCTTTCCCGGCAGCTGCAGCGACGACCCACGGCCTGAGAGAGCCGCTGCAGCACAGGTCCCGTGCGCCCTGCCGCACAGCCTCGCCACAACCACCACCGCCGCCGCCGCCGCCGCCGCCGCCCGCAACCCGCCTCTCCCTACGGGTCCCGACTGGGCACCACTTCCGGTCCGACACGGCCACGTGTTACATCTAAATGGCACCGTCCCCCGAGTGCGCCGACCTTGTGCTACAGCCAGAACAGCTCCGGGAAACAAGGGCAGCGGGAGAAACGGCCCGGAAAGGGACGAAGAGGCTTCCAGCTTTCGCCAAGTCGCGGCTCCCAGTTTTTCCCTGGGCCTCCTTCCTTTCCCCTCTAGGGAATCCGGCATCTAGTACCGCTGGCACTGCTTGCTGCTTAGCCCACGCCTCTCATTTGAAAATATATTTTGTTTTACCGTGCCTATCACCTGCCGTCCTCTCTCTAGTAACCTTAGTAACGCCTCCTCGGAGGATCCTCTCAGAGCAGCTCATCAGCGCTTCAGATCAGCCTCTCCCTCCTTCCCCCAGTAAAACAGTTCTCATAATTAGAACAAAAATATCTCTCCATCGTTTCGCCACCCACACAATAGATACCATTCCAAAAGCAGTGCTGATGGCAGAAGAGCTCATCGAATTTGTGAGGAAAGAAAGAATAGGAGGAGAGATTTCTCAGGGTTGAGGATTCTCTGCCGACAAGCGACCTGGCACATGCGAAAAGGGATCCAAAATAGAATCTTAAAAAGAAGAAGAAAAAAGGCAGGAAAAGTTGGATTATTTTAAGCGCCACTAGGTTCTTCCTGTGCTTTGCGTTTTCTACATCACGACGCCCCACTCTTTCCACTCTAGTTGTTTGGTTCATGTCTTGTCTCTCGCTGGCATTAGCAGCTATTCATTTTTTGCTTCCTCCTCAGTACCCAAAACGGTGCCTTGGAAATCACAAGTGCTAATTAAATATTTGTTGAATTGAACTGGCACGCTTCTGGCGTTTACAGTGGGCCCTTTTTAGAGAAAACCTTGGCACTTAATGCACAGTCATTTTACATCTTTTGCCCTAAACAGTAGATAACGATATCCTTATCAGTTCAAGTCTCTAACCCTGACAATAAATTATAGATACATTCTGCTTTATCCATTGCACTGAATGTGATCTTAAAAGGCTATAAGATAAATTAAATTATTGTAAATTAACTTATTCCAAAATGCAATCAGATTATACTTCAATAAAAACTTTTACTAAAAAAAGTGAAAGCAATAGGAAGCCTTACAATTTGACGTTATAGTATATGGAATTATTTTGTCAAGCAGTTTCTTTTTTGGTAAATATATTAAATATATAATTATTTTATTGTTAATAAAACTAAACAGACCTATACCTCATATCCAATTTCCTTTCTATCCATATTTGACATTTATTAGCATTTTTCTACCATCCCTAGCATCTTCTTGTTTGTTGCTTCATTTTACTCTTCCAACAACCCTGTGCTGCTGTGTTATTAGCCTCATTTTACACATAAGGAAGAGAGGCACAGAACCTAAAGCCACAAACCTGGTGAGGGTCGAGAACTGGGTAGTACTTGTGTCTGTCTCTCTATAAGACCCAGTTTCTCTCTCTCTCTTTCTCTCTTTTCTCTCTCTCTCTCTGTCTCTCTCTCCCCCACTTCATGGATTGTGTGGGAAGTAGCTTCTGGTTCCAACATTTCTAAGAATTTCAGATCTGTTGCTACCAGTCCATTCAGGCAAAGATTTCCATTTTTTACTTTGAGACAGCAGTTACTGAAAAAGAGTAAATAGAAAATATATATTAGGCATAGATTGCATGATCTGAACTAGAAATAATACAGGATAGAAAACCCACCTGCTTAGGAAATCTCAAGTTAACAATTATAGCTCAACAACAATAAAAAACACAAACATTTATTCAGTGCCTACTCTGGGCAGGACACTGCCCTAGACATCAGGGTTACAGGTATGTAACAGCAACTCCTTATCCTTGAAGGTTGACTAGTAAGACAGACAATGTGTGGAATAACTACAACAATATATTCTATCATATACCAAGTGTCTAGTACATGCATGAACCTGTTGTTCCTAATTTATAAAATATGTTATTTCAATGGATATGAAAATTTAAATGTGCACCAATGCTATGTAACTCAAAGCAACAAAATACTATATTAAGTATGTGGTCAGGATGAGGGAAGTTGGGTGATGATGGTGGTGATAATACCAAGTAATAATTCTGATATAAACTATGACTGTGCATTCTTTTTTATTCAAGACCGAGTCTCACTCTGTCACCCAGGCTGGAGTGTAGTGGCGTGATCTCAGCTCACTCCAACCCCTGCCTCCTGGGTTCGAGCAATTCTCCTGTCTCAGCCTCCCGAGTAGCTGGGACTAGAGGCGCACACTACGCCCGGCTAATTTTTGTATTTTTTTACTAGAGATGGGGTTTCACCATGTTGGTCAGGCTGGTCTCGAACTCCTGACCTCAGGTGATCCACCCACCTTGGTCTCCCAAAGTGCTGGACTTACAGGCGTAAGCCACCGCGCCCAACAAATGTGCATTCTTTCTTTTCTTTTCTTTTTTTTTTTTTTGAGACAGGGTCTCACTTCATCACCCAGGCTGAAGTATAGTGGTGCCATCTCAGCTCAACCTCCACCTCCCGGGTTCAAGCCATTCTCCTGCTTCAGCCTTCCCAGTAGCTGGGACTACAGGTGTGAGCCACCATGCCTGGCTAATTTTTGTATTTTTAGTAGAGGCAGGGTTTCACCATGTTGGCCAGGCTGGTCTCGAACTCCTGACCTCAAGTGATCCCGCCTTGGCCTCCTAAAGTGCTGGGATTACAGGGGTGAGCCACTGCGCCTGGCTGAATATGCATTCTTCTAATACTGTGTGTCTTTGAGAAGATTGCATTTTCCATGTTCTTTTTATAATATGATGCTGACACTTCTCTAACATAAGCTAATACCTATGGCCACAGCTTTGAATCTGGGCATGTCAGTGACTATAGCAGAAGTAATGCTAAGACACTTCTGATGCTAAGTTGCAAAAGGTGTTAGAGCTTCTGCCTGGGTTTGTCACTCTACTTCTTTAGCTGACATGGAGTGGAGCAGAGATGAAGTAACTTCACTGAGCCTCACCCAGATTGCAGACTAATAATCAGAATAAGTATAATTGTTTCAAGCCACTAAGACTTTGAGGTTGTTTGTTATATACCGATAAATATCCAGAACCATCTGCTGTCTCACTTAACCTCCATAACATTTGATGTTATGGAGCCACGCTGGGCTTTCTTTGTTTCTTCAACATGCATGCCTCTTCAAATTTACCATTTCCTCTACCCGGAATGGTCTTAAACCCTTTCTGTTTGCCTCCCTAACTCCTCTTTATCCTTCAAAACTCAACTTAGGTGAAGGAAAGGCCTTTCATGAGCATCTCTCCCACAGACTAGATAGGATTACTGATAATATGCACATTACTTTCCATTGCACTTAGCTACATACGTAGTAATAATTTAGCCCTGTTTCCCTCACTGAGATGCAAGCTCCACAATGGCAGGAAGCATACCTCTCTTTTTCAGTGTGGAATCCCCAGTGCTCAGCACAGTGCCAGACACATGATAGTTGCTCAGAATATTTATTGAACAAATGAAGTGGGTACTATTATTATCCCTATTTTACAATAAGAAAACAGATTTTTTTAAAAAAATTATATAACACTTCCAGAGTCATGAGTAAGCAAATGGGGCACAAATATAAGTGACTTCAAAGCTCACACCATATATATGTGTGTGTGTGTGTGATATGGTTTGGCTCTGTGTCCCCAGCCAAATCTTATGTTGAATTGTAATCCCCAATGTTAGAGGTGGGGCCTAATGGGAGGTGATTGGATCATGGGGGTGGTTTCTAATGGTTTACCACCATCTCCCTAGTGCTGTCTTGTGATAGAATTTTCAAGAAATCTGGTTGTTTAAAAGTGTGTAACACCTCCCTCTTTGCTCTCTTTCTCCTACTCCTGCCATGTAAGACATGTCTGCTTCCTCTTCACCTTCCACTACGATTGTAAATTTCCTGAAGCCTCCCCAGCCGTGCTTCTTGTGCAGCCTGTAGAACTGCGAGTGAATTAAACCTCTTTTCTTTACAAATTACCCAGTCCCAGGTAGTTCTTTATAGCAATGTGAGTACTAATACTAAATATATACATATATATATACACACACACATATATGTATATATAGAGAGAGATAAGTAGAGAGAGAGTGTTATCTCTCTGTTGCCCAGGCTAGAGTGCAGTGGCACAGTCATGGCTCACTGCAGCCTCAACTCCCAGGCTCAAGCAATCTTCCCACCTCAGCCTGCTTAGTAGCTGGTCCATAGGCTGCTGCCACCACACCTGGCTATTTGAAAAAAGATTTTTGTAGATACAGGGTCTCACTATGTTTCTCAGGCTGGTCTCACACTACTGAGCTCAAGCTATACTCCCACCTCGGCCTTCCAAAGTGCTGGGATTACAGGTGTGAGCCACAGCACCTAGCCCAAAGCTCACGCTATTGACCACCATACATATTGCCTTTCAATAAGGCCCATGGTGGTTTGTGATACTTAAAAGAATTAGAAACTTTTTTTATGGAGGAAAGGTACCACATACATTGAGACAGAGGGATTAGTAAGAGGCAGGAAAGGCTTTGTAGAGGAAGTGGGACTTAAGCTATGACTTAAAGGTAGCTCTTGAGAGGAGAGGAGAGGAGAGGAGAGGAGAGGAGAGGAGGGGGCAGTCAAGGCAAGGGAGTTTCGGTAAAGGATTAGAGGTGGAAATATCCACAGGTTATTTAGAGGAATTTGAGTAGCTCACTTGAGCTGGAGAAGAATTTTTGAAAAGGATTAGTGAAAGAAAGATCAGAAAGAGAGATTAGAGCTAGATTTGGGGCATTCTTAAATGCTAGGGTGCAGAGATTAGTTTAGAGCTAGGGAAGTATTGTACATAATACAGTGGTGGTTTGGACTGGTAGATATCTGAAATCAAATTTATATATAAATCCTGGCTCTGCCATTTACCAGCTATGTGGCGTTGAGCATCACTTAATGTTCTTCAAATTTTCATCGTCTTCTGTAAAATGGGAATAATGACAGTAACTACTTCACAGTATTCTTGTGAGAATCAATTAAACGTTGCATTTAAAGTGTTTAGGCTACTGCCTGGCACATGGTAAGACTTAAATGTTCACTAAATGTTCACTTAAATGTTCACTATTGTTTTAAAGAGGAGGCAATATAGATAGAGTACAGGAAGTGGTGGGAATGGAAATGGAAAATTTCATTTAAGAGTGAGTTGAAGAAATAAGTGGTAAAAGATATGAGTCATTGGGCATAGGGCACAAAGGATACAGAAGTGAAAGGTACCTCCAAAGCTGAAGACACTGAAATAACATAGGTGCCCCTGATGGAAATGGAGGGGGTGACTAAAAAATGACATTGTCTTGGGGAAATGATAAGTTGGCTTCAAATGGGGATTTGGCACTACAACAAAACACACAAACAATTAAAATACCTCTTCCAAGCAAAAGTGTGATGCTTGCAGACATCGTTTTTAGCATACTCTACCTCTTCATTCTTCACCTGTTCATCTTTTTATAGGTCCTCACTCTTGTCCGTCACTTCTCCCCCATCAACCCCCAAAATGTTATCGTTCCTTTCCCCCTCAAAGGCTGCTCTGCGAAACAGTAAAGAACCATACTTTAAAGTCAACTAGACCTGCATTCTGCTATGTACTAGCTAGGAGAACTTGGGCAACTTGTTTGATTTTCACATCTATAAACGGGGATAATAATAGTTCCTATCTCACAGAGGGTTGATGAAATTTGAAATGAAATGATACAGTTGAAATGCTTAGCATAATGTGATGCCTAGTTCATAGTAAGTATGTAATAAATCCTACTTGAGAAAATAATTAGAAAAGTTTAACAATTAACTGCTTCTCAAATACAGTCCAGAAACAGACCTATATATATAATATAGTCCTATGATTAATGGTATAGGGTTAAGTATAGTCTTTTCAATAAATAGACCCAAGTCAATTGAATAATACAGTAAAAAATATTGATTTCTACCTCACACTGTATACAAAAGTCAATTTCAAAGAAAATGTAGGAAAATATCTTCATGATATGATAACTTCCTTAGGGCAAGAAAAATTTTCTTAAATAGGACACACAGGGAGCTAACCATAATGAAAACACAATAAAGAACTTCTGTTCACTTAAAATACTTTATTGAGAAAATGAAAAGTTAAGACATAGGGTGGGAGAAAATATCTACAATATGTATATCCAACAAATTATCAGAATATATACAAATCTTCAAAAATCATTATGTAAAAGACAGCCCAAGAGGCGCGTTTGCTCATGCCTGTAATTCCAGCACTTTGGGAGGCCAAGGTGGGTGGATCATTTGAGGTCAGGAGTTCCATGAGACCACCCTGGCCAACATGGTGAAACGCTGTCTCTACTAAAAAATACAAAAATCAGCCAGGCATTGTGGCACACACCTGTAATCCCAGCTACCTGGGAGACTGAGGCCCGAGAAACACTTGAACATGGTAGGTGGAGGTTGCAGTGAGCCAAGATTGCACCACTGCACTCCAGCCTGGGTGACAGAGTGAGACTCGGTCTCAAAGAAAAAAAAAAAACTATTACATAAAAGACATAAACCTAATAGAAAAATTCTCAAAAGACTTGACCAGAAAATACACAGACGAAAGATAGCCAAATGGCCAATGCACATAAAACAAAGCACGCATCTTTACTAGTTATCAGATAAATATCAAGTAAGCACACCACTACCACTACACACCCATCAGAATGGCTAAATGGAAAATACAAATCTGGTGTTGGAGAAGATGTGGCATGACTGTGACTCTTATATGCTGGTGATGGGAGTGTAAATTGGTACAGCTACCTTGGAAAAGATGTTTGATAGTACCTTGTACCTACTAATGCTGATCGTGCCTATCCTAGGTTTCATCAATTCCACTCCTCAATGTATTTCCAACAGAGAAGTGTATATGTATTCACTGAAAGACCTGAACAAGAATGTTCATAAGAGCTCTATTTGCATATAAAAATCCAGAAACAACCCAAATGTCCATCAGCATTAGAATAGTTAAGTAAAAGGTGGTTTATTTGCACAGTGGAATACTATGCAGCAATAAAAATCAACAAACTACAACTACGTGCAACAGCATGGATGAATCTCATGAGTATTGAGCTGAGCAAAAGAAGCATTACATATGAAAAAGAGTACATACAACAAATCCCATTTATATAAAAGACAAAACCAAATAAACAAAATGACAACTATGTGAGGTAATGTATATATTAGTTAGCTAGATTTAGTCATTCCACATTGTATATGTACTTCAAAACAAGATGTTGTACAAGGTAAATACTTATAATTGTATATGCCAATTCAAACAAACAAACAAAAGTAATCTATCTTGTTCCAAGTTAGGATAGTGGTTTCCCTGATGAGGGAGGGGAAGGGACTACAAAGGGATACAAGGAAGAAGGGGTGGCTTCTGAGGACATGGCAAAGTTCTGTTTCTGGTCCTGGTATTGGTTACATGAGTGGTTCATTCACAACCATAATTTGTGCACTTTTATGTATGAGTGTTATAGTCAATAAAAAGTTTACATTAAAAAACTTAATTGCTCCTAGGGGTTTTTAAAACTTTGGTAAATGGAAGTTTTGGTGATTTAAGCAACTTCAGGCGTGAAAGAACAGATTAGGAAGTGGATAGGTGGAATTTTCTGGGGCCTTGGAAATTATGCCACAGAAGTGCTTACATACTCAAAGACAAATTTCCTGTAGGCATTGAGACAGAGGCCTGCGGGAGCTCTGTAAATGCTGAGAAAGACTCTAGTCAGCATCCAAAGGACTGAAAGTTCCCGGGCCTTGAACACTTGGCAAGGTCAGCCTGCACTTTCTGTATATTTATAAGCTCAGATCTGGAAGAAGGTAGCTCCACACCTGCATGGTAAAGCTCGGTCCTTGAATAGAGACACAGCCCAATAGTGATCTGCAAGCTGGCCAAAGGTCAAGCCCTTGCTTGTGGAAATGGCTGGAGCAGGCTGCCAGAGAGGTTGCACTGCACAAATTCTGTGCCTGGAATGGACATTGGGAAGCAAAAGTGGAGAGACAGCAGTATACCAATTAGCCAAATGAATTGATTGTCATTTTTGGCCTGCTCCCAGGAGATGAGAACAGAGACAGGATGTCTGGTAAACCCCTCTCTGAGACAGTTGTGGATAAGGAGCCTTGTGATTAAGAGATAGGGAGACACTTACCGGGTCAGATGAGATGAGAGGCAGAAACCAGGAATGCTAAACATCACCGGGAAACTGATGCTGTTATTTTCTGTCATATAATATCTGCAGGTATGACGGTTTCATGCTTCACTTAGGAAAATGCAAAGTGGGGAGACCTACTGTAATAATCAAGGTTGAAGAGTGCTGTGTCTCTAGATCATTCCTCAAGGCCTCGCTGGGCCTGGGGCTATAATCATGGGAAAGACATCATTCCCATCTTCAAGACTCACCTCTAGGTAGGACACAGACACAGAAACAAGTAATTACAATACAATGGGGTGGGCAGTAATAGGAACAGGCTCAGAAAGCTATGGGGACACTAGGGAGGAGCCCCTAATCCTAAGAGAGAGCAGGAAAAGGCTTCAGAGACAGGACTTTACACTTGTGTTCACAATGCTGAAACCACAGTTTAACTCTGGGCTCCAAATTGTGCTGCCTTTGCGTCCAAAGGAGAGGGAGATATAGGACTTCCTTTCAGGCCTCCCACACTCACCAGTGATGCCCCACAGCCCCTCTCTCTATATAAGGTATAAGCAAGCTCCAAGTAGGAGTTGACCATATCACATGATTTCACAGTTTATGAACACCAAGTTGACCATGCAGACAGTGTGCTGGGATGATCAAGTAAAATGTACAGTGAAGTAGGTCATGTGTTTAAGGATACATGTCATGATTATTATGTAGTCAGGCAATTCGAAATAAACAGTAAGTAATTTTTCTAAATGATGCCTTGATTAACAAATTATCCGAAACTAAAATCTCTTTGGCTAGTTGTCCTAGTACTGAAAGTGACAATTGGTGGTAGGAAATAGAAATACTTAAACACCCACAGAAAATATAAAAGACTGAATAGATTCACGGAACAGTGGTGATTAGAAGATGGAATTTGTACTCCTCCTCACTTAGGCTGTATAAAAGTAACAGCACTCAAATACTTGTATTCATAAATAGAACTTTTTAAATAACAAATTTTATTGTCAGAACTTTTGTTGAACAGTGTAGGAGCATACAATAGAAACACAGGCCAGAACTGCTGGAGCAATCTACTTTTCAGGAGAAGTTAGAAATTTGGATTTTTAGATTTAGAAATTTGGATTTTTAGATTCAATATCCTGATTTTTTATATAGGCATCTAATTCAAGTTTAAAAATCAAAGCAAAACACCCTGTGGAAAAAACACTTCTGTGAGCTGAATTCAGCCCATAGGTTGCAAATTTCCAAGGCGATGATTCATTTCCCTCAGGACTGTGCCTTTAGCGATGGTGGTTTGGAAGCAGAGGTTATGACGCTGTCTCAGATGCATCTCTTGGGGGTTAGACAGGCTGCAGGTAAGCCAGGCATGGAGGCATGTGGACACCTTCAAGGGAAAAGTCAAAAGTCTTAAGCTCCCAGGAAAAGAGCCTTGAGACCCAGACCACAGCAAGGGGCAGTTCTTAAGTTCCTGGGCAGGAATATCAGTGCTGGTTGAGAAGATGAAGGTGTCACCCAGACTGGAGGGATGGAATTCACATCCCAGAGCACGTTGACAATATTGAATTTCACTGAAGCCCTTTGCTCCTGGAAGACAGTGATGGGTAAAGTAAACCCCTCCCATCCCCCCACACCAACCTTTTTTTGCACGTTCTAGAAAACAGCTTACTGCAAAAAACTGAGGTAGGAGGTGGGACTCAACTCTGGAGGTGGTGCTTGGACACTGGACCATATTGAGGACTAGCTAAAAGAGGGACAGAGCAGAAGCACCTCTCCGTAAGGCACGCCCACCTGTGTGCCATGTCAGTTTACCATTGCCATGGCAACACCCTGAAGTTACAGCCCCTTTCAGTTACAACTTGATGACCTGGAAACTACCACCCTTTTCCTAAAAATGTCTGCATAATCTGCCCCTTAATTTGCATGTAATTAAAAGTGGGTATAAATATGACTGCAGACTCGCCTTTGAGCTGCTACTCTGGGCACACTGCCATTGGTACCTCTGCTGCTGCTGCCAATGCTGGAACCTGCTGTGTCAATAAAAGTTGCTGTCTAAAACCACCAGCTTACCCTTGAATTCTTTCCTGGGTGCAGCCAAGAACCCTCCCCTGCTAAGCCCCAATTTTGGGACTCATCTGCTCTGCATCAGAACGACTCTTTCTCATATGACTTAGATAAGATGCACAGATGCCCTGTGTTTAACCTATGGCAAAATTAGATACAGACCGAACAAATTCTCATTCCTTACCTGATAAATGATGAGCTGAACTGCTTGTCCCCACTGAGCAATTGAACAAAATGCTTGTTAACCAAACTTTGATTCAATTTCTCTCCTTCCCCTAAGCCCCTGCACTTTGGCCCACCCCCACTCCCAGCCTGAGCCAGCACACAGCCCATCCTGAGAACAGGCTGGCCTCAGAGTAAGACATTGTATGGCCTACTATCCCATCAGGCCACCCTTTCATTCCCTTTTCCCACACCCTGTTGTTTTTAGCCTTGGTTACTTTTCTCTGTTCAAGAGACAGTCCCTTTCTTAAGGTCTCAGTATTTTCCCCATTGCAATAGTACACTTCCCCTACTGCAATAGTCCCTTTCTCTCCTGTAGTAATCTTTTTAAATAAAAGGTTGTCCTCACTAAGTGCAGATTTGCTTTTTACTTGGCAGTGTTCTTATGCATCCTATCCTACTTAGCAAAATTTCTGACAATAAGCATGCTGTCGGCCAGACGTGGTGGCTCGCACCTGTAATCCCAGCGCTTTGGGAGGCCAAGGTGGGCGGATCACAAGGTCAGGAGTTTGAGACCAGCCTGACCAACATAGTGAAATCCCGTCTCTACTAAAAATACAAAACTTAGCCAGGCATGGTGGCATGCGCCTGTAATCCCAGCTACTCAGGAGGCTGAGGCAGGAGAACCACTTGAACCTGGGAGGTGGAGGTTACAGTGAGTTGAGATCACACCATTGCACTCCAGCCTGGGTGACAGAGGGAGACTCCGTCTCAAATAATAATAATAATAATAATAATGAAGAAGAAGAAGAAGAAGCATGCTGTCGTGCTGCTGCTGTTGAAAACATTCTGTGTATGACCAGAACCATTATGTATAGGGTGCTGCCCTCTCACATGGCAAAAATTAAGTAGCAGCTGAATTGACCCCAGGTTACTGGACAGGGAGTGGCTAGAGGGCAAGAGTAAGGCCAGTAGTCCCTCTCGGCCTCCATGTCCCCACACTCAGTTCTCTTCTTCAGAGACTGCCTTCTCAGGCCCCTGCTGTTCTGTGGGGCTGGGATTGGTTGTTCTTTTCTATCTTATGCTATCAGCCATTTCCATGGCTCAAAGGACCATCTGCATGCCAATGTGTCCCAGTTTATATTAATACCTCCAGCCCAGACGTCTTTACTGAGCTCCAGACTCCCATAGTCACCTCCTCACTTAACATCTCCTCATGGCTGTCTCCAACTTAATATGACAAAAACTGAACTCTTACCTTCTGCTCCAAACTAACCCCACTTCTGAGACAGAGCAGAGGCCCCTCTTAGGCGCCTGCCATCAGTTGGAACTGATGCCCCAACTCAGTCACCTCTACCTTTTCCATGGTCACACAACTAGTAACTGAGCTGAAATGTGAACTAGGCTGCAAGACTAGGCCCCAAACCCCAGCGTAGAGATAAAGGAAAAATTTTGAATCCCTTCAAGGCAGATTCCAGGCACCTTTCAACCAGCAATTAGAGAAGTAAATGAATCACCCACAAAGCAAGAAGGTAATAATAACTTAAACAATAGTCATCCAGGCCAGGCGCGGTGGCTCACGCCTGTAATCCCAGCATTTGGGAGGCCGAGGCGGGCAGATCACGAGGTCAAGACATCGAGACTCTCCTGGCCAACATGGTGAAACCCCGTCTCTACTAAAAATACAAAAATTAGCTGGGCGTGGTAGTGGGGGCCTATAGTCCCAGCTACTTGGGAGGCTAAGGCAGGAGAATCACTTGAACCCGGGAGATGGAGGCTGCAGTGAGGCAAGATCCTGCCACTGCACTCTAGCCTGGCAACAGAGCAAGACTCTGTCTCAAAAAAAAAAAAAAAGCCATCCAAGTAAGCCAGACTCACAAAATGTTTCATTCCCTATAGAAACTAAAGATAGCACCTTGAATTGTTTTTCAGAAACCTGGAGCCCCATCAGATAGAAAATGCTGACTCCCCTCCTGTAGATCTTGGATAAGGGGAAACTGAGGACTATACTCTGACTGCCATTCTTTGTTCTAATTTTCATCCTCAGGGGCCTGAAGAGCATCACACCTACAGGCCAAAACTTAACATTCCTTTCTGCTGGCCCCAAGGTTTTAGGTAAAGCCTTGCTTTTTTTTTTTTACCAGTTGCAAATCAAGGAATCTCTGAATCCACCTATGACCTGTAAGCTCTTGCTTGAAGATATCACACTTTTGGGTCCAAATGAATGTCTAACCTCCAGGTATGTATGATTTTGCCCATAACTTCTACTTTCCTGAAATGTACCCTTGCCTGTAAAAAGCCTTGCTTGTAAGTCATCTGGGAGCTCAGGTCTTAACCATTAGCTGTCCACTTCTCCTTGCTTGGTGTGCTGCAATAAATGTCTTTTTTTTCTTGCTGCAAATCTCATTGTCAGTGTTTGGCTTTGCTGCCCTGGCCGAGTGGACCCAATTTTGGTTGGTAACACTTCCTCTGCCAGTCTCTCGTCATCACAATCCACCCTGGTGCTCAAGCCAGAAACCTAGAAATTCCCTTTGTCTCCTCCCTTTCAGTCACTGATGCCCCAACTTAGTCAATTCTACCTTATTCACGTCACACAGCTTGTAAGTGAGCTGAATGTGAACTACGCCACAAGACTTTCAGATCCTCAATCATGTTGCCATCGAGAGCATATTCTGGCCATGGTTTCTCTCTACATTAAAAGATGGTTTTTAAAATTGTGGTTAAATATATATATACATATGTAACATAAAATTTATCATTTAAATAACTTGTAAATGGACAATTCGGTGGCATTAATTATTTTCACAATGTTGTGTTACTATCACCACTATCTATATCCAAAGTTTTTCATCATCCACCCCAAAAATCTCTGGACCCATTAAATTATAACTCCTCATTCTACCTTCCACCAGTCCTGGTAACCTATATTCTACTTCCTGTCTCAATGAATTTGCCTATTTTAGGTACTTCACATAAGTGGAATCATACAGTATTTGTCCTTCTGTGCGTAGCTTATCTCACTAAGCATATGTTTTCAAAGTCCATACATGTTGCACTGTATATCAACGCTTTATTCCTTATAATGGCAGAATATATTCCACTACATGTATATACTACATTTTTTTTTCTGAGACAAAATCTCACTCTTTTGCCCAGGCTGGAGTGCAGTGGCATGATCGTGGCTCACTGCAGCCTTGAGCTCCTGGGCTCAAGCGATCCTCCCACCTCAGTCTTCTCAGTAGCTGGGACTACAGGCACATACCACTGCACCTGGCTAATTAAAAAAAGTTTTTTTTTTGGTGGAGACACGGTCTCCCTGTGTTGCCCGGGCTGGTCTTGAACTCCTGGCCTCAAGCGATCCTCTCACCTCAGCCTCCCAAAGTGCTGGGATTACCAGCATGAGCCACGGTGCCTGGCCTGTATATACTACATTTTGTTTATCCAATTCATCTGTTGACTAACATTGGTGTATTAGTCTGTTCTCACATTGCTATAAAGAAATACCTGAGACTGAGTAATTTATAAAGAAAAAAAGTTTAATTGGCTGACAGTTTCACAGGCTGTACAGGAAGCATGATGCTGACCATCTGCTTGGCTTCTAGGGAGGCCTCAGGAAACTTACAATCATGGTGAAAGGCAAAGCAGGAGCAAGGTGTCTCACATGGTGGGAGCAGGAGGAAGTAGGGGGGCACTGCACACTTTTAAACAATCAGATATCATGACAACAGCACTGGGGGATGGTACTAAACCATTAGAAACTGCCCATGAGCCAATTACCTCCCACCAGGCCCCACCTCCAGCAGTGGGGGTTACATTTCCAACGTGAGATTTGGGTGGGGAAACAGATCCAAACTACATCACTTGTGTTGTTTCTACCTTTTGGCTATTGTGAATAATGCTTATATAAACATTGGTGTACAACTTATCTGTTCAAGTCTCTGCTTTCTTTTGCATAGATACCTAGGAGTAGCATTGCTGAGTCATGTGGGAGTTTTAGATTTAACCTTTTGAGAAACCACCAGACTCCTTTCCACAGCAGCAGCACCATTTTACATTCTCACATTTTCTACATCCTTACTAACACCTATTATTTTCCTTTTAAAAATTATTATTGTAGCTATATTAGTAGTTGTGAAGTGGTATCTCACTGTAGTTTTGATTTGCATTTCCCCAACAACTAATGAGAGTCTTTTCATGTGCTCATTGGCCATTTGTATATCCTCTTCAGAGAAATGAGTATTCAAGTCCTTTGCCCATATTTGAATTGGGTTCTTTGCTTTGTTGTTGAGTTTTAGTTCTTTATTGTCTTAGTCTGTTCCTTCTATAACAAGGTACCACAGACTAGGTAATTTATAAGTAATAGAAATTTATTTCTCACAATTCTGAAGGTTGTGAAGTTCAAAATCAAGGGGCCAGCAGAGTCAGTGTCTGATAAGGACTTGCTCTTTGCTTCCAAAGTGACACCTTGCTGCATCCTCAAGTGACAGAAGAGCAGAAGCAGAAGGAAGCTCTCTGAAGCCTCCTTTATAGAGCGTTATCCCATTCATGAGGGCAGGGATCTCATGCGCTAGTCATCTGCCAGAGGCCCCACCTTTTAATGTTGTAACTTTGTTCACTAAGTTTCAACATAGGAATTTTGGAGAGACACACATACATTCAAACTATAGCATTCCACCACTAGCCCACCAAAATGCATGTCCTTTTCACATACAAAATACATTCATTTCATCCCAATAGCCCCAAAAGTCTTAACTCATTCTAGCATCACCTCAAAAGTCAGAAGTCTCACCTAAAAATCATCTAAATCAGATATGGGTAAGACTCAAGGTACAATTCATCCTGAGGCAAATCCCCCTCCAGCAAACAAGTTACTTGTTTTCAAAATATTATGGTGGGACAGGCATAGGATAGACACTCCCATTCCAAAAGAGAAAAAGAAGAAAGAGGAAAGGGGTTAACAGGAGAATCACTTGAACCCGGGAAGCAGAGGTTGCAGTGAACCAAGACTGTGTCACTGCACTCCAGCCTGGGTGACAGAGTGAAGGAAGTGGGGAAAAGGAGAAAGAGACAAGAAGAGAGAGAAAACAATAATTAAACTATCTCTTAGAAAAATGAGGGTACTCAGTTAGAGACCCATCTTCTGATACCATTACCTTGGTGATTAGGATTCAATGTATGAATTTTGGAGGGCCACACACATTTAAATCATAACATTTACATATTGTAGATATATATATTCTAGATATAATTTGCAAATATTTTCTCCCATTCTGTAAGTTGTTTTTTTTACTTTCTTGATAATATCCTTTGATGCACAAAACTTCTTGATTTTGATACAGTCCAATTAAAAAAATAATTTATTTTTTTTTGAGACTAGGTTTCACTCTGTTACCCAGCCTGGAGTGCGGTGGCATGATCACGGATGACTGCAGCCTCTAGCTCCTGGGCTCAAGCGATCCTCCCACCTCAACCTCCTGAGTAGCTGGGATTACAGGCGTGAGCCACTGCACATAGGTAATTTTTTATTTTTTGTAAAGATGGGGTCTCCCTAGTTTGTCCAGGCTGGCCTTGAACTTCCAGGCTCAAGCGGCCTCTCAGGATGCTGGAATTACAGGTGTGAGCCACCACACCCAGCCAAAAACAATTTTTTAAAAACTGTGACTTGTGTATAAATATAAAATTAACCTGGGTCAGAAATTTTATTTTACTAATTAATGAGGGAACCAGTATGAAGTTACAACCAGTTCAAAGGAAAATTCAAGCACACACGTATATAGGCAATCAGGAAAGTGAAAATGGATGTACGAATAGATGCAAAGCTGGTCAATATCCACAGGGCAATTATCAATTGCACCTCCACTAGAAAAAAATTCATTTGCATCTCCATGGGCAAGAATTATTTGTATTACTGTCAGTTTTCTAAAATGTGCAAAGTTGTAAAATAGCTCAAAGACATAAAAATGTAAACTCAACAGAGTTCCAGACAGGACACCCAGTAATCTTTTTGCCTACTTCAAAGTCTTCCCTAACTTTTCTTGATGCCACCTCCCTGCACTCCCCACTTCATCCCAACAGTGGGGTGAACACAATGCTCTCTGATTGCCTCAAGTCTTTCAGCACCAGGATAGCTACTAGGGGAGTTGAGTTAAGCTCAAGAACTATTTCTTAAGCGCCTGGTGGTGGAGGTGTAACTCTCCAGCCATTCCTACTACAAATTCTCAGTATATGCTATGAACTAGCATTGTGCTATGAGCACAGAGGGAACACGCAGACATGGTCTCTGCCCTCTTTAGCCTTACTCTACAAATGGAGACAGGAAGAACTAGTAAATAAAATAATTATAAACAATGATCAATGAAATGAAGGAAAACTACCAAACGCAGAGAATCACCAAGAAGGGCCCCCATAAGCATGGTGATCAGGACTGGCTGCTTGGAAGAGAGAACATTTAAGCTGATACTTGAAAGAGGAAGAGGTCAGCCACGCCGAGCGTAGGGTGGCAGGAAGCCAGCAGAGCCACCAGCTCTCCAGTCTGTCCTCACCTTCTGCGCCTCTAGGGACAGGTCTGCAGCAACCCAGTTATGGCTTGCTCCTGCTCAGGGCGTTGGGATGTGCAGGAGGCAAGAGAGGCCAAGTTCTGCCCTCCCAGCACTGTTATTCTCTGCTCTTGGCTCTAAACTTCAAAACATTTCAAGGGGAAGAAAGGGTCCCCTTCCAAACCTGCTCACCTTCCTCCTTCCTCTTCAGTCCTGATTTCCCTCTAAATTCCCACTATCTGCTAAATGAAGCCTGAAAACTCTTCAATACAGGAACAACAGTTGAACCCACAAAGAGAGATAAAAGGCTTTAAAAATGCAAATGACTGGGAGAGTTAACACATTAGAATGAGAGCGTAAAATGATCAGCTCTTTTGCTGAACTGATTTGATTAGAAAACTGCAAGGCACAGAGATCTTATGAGCAAGAGGAAAGACCAAGGGCACAGTGGGGTGATGGGGCACCAGGATCAATGTCACCTGTCTCACAGTTTTGTCCAGGGCCTGGGCTGTAGCTCTTCACCGTTCCAAAATTATTTCATGCTGCTCCATGGCGTTTGCCAGGAGGTTGGCACTAGAAGGACAAGGTTGGGGACCATCTGCCTGAGTTGGAGCACAGCAAGAGGATGGGCTTCAGGGGACAGACAGCAGAGGGAGGAGCAGGCAGAGCACAGACTCTGGGGGGCAGTGATATGGGCAGGAGAGAGAGAGCGAATGAGATGGAGAACAACAGAATCAGAGAGCCCAAGGGACAAAAAATAAATAAAATAAAAGCTATATCATAGCAACGGAGGGAAGTCTTTAAGGAGAGGAAGTGGCCAATTATGTCAATACAGTGGGACCATTCCTCAAAACGTGTGTGGTTCTGGGATCACACATATCAGAATCATTAGGGGGACTATTAATAATTCAGATTCCTAGGTTCTGGGCACACCTGGGTCAGCGTCTCTGGCACTGGAGCTTGGAATTGGCAGTTTAATAGGTGCTTAGGGAGTCTGTGCTTATTCTGGAAGTGTTTAAACACAAGGGATGTGGAAGCAGAGCTGAGTCCAATCCTGGCTCCTTCACTTGGTCTGTTGGGCAAATTATTTCACATCTCTGAACCTAGTTTTTTCCATCTCTAAAATAATATCTACCTCATAAGATTGACATAAGAATAATCTTCACATGAGATACTTCTGTTTCTATCTATATAATGTTTAGCACAATTCCTGGAACACAATTGGAAGTCAATTAATATTGACTGCTATTATTACATAATAAGGAAAGGCCGTTGATTTTGGGAAGAAGGGGGTCATTTTTAACTTTCCAGATAATTTCAATAGAGCATCCTTGGGAAATTTCTGGAAATTAAAAAGGAAATACGTGGGTAAGACGCTGAAGCAGCAGGCGAAGGTCACAAGTTCAAGTTCAGAAAAACCCACAGCAGGAGGAAAGATTTTTGGGTTAGTGGTTAGAGTTGGGTAATGTTGGAAAGTGAAAGGTTAATTGAGACAGCAGTGATAAGAGAGTCCTTGAAGGATGGAGTAAGGGAGGGTTTCAAGGTGCAGGTATTGAAGCCACTGAAAGGAAACAGGTTAGGAGTGATAGCTTGGTCCCAGTGAAGATGGGAAAGAGGTTCAGAGGACAGGTCATGGGGTGGAGTCAGAGAATCTAAACCGTTTCCCCTGAGATCAGATGAAAGAATTAGAGCAGTTGTTCACCAAGTTTGGTCCTTGCGTGGGCATCACCATGGAATCGGTTAGAAATGAATATTTCTGGCCTGCACCCCAGACACAATGCATCAGAAACTCTGGAGGAGAGTCCAGCAAAAAGGGCTTGTTTTAACAAGCCCTTCAGGTGTTTCTGATGCACCTAAACTTTGAGAACTACTAAATCAGGAAATAGTTGTAGAGGCAGGATCTTTGAGACAAAATTATGTAGTGCCCTAGGCAAGGCCATCTGCTGAATGTTAGGGTAGCAGGGGAGCCTGAGGCTGGGGACACCGGCTGTAAAGGAGTGCCTAAGAATTAGCTAGGGACACAAGGAGGATCGCCAAACTACAGCATGACATAAAAAATAAGAAAGTTATATCTAACGATAACATCTGAGTCTCAACTAGAAAAATAATTCTAAAGGCTATATATAGTGGGATATTTATAATAATGAAAGACTGAACACTTTAATGTCCAACATTAGGTGAAAAGTTAATACAATACCAAGAATTCAACTCTAAGTGATCTCCTGGAACTGCTGGCCAAACATGGCCATCTTGGTATCACATTTCCCAGGAGTGCCCAGACATGGGACAATGAGAGAAAGTATCTATGATATAATGTTGAATGAAAAAAATAGCCTATAATAGAATGCATGTATATGATGAAAATCATGTTGTAAAAAAAAGTACTCTTAGAACCAGGCACAGTGGCTTATACCTGTAATCTTAGCACTTTGGGAGGCCGAAGGAGGTAGATCATTCGAGTCCAGGTGTTGTGTTTCTTTTTTTTGTTTTAGTTTTTGTTTTTTTTTTGAGACGGAGTTTCTTTCTTGTTGCCCAGGCTGGAGAGCAATGGCGCAGTCTTGGCTCACTGCAACCTCTGCCTCCCAGGTTCAAGTGATTGTGCTGCCTCAGCCTCCCAAGTAACTGGGATTACAGGCGCCCACCACCACACCCAGCTATTTTTTTTTTTTTTGTATTTTTAGTACGGACGGGTTTCCACCGTGTTGGACAGGCTGGCCTCGAACTCCTGACCTCAGGTGATCCACCTGCCTCGGCCTCTCAAAGAGCTGGGATTACAGGAGTGAGCCATCGTGCTCAGCCGAGCCCAGGAGTTTGAGACCAGCCTGGGCAACATGGCAAAACCTCATCTCTAGAAAAAATACAAAAATTAGCCAGGCATGGTGGTGGGCGCCTGTAGTCCCAGCAACTCAGGATGCTGCGGTGGGAGGATCACCTGAGCCCAGGAGGTTGAAACTGCAGTGAGCCATGAACTCCAGCCTGGGTGACAGAGTGAGACCCTGTCTCAAAAAATAAAAAATAAAATAAAAATAAAATAAATACTCTTGGGGGAACAATTGGAGCTTTAAAATAAATCAATAGATTGGCAAAGGTCACTGGGGCCAACAATATGGCTTTTGAAGTTACCATCATGGGAGTTGATAGCCATGGGGTAAATGTAAGGGACTCCAGGTTGCTGGGCAATGACTCAGCCAGAACAAATAGGATGGAAGCAGCTAGGTTTGTTCAGAGCCCCTGAGGCCATTGACTTGTCTGGAGCCTTGGAGAAGAACAGGAAGTAGCCTTGGAAACCTATGGGGACCACATTTTTAAAATCAAAACTTGGGACCCAAGGTCTGCCAAGTTTCTGGTAGGTGCTAATAGGACCACAGGCCAGCTTATTTGAGTCTGGGCACTCCTGGGAAATGTGATACCAAGATGGCCATGTTTGACCAGCAGTTCCAGGAGATCACTTAGAGTTGGAGAACTCAATTCCAAGTCATTTTACAGAAGAGGAAAATGAAGGCAAGGGAAGTTCAAGTTCAACAACTTGCCCAAAATCATACAGCTTTAAAGCTGCAAAGGCCAAAACTAAAGCTCAGTCTCCTATTTTTAATACCATGCTTCCTGGATGAAGGACCTCGAACCCTGGGCTAAAGATTTGAGATGAGCAAGTCAAAACCACAGTAAGTTACCACCTCACACATATTAAAATGGTTATTATCAAAAAGACAAGAGATAGCAAGTGTTAGAAAAAGTGTAGAGAAAAGGGAACCTTCACACACTGCTGATGGGAATGTAAATTTGTATAACCATTATGGAAAGCAGTATGGAGATTCCTCAAAAACTTAAAAATAGAACTACCATATGATCCACCAATTCCTCTTTTGGGTATATACCCAAAGGAAATGAAATTAGCACCTCATAGTGCTAAATCTGCACTCCCATGTTCACTGCAGCATTATTCACAAAATAGCCAAGATATGGAAACAACCTAACTGTCCATCAGTGGATGAACGGATAAAGAAAGTGTGGTACAATTCTTGTGTATACAATGAAGTATTATTCAACCTTAAAAAAAAAAGGAGATATCCCCATTTGTGACACTTATAAACCTACAGACACTACGCTCAGTGAAATAAGCCAGACACAGAAAGAAAAATATGGCATGATCTCACTTGTATGTAGGATATTTAAAAAGTCCAATACATAGAAATAGAGAGTAGAACGGTCGTTACTAGGGGCAGAGATTGGGAGAAAATGGAGACATGTAGGTCAAAGGGTATAAACTTGCTGTTAGGTAGGAGGAATAAGTCTAGAGATCTAAAGGACTGCATGAGGACTAGAGTTTAATAATATTGTTTTGTATGCTAAAAATTTGTTAATATAGATTTTAGAAGCTTCTGCCACAAATACACACAAAAAGGTAACCATGCAAGGTGGTGGATGTGTAAATTTGCCTGACTGCAGTAATCATTTCACTAGCTCTATGTATATCAAAACACCATGTTGTATACTTTAAATATATGTAATCATAATAAATAAATAAGTAAATAAACAAAAGAGATGAGTTGTACCAGGTAACAAGGACTCATAATAAATCACTGCCTAGGGAAGCACCATGGTGAAGGGAGTGTTTGAGGAAGGACAATGATGTGTAAACTGGACAGGAACAGTCTGAAGACTGGATATTGTTAGAGCATCAGCAGCAGCCTATGGACATGTGGTTAATTAGAGCCTGGACCAGGTTGCTGGCTGTGAAATTAGACAGGAAAGAACCACAGAGAAAAATGACATTCCTCACTGTCACATCACACTCTCTCCCATTTCCTTTTCAGGTTCTTTAGAACTTCTTTCATTTACCTTAAAGGCTTATTTGCAGACACAGCTCAGCACAAACTCTAACTAGCCTGTAAATCATATATATATATATTTTGGCTAGGCCATGCTTCTACATTCTTAAAAGCCAATGCTACAGTGGGAATGAAAAGGAATCAGACCCAGTATAAATTGTGAATGGCTCTGAACTTAAGGCTTTCTACAAATGATGAAGTATTTAAATAGGAAGTTAAGAAAACCGAGAGGCCCAAGAGTGTCTCATCCAGTAGTACCATTCTTTCTTCCCTACACCTCCTGGCACCTTGGATACTCCCTCAAGCCTTCAGTTTCCTTTGCTCCCTATGGGAAAGCCACTGGATTCATTCAGGACAAGATGCGAGGCATCACACTCAGACTATGAAGACTGAAAGGAAACTTGGAGTAACCCAGCCTAAGCACTCAGGAACCCAGAAACACAAATGGCTGAAGGTGAAAACAAGACTGTAACCCACATTTCCCAATGCCCTCTGGGAGCACGATTTTTCTCCTTTCCTTTTCCTGAAATGCAATCTGAAACAAAATTCTAAAATAAAAATATTTTTTTCTGCTCAAAACTGTGCACATGCGTATTCTCTCTCTCTCTCTCTCTCTAGAATAGAGTCAATAGGAGATAAAACCTTCAGAATTCAAATGTCACCTTAAATACAGTGATTAAATAGCATTCTCTAAGCAGAATTACTTTAAAAGGGAGAAAGATGAAACATTTTTATTTTCTTTATGTTAGATCTGCCATCAAAAGTAATTGATAGACGTGTGCTGTTTTTTTTTTAGCATATCATTGTTACTTCCCTCAAAACTGTTATGTTACTGCTTGTACTCATTTTATTCTCCTTTCAGGACTAAATCTGCTGAAAGAAAAAGACTACATCTTGTTTATCTTTGCATTCCTCATGGGTCCTTGTATTGTTTTTTGCACATTGTTCTATATAAGGTTTTGGCACAGCGCTTACTCTTCTTAAAAATTGGTGGAATAACAGGGCATGAAATGACTTTCATCCAATATTTTTGCAACTTTTACCTTCACTACTTAAAAGAAAAAAGTCAAATAGCAAAATGAATATGCCATGTCAATTGGAGAATTTAACAATCTGTGTTTTAAAAGAAAACAGCTTAGGAAGCTCTGGTCTCAGACATGCTATTCTGAAATCAAAATCACATAGATGAGGCTGAAGAGTTGAATCGTCTTCTGAATCAAATTAAAAATTCAACCCATAGTAATTTTGGCAGAATGAAAACGTCAAATTGCATTTCAGCCAATTTCTCTTCCTTTTCTATAGTCGATGAGTTGTTTTGGGGCACAAGAAAAAATTTCAAGGATTGTGTTTATTTACAATATTTTCAGGAAAAAAAATGCCTGCTTGCTTTCCTGTAAAAGTGAGAGGAGCAGAGAAGCTTCCTAGACTGTTCTCAGATGCTTCAGCTAAAAAGTAAAATAACAGTGCCAATAATTGAAAATAAGGAGAAAAATTATGCCAAACACTTGGCACCAGCTGCAGCAATTAAGTAAGCACCTGCTTTATGCTTCATCTGCCACCATCCCCTCCCTCTTCATTTAGGCTGGTTTCTGGTTTTTTTGAGAATATATGCACCTCAGTGTACAAGCTCGCAGAGCTGTCTTTTTCCTTCTTTTTATTTCATTCCTTTCCCTTTGGCTATCATTAACTCAGGCATGACAGGAAGATCCAGACAAGGACAAGGTAGTAAAGACACCAATATTTCTAAAATCTAGGGCTTTAGAGAATGTTGGGGCAGATGTAACCATAGTAATCACTGGTATGAGAGCACTGATGTCCTTACTAAACAGCAGGTCACACCATCCCAAGGAGACCTTGCAAATGAAGATGCAGATTAGATGTCTGGAAGCAAGATTTTTATTAGCTTAGTCCTGAACCTTAGCTATGCAACAAAAGCCAGCTCTGCAGAGATTTAGGCTCTCAAAGAGACACCATCAAGGAGTTCGAGACTGTTAGGAGCATAGGGCTTAGCATGAGCATCAAATAAGGTATAAAAGAGGTGCTTTGAAAAGTTGAAAGAATTATGCAAATGTAAGGCAGGTATTAATATTAAAGATGTTTATCATAACCCATCTAAGAGAAACAAAATCATAAGTGTATTCATCCACTGGAAATGAATTTGCACTTTTTGGAATCCTGGGCTACCATTTCCTCTTTTCCCTTTTATCCTGTCTATAAAAGCTGGCTAATGATGCACCTACCTCAGAGGCAACTGTGAGGCTTAAATGAGATTATGTGCATGAAGCACCTTGCTCCATGCCTTGTATAGAAAAGATACTTAATAAATGTGAATTGCATTTCAAGGGGAAAATCAAGTACATTATCCTGAGAATTCTTCATACTTGCAGTTCATCAATAGATGCTTCACATTAAATTACATGTTTCCAGGAGAGAAAAATGGAGTGGTCACCCTCAACAGTACACAATCAGTGGAGCTGGCTGCTTCTCACATGGAGAAAACAGATGTGAAACAAAGGCATCCATCCTTCAATTTGTAGGTGTCAAAGTAGCAATTCCCCTCTTCTCATACTGGTAACTACTGCTTTGTTCTTCTGCAGAAAACATTTTAAAGCTGCTTTTGAATTCCCTCTATCATAGCCAGATACCAGCAAAAGAGAGACTCTGAAAACAGAGCAAGAGCTTCTAGGTACAGACCAGAAGCTCCTTGAGGTTAGGGACCATTCTACCTGGTTCCCTGCCACACTCCAGCACTTTCAAGAGTGCCCAGCAGATGACAAGCCCTTAGTATGCACTTACTGAATCATTTCAGTACATCAGAAATTTGAGGAAGTAAATGAGACACAAAATTAAAGGTGCTTTATTTCATCAATTTGATTGGCATGTCCTGCTTCATCTACCTTTGGTGCAAAATAATGTCTCATTTGTTTTAGTGCTTGATGTGGTTTGGATGTGTCCCCACCAAAATCTCATCTTGAATTGTAGCTCCCAAAATTTCCAGGTGTTGTGGAAGGGACCCTGTGGGAGACAATTAAATCATGGGGGCGATTTCCCCCATACTGTTCTCATGGTAGTGAATAAGTGCCACAAGATCTGACGGTTTTGTAAGGGGAAACCCCTTTCACTTGGCTCTCATTCTGTGTCTTGCCTGCTGCCATGTAAGACGTGCCTTTTGCCTTCCACCATGATTGTGAGGGCTCCCTAGACATGTGGAACTATGAGTCCATTAAACCTCTTTTTCTTTATAAATTACCCAGTCTCGGGTATGTCTTTATCAGTAGCGTGAAAACAGACTAATATGGTGCTCAAACCATAATAACTGAAGTTCATCTTATTGATCAGGGGAACCTATCCTACTCCTATAGGGTACTTTTCCCATGAAGTACCCTGATAGAAGTACCAGGAGCAGATAGTCCAAAGTGATTAACTTATTCATTGTTAATTAGTTAATATTACCTCATAGAAGAAACCAGAAAGTCTGGTGAGTCCACCAAAGGGCTCTGTTGTCTGCTGTTTGTGTTGCTTTACATCAGTGCAAAAACCATAAAGTTCAGTTATCTAGAATGAGACCCTATTTGTTTTAATATTACTACAGTATCAAGACAGATAACTATTGACAGTCCTAAAAGATTCTTAGAGATTTTTAGGTGATAAATGGTCTCTCTCTCTCTCTGTGTGTGTGTGTCTATCTCTGTCTCTCCCTCCCTCTCTCTTTTTCTCTCTTGCTCCAGGACTGTGCCCACCCTTGGAACAACTGCACTAATCAGGTCTGAGCTTCTGATGTCACAGCACCTGTGGGGTGCCGACCTTCCAGTTTACACACACAGAGCCACTTTGTGCCTAAGGTACATCTATAGTGCCTAGGTGGCTGGATCAACAGATGCAGCATCCACACCCTGAAATTTTCCTAGAACCCTTTTCTTGACTCCACTCTCCGCTGGAGAACCTAGAAACCCTTAGCTTTAGTTTAAGGTGGTAACATTTGAGGAGTTTGGGAAGGGGAAGAGATGAGCATACTAGGAAAGCAAACAGTGTGACCAAAGGCAGAGTAGCAGGAAACTCAGGGTCAGCCACAAGAAACCTTCACTTGTCTGGACACAGAATCCATGCAGGGTGGGGAGCTGGGAGACGTAGAAAGGCAGGGCTATTTACAGATTTTATATTGAGGGCCAAGTGGTGTACAGAGGAGTCAAGATTTAAAGCGGCAATCATTCTTTCCTCACAACGTGTACAAAATGCTTTGAAAGTTCCCCTTTCTACCACATTTTAGACTTGGTGCAGAGAACTAGAACCCACTGTCACCACTTCAGTGTTCTGCAGAGTGGCGGTGGCCCTAGGGTGCCCTACTGAGCTACAGTGGCACATAGGAGTAGACAGTCTTCCAAATCATTAGGGCAGCATCTCCCAGGCTGGCCTATTGCATAACAAGGAAGAATTCTATGATAGGAACAAGCTGAAAGTGTTATAGGAGTGATATGGTTTTGATCTGTGTCCCCACCAAATCTCATGTCATATTGTAATCCCCATTGTTGGAGGTGGTGCCTGATGGGAGGTGATTGGATCATGGTGGCAGAATTCTCATGAATGGGTTAGCAGCATCTCCTCGGTCCTGTTCTTGTGATAGCAGGTGAGTGAGTTATCATGAGATCTGGTTGTTTAAAAGCATGTAGCACCTCTCTCTTCTCTTTCTTGGTCCTGTTCCTGCCATGTTAGAAGCCTGCTCCCACTTTGCATTCTGCCATGAGTAAAAGCTCCATGAGGCCTTCCCTGAAGCAGATGCTGCCATGCTTCTTGTATAGCCTTCAGAACTGTGAGCCAATTTAACCTCTTTTCTTTATAAATTACCCAGTGTCAGGTTTTTCTTTATAGCAGTGTGAGAAATGACTAATACAAGGGGGCCTTGAAAATACACTCAAGATAGTCTATGACAATCAGAGAACTGATAGTGATCATATCATGAGAATTGACTTCCCAAAATCCTATCTATGTTGATTGATAAGGAGTATGTTCATTCACTGATCTGGCCAAGGAGAATGTGACTGGCCACGATTGGCTTAGACTGATCTTGTCATTGGATTTCAACCCTGGCCATAAAATAGAACCACCTGAGTAGCTAAAGAAAATTGCCGACATCTAGGTCCACACCAGTGATTCTAGACTCATTGGGGCTGAGGGAACAATGAGTACAAAGGCCGGGAGTCAAGAGAACATGGTGAGTTTATGTGGATATTGATAGTTCTACATGGCCTGAACACAGCGTAGGGAAATAAATTCATCACCTTAGGCCTCAGGTGACACACTGGGACTACCACTGCTCTGTGAGACAAGGAAGTGGTGGGATAAGATCTAATGCTTTGCACCTAAGTCTAAAATGTGGTAGGTTCCCCTGTAGCCATATCAAAGTAGGTGCTGTTAAACAAGGGAATCTTAAATAAATCTTTGAGAGAGTCTGCAGTGGTTAAGGGTGCATGCTTGCGTGCAGCAAAAGATGAGCTCAGTTCTATCATCTAACACCTGGGGAGCAAGCCAGGGGACCAGACCTGAACCTTTGCGGGGAATCAAGTACTTAAAGAGGTATCACCTTTAGATTACCTTGTCCTCACCCTGTTCCCACTATTGTCTTTCCATCGTAGTGTTGAAAACTATAATGTCTACATATTTCACTGTAATGTCCACAAATTCAAAAAAAAAATGCCCAGGTTTGTAGAACGTGCTCCGTAAATGTGACAGTTTCTGCTCTACTTGCAAAGCTCAATAACTTGTAGTCAGGTTCTTGGGCTCTTCCAAGAACTTACCATGCCAAAAACCTATCCTGATTCTACCATTTACTTGCTATGTGCTATTGGGCAAGTTGCTTTACCTGTCTAAAACTCAGCTTCATCTGTAATATGGGGGTAATGATAAGTACTTAGGTCAGAGACTATGTGTTCCTCACACTTTCTTTTTCCTCCTGGTCATAGTCGTTGTGCACTTTTCCCAACCTTTCTTGCAGCTAGGCAGGCCATGTGATTGCATTCTATCCAATGGAATGTTGGCAGGAGTGATGCATGCTATATCCAGGCCTAGATCTTAAGAACCCTCCCATGGGGTCCCTGCCATGTGAACTTGCTCCCTCTACCCTCATCTGCCAGTGAGATGCAGAAGATCCAGTGAAGAACTTCAAGGTCCTGGGGAGGGTGAGTTTATTCAGGAAGGAACCTGAATCCCTCCCCCGCCTTCTGCCCATACTGTGCCATGGGTAAAAATCAGCCTTTAAAATATCAAGCCACTGAGATTTGAGGGTGTTTGTTATGGCTGTTAGCCTCACCTGACTAATTCAGCAATTCTGAGAATCAAACGAGAACATTTATTTATAATCACGGTGTCAGGCACAGAGTAAATATTTAGTAAGTAACAGCTATTTATCATCATATGATGTCAGCCCTGCTTTAGGTATGTAGACTTTTCCCTTCCCATATCTTCAAATGCTATTTCTTCCCTTTGATCCAGTGACCAAGACAACTCTGGATGTCCAGTGCTGCTTTATCTTTAAGCCTAATCACAACATTAATGCATTGCTTCTCTCTGGACCTTGCTTTTCTAGTAACGTTTCCTCGCAAAAATATGGAGGGTAGAGGGGATGTTTCTATCGAGATGATAATGGTTCTGAAATGAGTCAGAAGCATGAGGCATTTCAACTGGCATCATTCATCACAGCTCCATTTTTGCTTCCCCTGCCTTTCTGTATGAAGTCTACAGAGCTGAGAGTTAAATTAGTTTGAGAGCTGCCTCGGATGAGCAGCACAATCTGCTCCACTGTAGCGAACATTTCATAAAAACTGTTCCTGCCGAATTTTCATGAAACTTCCAAATTTTAATTAGAAACTGGAGAACCAGATGGGTGGCAAAAGGAATTTAAGGTAACAAGGGAGTAAGTGCTCTTACACTAAGGTAAAAATCAATAACCGTGTGACCAAGTGGGCACTTAATTGGCATGATTTGGAAAGTTCTAGCGGTTCTCCCTGTGGCCCTCAAACATCTCCATTACATGACAACAATGCCTAAAATTGTTAATAAAAACCCTTCACAATCACATGTTATTTTACAGTTGAGCCTTGAACAATGCAGGGGTTGGGGTGCTAACCCCTTGCAGAGTCAAAAATCTGTGCATAACTTTTTGTCTTCCCAAAAACTCAATTACTAATAGCCTACTGTTGACCAGAAGACTTATCAATGACATAGTTGATTAGCACATATTTTGTATATTTTCTATATATTGTATTCTTACAATAAAGTGAGCTAGAGAAAAAATGCTATTAAAGAAATCATCAGGAAGAGAAAGTATATTTACTACTCATTAAACGGAAGTAGATTATCATAAAGATCTTCACCCTCATCATCTTCATGTTGAGTAGGCTTAGGAGGAAGAGGAAGAAGAGGGGTTGGTCTTGCTGTCTCATGGGTGGCAGAGGCAGAAAAGATGGAGAAGGTGGAAGAGAAGGTGGAATAACCAGGTACACTCAGTGTAACTTTACAGCAATACATTATAATTTCTATTTGATTTTTGCTTTTTCATTTCTCTAAAAATTTTCTATATGGTACTGATCCTTCTTTCACCATTTGATTTAGTTTCAGTGTCTATATCTTAGTAGGGTCCATGTTAGAAAAAAAGTCAAAAGCAGTCATGAATGATCAGAACCACTCTGCTAGATTGTCTAATGTCAATTTGCTTTCTGGAACTGCTTTCCATACATCGTCTTCATCACCTGGCACTGGTTTGAAATCACTCATCTCCATCAAGTTGTCTTCTGCTGTCTTTGGTGAGGTGTTTGTTAGCTCTTAAATTTCTCCAGGATCATCTTGAAAACCTTCAACTTCCCTCCATTTTTTTTTTTTTTTTTTTTTTGCCATATCCACAATCTCATCTGCACTGAAAACTTGTTCAGGTAGATATTCTTTCTCCTCAATGATTTTTTTTTTTTTTTTTGAGATAGAGTCTTTCTGTGTCACCCAGGCTAGAGTGCCATGGCACGAGTTGGCTCACTGCAACCTCCGCCTCCTGGTTCGAGTGATTTTTTTGCCTCATCTTCTCAAGTAGCTGGGATTACAGGCACACACCACCATGCCTGGCTAATTTTTTTGTGTGTGCGTATTTTCAGTACAGTTGGGGTTTCACCATGTTGGGCAGGCTGGTCTCGAATTCCTGGCCTCATGTGATCTGCCTACATTGGCCTCCCAAAGTGCTGGAATTATAGGTGTGAGCCACTGCACTTAGCCCTCAATGATTTTCTTAACAGTGTCCAGGAATTTATCTGCTGCCTCTTGGTTGGTAAGGGCTGCTTATTCTCTTATATTGACATTTTTAAAGGCAAATCTCTTTCTAAAATTATCAAACCATACTTCGCTGGCATTAAATGCTCCAGCTTTAGTTCCTTCACCTTCCTTATGCTTTGTTATGTAAGGACTTTGTTTTTTCACTAATCATATTAGAGTCTATGGGTATGCCTTTCTTATAGCAGTCCTGCATCCACGTAAAAGCTGTATTTTCAATACAAGATTAAAGGGTATTTCAGCTTTTGATTCCAAAATGGTAATGTAGAAACAAGCTTGCTTCACTCTCCCCAACAGAAAACCAAAAACAAATATACAGCTCTGAGATCATAACCAGAAATATCCCAGAGCCAAAATATCAACATGAGAGAGTTTCTGGGGCCACAGCGAAGTTAAAAAAATAAAAATAAATAAACTTTAAGCAGATGGTAATATACTCAGACTTCCACATCTGCAGTACCCCTCCTTCCATTCTTCCCAGCACAAAACAGAAAGATATCCCCCTCAAAAAAGTGAAATTGAGGTGGACAACCAGTTTCTCCAACATTTTGGTTTCCCTGTCAGGAGACCTCTCCTTGCCTTAACCTATGGGAAGCATCATGAGCACCTGAAGGGAGAAATATTCCCGAGAACAGGCAGAGACAAAGAGGGGAGTTAAGACTGCCATTTACAGCCCTGGAAACTATGCTGTTTCACTCAGCCAAAGGAGGCACCAAAACAGAGCAGCTTTTCTGCATTGCCACATTGTAGGGGATTCATCCTACAAGTCCCCTGGGCACAAACCTCTAGACAGCCTTCCCAAATTACCAGTGCATCCCCTTTGGGACCTCCCCTATTTGGAAAGGACAGTGCTATAATCGTTTACTGGAGCCAAAGTGAACCTGGGCTTAAGGCACCACCTAGAGCCAAAAAGGAGGCTGTGACCTAGCAGTAAAGAAACTTCAAGCAAACATATCCAATAAAAACCAAAACAAGCCAGACAGAGGAGAAATACATAACCGATCTTCCAATGCAAAGACATAGATGTAGGTCCACAAGAAACAACAGCAAACAGAAACATGAACTCTCCAAATAGACAAAGCAAAGAAACCAGTAACTGACCCTAATGAGATGGTGATATGTGAGCTATCTGATGAATTCAAAATAGCAGTTTTAAGGAAATTCAGTGATCTCCAAGATGACACAGAAAGGCAATTCAGAAATTTATCAGAGGATTTTAACAAAGATATTGAAATAATTTTTTAAAAACAGAAATCTTGGAACTGAGAAATACATTTGTCATACTGAAAAATTCATTAGAGGCTTTCAACAGCAGAATAGATCAAGTCGAGGAAACACTCGGTGAACTTGAATACAGGCTATTTGAAAACACACAGACAAAGGAGAAAAAAGAATGAAAAGCAATGATTGCCTACAAGATACAGAAAACTACCTCAAAAGGCCAAATCTAAGAATTATTGGTGATGAAGGGGAAGTTGAACAATAGCAAAGGTTAGAAAGCTTATTCAAAGAAATAATAACAGAAACTTTCCAAACTTGAGAAAGACATAAATATTCAGATACAGGAAGCTCAGGGAATACAGAACAGGTTTGACCCAGATAAAACTACCCCAAGGCACATAATAATCAAACTCTCAAATGTCAAGGACAACAGAAAATTCTAAAAGCAGCAAAAGAAAAGCAAATAACATATAAAGGAGCTCCAGTTTGTCTGGCAACAGACTTCTCAGTGAAAACCATACAGGCCAAGAGGGAGTGAAACGACATTTTCAAAGTGCTAAAAGAAAAAAAAACTGCTATCCAAGAGTACCGTATTCAGCAAAGTTATTCTTCAAATATGAAAAAGAGAGGGAAAAAAAGAGTTTTTGTTTGGGATGATGAAAAAGTTCTAAAAATAAATAATAACATTTTTGCAACATTGTTCATGCATATGATGCCACTGAAGTGAATAGTTAATAATTGTTAAAATTAGAATTTTATATTATGAATATTATACCACAAAAAAACTAACAAAATAAAAAACGAATGAAGGAGAGATAAAGACCTTTCTAGACAAACGAAAGCTGAGAAAATTCACTACCACCAGACCTGTCTCTTAAAAAATGCTAAAGGGAGTTTTTCAATCTGAAAAAAAAGTTAACATGCAGAAACAACAACATTCGAAGGTATAAAACCCGCTGGTAAAATTAAATACATGGACAAACCCAGAATACTCTAATACTGTAATTGTGGTGTGCAATCTACTCATAACTGTAGTACGAAGCCCCAAAGACAAATCTATATAAAAAAGCTACTGCAACCTGTTAAGAGATAGGTAATATAAAAATGTGTAAATGAGATAACTAAAAGTCAAATGTGGAAGGGATGGAGTTAAAGCATAGTTTTTTTCATTTTTTTGTTTCTATTCTTTATGATCCAAGATAAGTTATGATCTCTTTAAAATAACTTTTTATATCTATATTTCTTGTAAGCCTCATGGTAACCACAATGCAAAAACCTGTAATAGATTCACTAAAAATAAAAAGCAACAAATTAAAACATACTACCAGAGAAAATCTCTTAACCACAAAGGAAGACAGTAAGAAAAGAAGCAAGGAGTTACAAAACAATCAGAAAATAAGCAACGAAATGACAATAGTAAGTCCTTGCTTATCAATAATAACACTGAATATAAATGGTCTCAATTCTCCAATTAAAAGGCATAGAACAGCAGAGTAGATTTTTTTTTAAAAAAGACCTAAATATGTACTGCCTACAAGAACCCACTTCACCTATAAAGACATATATAGACAGAATGGGAAGGGGTAAAAAAAGATGCTCCATGCAACTGGAAACCAAAAGAAGACCAGGAGGAGGTATACTTAGATAAAATAGACTACAAATCAAAGACTGTAAAAAGGGACAAAGAAGGTCACTATATAATTATAAAGGGGTCAATCCAGCAAGAGGATATAACAATTACAAATATATATGCAACCCAACGCTGGAGCTCCCAAGTATATAAAGCAAACATTAATAGATCTCAAGGGAGAGACAGACTGAAATACAATAGTAACAAGGGACTTTAATACTTCACTCTCAGTAATGAATGGATCTTCCAGACAGAAAACTAACAAAGAAATAGCAGAGTTAAACTACACACAAGACCTAATAGGTCTAACTGACATTCACAGAATATGTTACCTACCTGCTGTGGAATACACATTCTTTTCATTAGCACACAGAACATTCTTAAGAATAGACCATATCTTAGGCCATAAAACAAGTCTGAACAAATGCAAAAAAGTAGAAATCATATCAAGTATCTTTTCTGACCACAATGGAATAAAACCAGAAATCAACAATAAGAGGAAACTCATTCAGGAGCATGTTGTTTAATTTCTATGTGTTTGTATAGTTTCTGAATTAAATTATGGCCAATGGATCAATGAAGAAATTAAGAAGGAAATTTAAACACTTCTTGAAACAAATGAAAATGGAAATACAACATGCCAAAATCTATGGGATATGGAAAAAGCAGTACTAAAGGGAAAGCTTATAACAACAAACATTTATATTTTAAAAAGTAGACGTCCAATAAATAACTTAATGATGCGGCTCAAGGAACCAGAAAAGCAAGAATAAACCAAACCCAAGATTAGTAGCAGGAAAGAAATAATAAATATCAGAACAGAAATAAATGACATTGAGACTAAAAACAGTACAGAAGATCAATGAAACAAAAAGTTGGGTTTTTTTGAAAAGACAAACAAAATCAATAAACCTTTGGCTAGACTAAAAAAAAAAGAGAGAGAGAAGACCAGATTAAATGACATTAGAAACAAAAAAAGAGACATAACCACTAGGACCACAGAAATACAATGAATCATTATGTAACATTATGAACAACTATACACCAAGAAATTGGAAAACCTAGAAGAAATGGTTAAAATCCTGAACACATACAACCTACCAAGATTAAACCATGAAAATAATAGAAAACTCAGTAAACCAATAATGTGTAACAAGACTGAAGCTGTAATAAAATGTCTCCCATAAAAGAAAAGCCCAGGACTTGATGGTTTTACTGCTGAATTCTACCAAACATTTAGAAAAGAACTAATACCAATTTTACTCAAACTCTTCCAAAAAAATTGAAGATAAGGAAATACTTCTAAACTTATTCTACAAAGCCACCATTACCCTGATACTAAAACCAGACAAGGATACAACAACAAAAAAAAAACTACAGGCCAATATCACTGATGAACATAGGTGCAAAAATTCTCAACAAAATAGTAGCAAACTGAATTTGACAACACATTAAAAAGATCATTCATTATGATCAAGTGGGATTCATCCCAGGGATGGAAGGATGGTTCAACATATGCAAATCCATAAACGGGATACATCACATTAACAGAAGCAAAAACTAAAACCATATGATTATTTAAATAGATGCCAAAAAAAGCATTCAATGAAATTCACCATCCCTTTATGATAAAAGTCCTCATCAAATTAGCTATAGAAAAAACATACCTCAAAATAATAAAGACCATATATGACAAACCCACGGCCAACATCATACTGAACAGGGAAAAATTGAAGGCCTTTACTCTAAGATTTGGAACAAGACAATATAATACTGGAAGTCCCGGCCAGAGCAGTTAGGTAAGTGAAAGAAATAAAGGGCATCCAAATTGGAAAGAAAGAAGCCGAATTACCCCTGTTTACAGATGGTATAATCTTGTTCTTAGAAAAATCAAAAGAATCCACAAAGAGACTATTAGAACTCATAAATGAATTAGGTAAAGTTGCATGATAGAAAATTAACATATAAAAATTAGTAGCATTTATATAGACCAACAGCAAACAATCTGAAAAAAAATAAACAAGAAAGCAATGCCATTTACAATAGCTACTAAGAATATAAAGTAATTAGGACTCAATTTAACCAAAGTGAAAGACCTATATAAGAAAAACTATAAGATACTGATGAAAGAAATGGAAGAGAATACAAAACGAATGGAAAGATATTTTATGCCTATGAATTGGAAGAATTAATATTGTCTAAATGACGATGCTGCCCAAAGCAATTTATAGATTCAATGCAATCCCTATCAAGATACCAATGACATTCTTCACAGAAATATTTAAAACACCTAAAATTTATATGGAATCCCAAAAACACCTCGAATAGTCAAAGCAATCCTGAGCAAAAAGAACAAAATTGGGGGCATCACACTCTTTGACTTCAAAATTTACTACAAAGATGGGGGCATCACACTATCTGACTTCAAAATTTACTACAACCAAATCAGCATGGTACTGGCATAAAAGCAAACACACAGACCAATGGAACACAATAAAAAACCAAGATACAAATCCACACATTTACAGCCAACACAATTTCAACAAAGATGCCAAGAACATGTAATGGGGAAAGGACATTCTCTTCAATAATTGGTGCAGGGAAAACTAGATATCCACATGTAGAAGAAAGCAAGTAGACCCCTATTCTCACCACACACAAAAATCATATTGAAATGGATTAAAGACTTACGTCTAAGAAATTATGAAACTACTAGAAGTAAACATTGGGGAACCACTCCAGGACATTGGTCTGGGCAAAGATTTTTTTGTGTAAGACCTCAAAAGCACAGGCAAGCAAAGGAAAAATAGACAAATGGGATTACATCAAGCTAAAAGGTTTCTGCTCAGCAAAGGAAACAATCAACAAAATGAAGACACAACCCACAGAATGAGAGAAAGTATTTGCAAACTACCCATCTGACAAGGAATTAACAACCAGAAGACATAAGGAGCTCAAACAACTCAATACCAAACAAACAAACAAACAAACAAAAACAAAAGGCAAACCCACAAGTAATCAGATATTAAAATGGCAAAAGATCTGAGTAAATATTTTTCAAAAGAAGACATACAAATGGCAAACAAGTATATGAAAAATGCTCAATATAATTAATCATCAGAGAAATGCAAATCAAAACCAGAATGAGATATCATCTCACCTCAGTTAAAATGGCTTTTATCAAAAATACAGGCAATAACAGATGCTGGCAAGGATGTGGAGAAAAGGGAACTCTCATACACTGTTTGGTGGGAATGTGAATTAGTATAGCTACTATGGCAAACAGTAGGGAAGTTCTTCAGAACACTAAAAATAGAACTTCCACATGATCCAGCAATTCCACTACTGGGTAGATATCCAAAATAAAGGAAATTAATATATATAAGGAATATCTGCACTCCCATGTTTATTGTAGCACTGTTTACAATAGCCAGAATATGGAATCAACCTAAGTGCCCATCAATGAATGAATGGATAAAGAAAATGTGGTATATATACTGCACTGGAATATTATTCAACCATAAAAAAGAATGAAATCCTGTCATTTGCAGCAACATGGATAGAACTGGAAGACATTATGTTAAGTGAAATAAGCCAATCATAGGATGACAAATATCACATGTTCTCACTCAAATGTGGGAACTAAAAAAAGTAGATCTCATGAAGATAGGAAGTAGATTGGTGGATACTAGAGGCCAGGAAGGGTAAGAGTCAGGGGGATGAAGAAAAGTGGAAAAATGGGTACAAACATATGGTTTGATAGAAGAAATAGTGTTAGATATATCAGTAGGGAGCCATAGTTTAGAATGACATCTTGAACATTTAAAAATAGATGAATTCAAACAGCTCTAGTATAACAAAAAAAGACAAATATTTAATGTATTGGATATCGCAAGTACACCAATGTGATCTTTACAAAATAAATCAATGTATTAAATTATCACATACACCCTAGAACTATGTGCATCTATTATGCATCAATATAAAAAAATTTTGCAAAAATTGCAAGGTTGTTGTGCCTGCTGGTGTTGCTGCAGCGATAGCTTCATGAATTTCCATTTTTTCTTTTACAATGGTCTTTACACTGAATTCATTTATCTTGAAATGGTGGGCAAGCACAGCGGCAGATCTCAATCTGCTACATAACGAGCAATTCACCTTTCTTTTTTTAAAATAGCGTCATGACTTTTTCTCTGCTTCCTGGGAGTACTTCCAGCATCACTAGTGGAACTTTGTATGGGTCCTATGGTGTTATTCAAGGTTGATAGCACTGTACTAAACATGATGAAAAAATGCGCACGAATCTCAGGAAATCATTTTTACTGCGATATGCAATTTACTAGAGAAGCGAACGGCTCACATGGAGATGATAGTGTCACACGGTGTTTTAAGTGAATACTCCCAACATTCGGGCTCACTGCAATAGCAGCAGAAGTTGGCTACAAGACTATTACAGTAGCATAGTATTACTACGGTTCATTTTATGCAATTATGACTTAATACCACATCTTTATGTTTTTGGGTGTTGTTTGTTTGTTTTGAAACAGGGTCTCGTTCTGTCGCCTAGGGTGGAATGCAGTGGTGCGATCATGGCTCACTGTAGCCTTGAACTCCTGGGTTCAAGCAATCCTCCTGTCTCAGCCTCCCAAGCAGCTAGGACCACAGGCATGTGCCACCATGCTTGGCTGCATTTCTGTTGACTGCAAATGGCACCATGTATGGTCCATAAGTGTTTGTGTAAGATTTGATAAATTTTAACTTTGTATAATAGATTTGTGTATGTTTTGCACTAGTATATGATAAAATAGATTCATATCTACATATATTTTATGCATTCATAAGCTCATCACACTATAATACCTGCCCCCTCATGGACTCTTATGACTTTGTGGCTCTGCCAATAATTATTTAAACCCTTTTCAAGTTTTGGCCCTATTCTACCTTGATAATTCCCTTCGTTCTGATGATTGTACTCTAGGAACAATAGCTCCCACCCAAATCACTGTCTGGAGTATAACTTCCAATTCAGAATTCCATTCCAGAAGATAAAGGGTCCTAGGACTTATTGTGGCCAGAGTTGTGGAAACTATCACAACTGTCACTATTTGGGGAGGTTTTACTTACCGTGAAATCACACTACAAGAACTTACCATCTCCTTTTAAATAATCTTAGAAAAAACTGGCACAAGTCTATCAGCACTAGAAAAGTCTTTATACTCACTAGCAGAAATGGTTTTTGATAATAGATGAGTTCTTGATTACCTCCACCTGAACAAGGAGGAGTCTGTGCTGTCATCAACAAAATCTGTTGTCTGGAGAAGTGGAAACTAATGTCCCAGTAAATTTTCAAACAAGCCAAATGGTTATACACACTTTCCCAAAGTAACCAAGACTGGGCTTCTCCCATTCCTTGGACCTTTTTTCCTTGTCATTTTTCTTTTAATATTTGCTCCCTGCATTTTTAATGCTCTCATTAAGTTTGTATCTTCCAGAATACAACGATTCCACCTACAGATGACTATGCAGTCTCAATACTGGCCTGCAACAGCAACTTCCATTTATACGGGGCCTCTTGATAGAATCCAGTCCCCACCCCTCGTGACTGAGTTTTTCATGACCCTTCATTTCCTTTATGACACAGAGCAAAAAAGAGAAAAACGCAACTTATCCCCTCAAAGCCCCCTTTCAGGAGGAAGTAGCCAGACAGACTCATCACCCCTCTTCACTGGACCATTTTCCCTTTCTTGAGACCCCAGGAGGCAGCAGGTAGACATGAACATGGGGGAATATAAATATAAAGGGTCAAAGATATGACCAAGATATTTGTCAGGGAGCAAATGAGGAGAGGAAAATCACCTGGTGACCATCGAGCAGTCTCCAGAGACAAAAACTCCTTATCTGAGGAATTTAGAAGTAATTAAACTTCCCTAGTATCTAAAGTCAGCATCTAGATCTCTTTCAAAAATGTCATAACTAGAATTTCTATACACCTCCAGAATGCATGCATGTCAAAACTCATTGTGCAACCCTTGCTGACAGTAAGGCACCAAAATGTCTACAGATGTAATCATGTATCATGACCTACCTGGCTAATATGGTCAAAATTACCCTTAAGCTCCCGCCTTAAGGTCCATAAATGCTCCTAAGGAAAATCCACCACTGTGTGCTCAGTCCTCTCTCACTGAGGTGCCCCGCTGCACCCTTTTGCAGCATTCTTTCTTTCTAAAACTTTCCTTTTTCAAATCTATACTGTTTTTGGTAAATTCTTCTTACCAACCCACACACTGACCACTTCCCAATACAGGGGCTCTGACACTGCCTGGCAAATGTGTTCAAACAACAAGGAAAGCAAAGGAAGTAGACTGAACATGTGTATTAGTCTGCTCAGGTCGCCATAACGAAATATCACAGACTGGGTGGCATAAACAACAGAAATATATTTTCTCACTGTTCTGGAGACTGGAAGTCCAGGATCAACGTGTTGGCAGGGTTGGTTTTTCCTGAGGTCTCTTGCAGACAGTCACTCTCTGTCTGTGTCCCCACATGGCCTTTCCCCTCTGTGCATGTGCACCTCTGGTGTCTCTTCCATTTTTCTTTTCTTTTCTTTCTTCTTCTTTTTTTTTTTTTTTTTTTTTTAGACAAGGTCTGGCTCTGTTGCCCAGGCTGCAGTGCAGAGGCACATCTTGGCTCACTGCAATCTCCGCCACCCCCAGGCTCAAGCCATCCACCCACCTCAGCCTCCCAAGTAGCTGGACTACAGGTGCACACCACCATGCCAGGCTAATTTTTGTATTTTTTTATAGAGATGGGGTTTCACTATGTTGCCCAACTGGCCTCAAACTCATGAGCTCAAGCCATCTGCTTGCCTTGGCATCCCAAAGTGCTGGGATTACAGGTGTGAGCCACCTCGCCGGGCCCCCTTTTTCCTAAGGACAGAAATCCTACTGCATTAGGGCTCCACCCTTTTTTACCTCATTTGACCTTAATTACTTTCTAAAGGCGCTATCGCCAAATATAGTCACATTGGAGGTTAAGGCTTCAACATGAATTTTGGGGGGATAAAATTCAGTCCTTGACAACATTTATTTAGCATTTTCTTTGTACTAAGAGATTTCAAATACAGAACCATCTTTAATGCTCACTCCAACCTGAGGAGATGGGGACCATTTTACAGACATGGTTAGGGAGATTAAGTAACCTGCTAAAGATCACCACTACCCAGGTGGCAAGTGGCAAGACTGTCGTCTGACTCTGGGGAGACTATATGATAGCCAGAGCTAAAAGTAGGTCATTCGTGGAGTGGTTGGGAAGGTTTCATAACCTCTACAACTTCCTCATATTTACTGTTTGTCATACAGTAGTTCCCTGTTATCTGCAGTTTCACTTTTTGAAGTTTCAGTTACCCTCGGTGAACTGAGGTCCAAAAATATTAAATGGAAAGTTCTAAAAAATAAATAATTTGTAAGTTTTAAATTAAGCACCATTCTGAGTAGCATGATGAAATCTTGCACCCTCCCACTCCACCCTCGGATGTGAATAATCCTTTTATCCAGTGTATCCACAATGTATACGCTACCAATCCGTTAGTCACTTAGTAGCCGTCTCAGTTATCAGATCAAAAAGAGTATGCTGCCCTGGTCCCAGCTACTCAGGAGGCTGAGGCTGGAGGATCCCTTGAGCCTAGGAGTTTGAGGCTGCAATCAGCTACCATCATGCCTGTGAATAGCTACTGCACTCCAGCCTGGGCAACATAGCAAGACCCTGTCTCAAAAACAAACGAACAAAAAATCAAAACTTAGTATAATATATACATAAACTGTAGTGTTGAAACTCTCCTTTGTCAGGTCTTGTCTTTTTACTCATATTCTTATTTTTTAAATATACTTGCTGCCATTAATTTGGAGTTTTCTATTTTAATTTATTTTAGACTGATTTACTGTCATGGAATTATTCTTCAACTTACTATTTTTTTTATGTAATTATAATGTCTGCAGTAATTTTGCAATATTATATCATCAATACCCATATAAGCACAATTAAATAGGGTTCAGTATTATCCATGGTTTCAGGCATCCACCGGGGTCTTGAACTACTATAGCCCTCTGACCCTTAAAATAAAATGGTCCTGTGGGATTGACTTCCAGGGCAGTAACATCTGGAAAAGCCATGGAGACCAAGTCCCAGGTACAGCGAGTGTTGTAAGAATGAGGATTTCAAGGACTGAGGAGAGTGGTGGAAACCAACCACCAAGCTACCCTAAACGCCTGGCAGCTGCAAGATGGAAGAAAAGAGGATGCAGGCAGCTGGCTCGTGACTGGGATTCATGAGAGAAAAGCCATACAGGTCCTGGTAGGCTGGGAGGGGCCACACTCATCCCCTCACTCCCTTCCTCATGCCCTCCCTCACTGCCTTATTCAATAGTTATTGAGCTCCTCCTGTGGCCAGCACTACCAGGTACTGGAGGATTTAGCACCCCTATCAAGGATTCCTTTCTTTATTCTCCCTAAAGGCCCCTTTCTGGGAACAACAACGTCTCCCTCTACTGCCCCTGCAAAAAACAAAATAAAATTGCCCTTAAGAAATGATCAATTAACTTTCACATTTTCTTGGGTTCAAATAATAGCTCTGCCTTTGGTGAAGTTTATGACCTATTTCTTTCTCCTCTTTACCCTCAGTTTCCTTATCGGGAAAAATGGACATATCAACAATATCAACCTCAGAGAAATGAACAACACATTGTAATATACATCGAAAGATTCTTAGCACAATGTTCAGCACCTAACCAAGGCCCAGTAAGGCAAGATACCTTTTACTTCTTGTACTTTTTTTCTTCTTTATTATTATTCTCCTTGTTCCCTGTTTTCTTCCTAAAAACTATGCCTCAAAACCCTTGGTCCTCTTTGTGAGAATTCAGAGGCAAAGGAGGGAGGAGGTTTCCCAGATCTCACTGAGGGAAGAGGCTGAGGTGGGAAGCTGCCCACCACCGTGGTCACCTGACATGCACAGGGAAGTCAGGGCCCTGGGAGGCTTTCTGGAGAGATCAAGGCAGAGTCGGGGCCCTTTAGGTTTAGTTCAAACCGTAGTCAGGATTCTGTGCTGTTGTTGCTGCTCCGCCAGCCTGCACATCACCCTCACCGCACTTGTTTTCTCTTGTTTAATTGCTCATCTCCTCCACTAGAAGGCAGGAACTCTGTGGGTTTAGCTTTCTTTTTTATTGTTTTGTTTTGTTTTGTTTTGTTTGTTTTGTTTTGAGACAGTCTTGCTCTTGTTTCCCAGGCTGGAGTGCAATGGCGCGATCTCAGCTCACTGCAACCTGGGCCTCCCAGGTTCAAGCGATTCTCCTGCCTCAGCCTCTCAAGTAGCTGGGATTGCAAGCATGTGCCACCATGCCCAGCTAATTTTTGTATTTTTAGTAGAGACGGGGTTTTACGATATCGGCCAGGCTGGTCTTGAACTCCGACTTCAGGTGATCGATCCACCTGCCTCGGCCTCCCAAAGTGCTGGGATTATAGGCGTGAGCCACCACGCCTGGCCTCTAGCTTTCTACTGAATGCCCAGTGCCACAAGCACCACGCATGGAGAACACGCTTAAACGTTTGTTGAATAAACAAACTGGGACAACTATGCTGAGTAAGAAATAAAATTCATTTGCTCGTAGTAAAAAAAAAAAAAAAACAAATCCAGTGTTTACTTAGCTCTAATCTGAGCAACATAATTATAGTCAAAGGTTGGATGATAGACTCACCACTTAAGCAAAGCCTGTGTCCATCATTACGCACTTTCATGTTGGCCCATGAGAGTAGCAAAAGAAAATGCTGGATGCTGTTTTCTTGCAGAGCTTTAACCATCAGCTCCTAGTGCTGACACTGTCATTTGAGACAGCCCTCTGAAATCCAGCTCCACTTCAGGAAATGGCCAAAAGGATGCCAGCTCTGGGCTGTGTTTCTTCAGTGTTCTGGGATTTACCCTCACACTAAAGTGGAAGTGCCTATTACACAGGCCTGGGGTTGAGCGGGTGTAGTTTCGGTCAGGAAGCCATTCTAGTCTGTTCTCCTCACTCCTCAGGCCTGGTGTCCCCTCTCATTCCCTGCCTCGCCCCAGTTATTCTGACAGCCTCAGGAGGGCGCTCTTATATAAGCGGCACCGTGGGTAGTAGGATACATACTGGAATAGTAACAGCTTTCTATGGGCTAACTACTTTCTTACATTATCTCGTGTCCTTTTTAAATTTTATTTTATTTTAAGTTCTGGGGTAAATGTGCAGGAGGTGCAGGTTTGCTCCATAGGTAAATGTGTGCCATGGTGGTTTGCTGCACCTATCAATCCATCACCTAGGTATTAAGCCCAGCATGCATTAGCTATTTATCCTGATGCTCTCCCTCCCCCCGCCTGCCCTCCACAGGCCCCAGTGTGCGTTGTTCCCCTCCCTGTGTCCATGTTCTCATGGTTCAGCTCCCACTTATAAGTGAGAACATGCAGTATTTGGTTTTCTGTTCCTGTGTTAGTTTGCTGAAGATAATGGCTTCCAGCTCCATCCATGTCCCTGCAAAGGGCATCTCATGTTCTTTTCACAGTGATCCTGTAAGAGAAACACTAGTATTATTTCCATGCTATATATGAGGAAACTGAGGCTGAGAGACAATGAAAACTTGCCCAAGGTCACTCAGCTGCTAAATAGCAAAGCCAAGACTTGAGTTGTAATCTTCACATTAGGCTGCATCCTAGTGTTTTGGTGTGACCCAAAGACTCCTCCAGGTATCCCCAGAGAGCCTCCAGAGCCAGAGCATGGTCAGCCTCAGTCGTTTCCTTGTTCTAAACATCATATAAGCAAACAATACCATGCAGACTTTTTTTTTTTTTTTTTTTGACAGAGTCTCTCTCTGTCACCCAGTCTGGAGTGCAGTAATGCAATCTCGACTCACTGCAGCCTCTGCCTCCCGGTTTCAAGTGATTCTCCTGCCTCGGCCTCCTGAGTAGCTGGGATAACAGGCGCCTGCCACCACACCTGGCTAATTTTTGTATTTTCAGTAGAGACGGGGTTTTGTCATGTTGGCCAGGCTGGTCTCGAACTCCTGACCTCAGGTGATCCGCTCACCTCAGCCTCTCAAAGTGCTGGATTACAAGTGTGAGCCACCGCGCCTGGCCCCATGCAAATACTTCACACAATATGTGCTTCACATAGACAAGAATTCAAGAACTGTCTATAAGTTTATATACATCAAAAATAAGTCACATGAAAAATATTTTTGGAAACAGACAGAAGTCAGTTTGAAGCCAAAATATATTGTCTTGGACGAGTCTAACCTCTGTAAGCTTCAGTGGGGATAATGCCTTGCTCACACGGCAGGTGAAATGATCAACAGAGACAATGTATGGGAAGCACCTGGCCTGCAGGGGGCCCAGCAAGCATGGGTTCCTTTGTCTTCTTTGCTGCACTGCTGGGAGCAATAGGGGCAGTGTTGAATGTGAGCCAGCAGTAGGCTGGTGCAGAAGCCTTGTGCTTCTCTGCTGTTAACACCCATTTCTGCCCTGGACCCTCAGGGCACTAATCCTATGGTCATAACCAGTTTCCTCATTGCTTTGCTATTTTCTGCGGTCACATTCCCAGCTTCTTGGGTCATCATTCCTACAGAAACCAATGGGTGTAACACAGGCCATAAGTCACGGGCAGCAATGGAAAGCTCTGAGTTCTTCCAGAACGACAGTATAAAGCCAAACAAAACAAAACAGATCCCTTCTAAAGGGATAAGACAAAAGCAAAAAGGCTGAAATCCAACATCATGAAGTTCAAGTTTCCAAAGCATGAACAGATTAGTTGCATGATTTTCCTCTTAACTTCAGAATCTTAAACCAAAAAACTAAAACAAAACAAAAGCAGTTAATAACTTCCTCGAAAGAATGAAGAAGTATCTTTAAAAAAAAAAAAAAAGGAACTGCAGACCAGCCTGGCCAACATAGTGAAACCCCGTCTCTACTAAAAATACTATATATATATATAATATATATATTAGCCAGGCATGGTGGTGGAGGCCTGTAGTCCTAGCTACTCGGGAGGCTAAGGCAGGAGAATCGCTTGAACCCAGGAGGCGGAGGTTGCAGTGAGTTGAAATCACACCACTGCACTCCAGCCTCGGTGACACAGTGAGACTCTGTCTCAAAAATAAAAATAAATAAATAAATAAATAAATAAAAACCTGCTAAGAACTATCTTGGGAGTGATTCAGCCATAAAGAAGAAGAGGAAGATAGAAGAGTAATCATATTTTCAACTTTATATTCCAATAACCATGCCCCGCTCTAGGGCAATACCTCTTAGAGCCACTGCTTTTCCTTAGTACCACCCCCAAATATATTTTCTGGCTAGATTATTTCCACCTTGCCCATGACTTAGAATTATCCTTTTTTTTTAATTCCCTAACAAACTTCTTTTCTTGAGTAGATTTCTATTCAAGTCTAGCCAGTAAAAAGGGTGGCCTTCCATGACCTTGCCTAAATTTTTGGTGCTTAGTTCTGATAAAATTCAAATATATTTCCAGAAAAAAATGCTAAGTCATTAAGATCATACCTTATTAAAAATATTCTGGGATAATTTTATTCTGCATTCTTTTTTTTTTCTTTTTTTTTTTTTTTTTTGAGATGGAGTCTCGCTCTCTGGCCCAGGCTGGAGTGCAGTGGCACGATCTCAGCTTACTGCAACCTCCGCCTCCCGGGTTCACGCCATTTTCCTGCCTCAGCCTCCTGAGTAGCTGGAACTACAGGCACCCGCCACCATGCCCAGCTAATTTTTTGTATTTTTAGTAGAGACGGGGTTTCACTGTGTTAGCCAGGATGGTCTCGATCTCCTGACCTTGTGATCCGCCTACCTCAGCCTCCCAAAGTGCTGGGATTACAGGCATGAGCCACCATGCCCGGCCTGATTCTGCATTCTTTTGGCTTAAACTTTACCATGTGCATTTTGGTTAACTGCAGTACATGTACCTAGCATGCCCCGAATTGGAAAACAAACTCTTTCTAAGCCTCTGTGTTTAAAAATTATTTCTCCTTTCTGGGGAGAGAAATTAGGAAGCTATAGAATGTTAGTGCTATAAAGATAAAGAAACTGAGGCCCAAGGAAATGAAATGCCTTGTTCAAGCCCACAGAGCCTTTCTACAGTTCTTCCCAGAGGATATCTGTCAATTTATTTTGGATTCCTGTATGAAGAGCATTCAGCTTCCCCGAGTTAATGGATTATTGACTGATGTTCAGAAAAATGCATAAAGAGGTTCGCAGTGTTTCCACTGTGAGAAACTCTTTTACTCCTTCTCAGTGGGGGTGCTAAGAGCATTTGGGGCAGGACAATTCTTCATGCAGAGGTCCTAAGAGTTTCAGGATGTTAGCATTTCCAGTCCAACAATGGTAAGTCTAGCATTTCCAGTCCACCTAATGGGAATTCTAGGATCACAACAAAGAGAATCCTCACTCTCCTCCCTACCCTGTCTTCCCCTGGGTCTTCTATAATACTCTCCTCAAAAATAATAATTCTTTTTTTTTTTTCAAAGTTTCTTGAGCATCCAGAAATAGCCACGAGTGATGTTTATTCATTCACTAGCTTCAGGCATATGGTGCAAGATGAAGCAGGAGGCAACTAGGCCCAGTGTTTTCAGAACTCCTCAGGACACCCAAACAGCTATTTGCTACTTACTTTGGGAGGTGCAAGAACCTGCTTAACACTTTCCTTGTCTTTATGGTAATCACTCCCCAGTAGGAGTGCTGGCAGGGGCTGCTTACATGACAGGATCTCCAGAGATTACCCAGCCCAAGAACTTCCTTTGAAAATCAGAGCCTAAATGTGAAGCGTTGAGCCCAAGGTCAAACAGCTCATCTATTGCAGAACCAGATCTTGGCATAGTCTTTCTTCTAGTCCCAGAGGCAGCCTTCCCTTATGCGACAGCTTTTCCAAGGGTTATGCTGGTTATGTAACTAGACTACTCAGGGTTCCAACACCAATCGCCTCATAGGAGTTCTGTACTCAGGCAGTTATTGCCTGCTCCTGTGTGAATAAGATCAGATTACCTTTGCTCCAGGAAATCACTCCGATCCAAGGAGATGGTGCTGTGGAGCGATTAAGAGCATGTGACACTAATGTCTGAATGCCTCACTTTCAAGCCAGCACAGCCTCTTATTCTTGGGCAAGCTGCCTAGCCTCTCCATGCCTCAGTTTGCTCATATGAAAAATGGGGGCAAATTAACCAAACTATGTTACAATAATTAAATGAGGTAATTATTCTAATGCACCTACCGCAGGGTCTGGCACATTATAAGGATGTGTTAAAGGTTGGTTATTGTTGTTGTCGTCATTGTCATTGTCATCATCATCATGAATTACATTGTTTTTCCTTTGCTGGGAATTGAACCAGGGAGAGAAAGCAGGGCTGGTTCATTTTCTCCCACCAGCATGAGCCAGAGGAGGCGCTTCCCTTGGGGACATAAGCAATAAACTCCAATCAATGGTTAATTCAGGTTCTGCTTGAGTTTAAAGGCAGGTATAGAAATGTATAAATTCAGCATACTTAACTTTGGTAATAAAAATTAAGAAAAACTCTATTTTTTAAGAGCAAAGTACCAGCCCACATCTCTAAACTAACTTTTCTCTTTTATAAGACCATTTTAACTGTTTCTGCTAGGTAATGATCATTTAATCAAGGGCATAAAAAGATAAATAAATTGTGGGTACTGCCTTCAAGGAGGCTTTCTTAAATATTTATTTTTTAATTGACAAATAATAAGTGTACATATGCATGGGGCACATAGCGATGTTTTGATACATCAGGGTAATCAGCATATCCATCATCTCAGATATTTATCATTTCTTTGTGTTGGGAACATTCAATATCCTCTTTCTAGCTATTTGAAACTCTATTATTGTTAACTATTGTCATTCTACAGTGGTATAGAACGCTAGAACTTATTCCTCCTATCTAGTTGTAATTTTATGTCCTTTAACAAAACTTTCTGTATGCCCTCCACCTCCCCCTACCCTTCCCAGCCTCTAGTATCCTCTGTTCTACTTTTTACTCCTATGAGATCAACTTTTTTAAGCTTCCACGTATGAATGAGAACATGTGGTGTTTAACTCTCTGTTTTTGGCTTATTTCCGTTAACATAACGTCCTCCAGTTCCAACATCCATGTTGCCATGAATGGCAGGATTTCACTGTTTTTTAATGGCTAAATAGTATTCCATGGTGTGTATATGCTACATTTTCTCTATCTATTCATCTGTTGTTGGACATCTAACTTGATTCCATATCTTGATTATTGCGAATAGTGCTGCAGTAAACATGGGAGTGCGGAGGTCTCTACAAGGAGGCTTTTAAAGGCAGAACTTGCCGCCTTTCTTCCCATTCGCTTGGGTGTCATTCCGTGACAGGTTTGGAATCTTGATAAACTAAATAGAGCCATGGCTGAAATTCTCCTTGTTTCACTAGCCCTCCTGCTTCCTTCCCTGCAGACCACCATTCCTAATGGGATGGTTCCCCAGGCTTCAAGCTCTTCCCAGTTCTCTTTAAGCCCGGTCAGCTGCTTTCTGCTGAAGAGTGGAAGGATACATTCAACATGTTTTTAAATTTTCTGTATCCTGATGCTTTGACACCTGGGGCTGTGCTGATGACCCTGGAGGGACTGCCACTCCCAGGGTTAGCCAATTCCGAGAAACAGTAAATGACTCACGTGGGAGGGCGCACCTTTCCTATGCAAACCAACCGATCCAGTATCCATACCCCCAATCACTTCCTTTATTGGGCCGTCTCTCGGGGCCACCATCCACCTACTCTAATCACCCCAGGGCCAGTAACAGACAACTAGGGACAGTCCCTGTGCCCCAAAGTTCACTGAACTTATTCAAAGGAGCCAATCCTGAGCCTGTTTACCCTGTCTTGCATTACCATTCCTGCAGAAATCACAATAAAGGCTCTTGTCTGCATTTTCCCCTTGCTCCCTCGGGCCCCTGACCAGCCCTGATGCTTCCCCATATGCCCCCACTGCATGACAAGCTGTGCCTCCTGTTTTATACCCATGGGGAACTCTCTAGAATTTCATAGGGAGCTTTTAACAGCCATACCCTAGACCAATTAAATCAGAACCTCTAGGAATGTGACCCAAACTTTAAGTATTTTTTTTAATTCCCCAGGTGATTCGAAAGTGTAGCCAACTTTGAGAATGGGTGCTTTAAAACATCCCCATCGACGTTTTCATAGTACACATTTCTAAGTTAAAAAATCTTTCCCATAGTAATCTCCAATGTCTTCCTTCAAATACTAAAAAATGTGGAGGGTACTTTAACTTAGAATCTTACCCTCTCCCCTATCTGCTGCCACTTATATCTACATTTATGCCTCAATTGCATAATTATCCATGAGGGAGATCAGATTTTGCCAATAAAAAAGATTTTACCCAAGACAGTGAGGAACTTTTGGTGAAGAAGGGGTTAAGATGATAGCCAGCCCAGTTGCATGCTGGGAATTGTAGTACAATAGTAGCGCCCAGCCAGTGAGGTGCTACCAGCTCCGAAGCAGCTCACGGTATCCCTCATTCCACACAGCCCATCAGAGAGGCAGTGTCCAGCAGTGGCTAATGCTGTGGACATCAGAGCCAGGACACCTAATTTCGATACCAGCACCACCTTTCACTAGCTACAGGACCCTGGGCACACGACTTAACCTCCTGACCCTCTGTTTCCTTTTCTGCTAATATAGGGGAAATAATAGTAATATCTATCTAGCCCATGGGATTGTTATGAGGATTAAGTGAGTTAATATGGGTAAAGTGCTTTAGAATGGCAGCTGGCACATAATACGCATTTTATAAGAGTCAGCTTTCATTATTATTACTTCTCAACCCCTTTCTTGGCCCAAGTTCTATTCTCATGGACTATAAAAGGTGAAAATCCCCTGATTCCACAGTTAGAACATGCGAGTTTAGCTGTCCTTGGAGAAAGTATTCATATCTATTTGTCTAAATTGTCTTCTGGTCATTTCTCTTTAAAACCATAAGGTTGAGTTAGGGGCAAGGGCCAATGATATTAGCTATCAGAGCCCAGCACTCCTACCCAAATGAGCATCGCTGGATTTCACCTGCCCAGCCTGTTCTCTCTGCTCTGACAGCAGTACCCAACTTGCTTTTGTGGAACCACCTCTCTCCCACCATGTGCACTCTTGGTGAGATTGCCAGTCAAGGTGCCCCACTTTCCCAGGGCAATGGGCAGGGGTGCCTGACCCAAGATCAGTCCACCATACTCATCTTTTGGGGAGGAACATAAGGATAAGAACAGGTTGGACTGAATTTGCCAGAGGGCATCATCCATTAGCTCCTGCCACATAGATTCCCAAGCTTTCACAAGTTCCTTCATTCTAAATCCTGCTTGGTCAACCCTTCCTTGGATTCTGTGAGTCACTCAATCACCATGGCAACAAGGTCCTTTTACACTTATGTTGGCAGAGTCAGTGTCTGTCACTTGCTACCAAAGAGTCCTAATGACACACTACTGCCAAATAATCTTAAAGATTGGCCCTCAATCCCCTTCCCACTTATTTCCAGTGGAACTATCAGTAGTCCAGTGCCTTTTTTGCAACATTCTTTCCATGTACATCATCACTAATCCTAATATCAACAATGCAGAGATAGTATTGTTATTTTTACTTCCTTGTTGCAAATGAGGCACAGAGAAGCTAATCAACTTTCCTAAGTTCACACAGTCAGTGAAGAACAGAAACAATATTCCGACAGGTCTAATTGCTAACTTCAACCAGTAAGTGAAATTTATTGGAGTCAAGATCACTTCCCTGCCATTTTGGACTCCTGGGTTGGGAAAGGATCTTTAGCATCCTCTCATGCAGTTTTTTTTTCCCTTTCTTTTTCTTTTCTCTTCTTTTTTTTTTTTTGGTTGTAAACTGAAAGAAGCATGATTTATATCACAGCTGTGCCTTCATACACACACAAAGAATGGAAACAAAGGCTTCACAAGGCAATAGTTATCCTTACTGGTGCAATATGCTCCAATTTTGTATTTGAAATGATTTATTTTTCAAATTCTACTTGTACTCACTAGATTGATATTGATGTCCCGATCCACTATCATATCTGACACGCAGCTTTGCAAACCCTGCTCTGTTGAGAAAGCTGCTTAAAATGACACCAGTTTGCATGTCTGAGTGTTTGTAAAAGGAGGCAAGGCCAAGCTTGATCTTCTAAGCCTCCTAATAGTGATTTGTTTACTTGTACAATGTGTGTTTCCTAGGCCACACCAGCCTGAGGGGAAAACTGGGATCATAACCAGGCACATGCTGTTCCTTTCTCACTCTGCTTTCAACAGCTCTTCCAGAACCACCAGAAGCCCCCAGACGAGAACCCCCTTCTGGTCTTTCTGAGGATGTCCAGGGAACACTGTACATGTGCTCCCAAACATCATTCCTTGTCCCTCATTTTCCTTCTCTTCTGCTCTGCCTCCCTGCTGGGATCCTTTCCCAGTGCCTTTGATGTCTGCAGGGCTGTCACTGCTGCTGGGCCACCAAGGCTGAGCTGCTGCTGGTGAAAAATTCCATGACTTTAGTCTGACTCCCAGGCCTGGATGGGAGCATTGTTTGTCTCACCTCTTCAGCAGCCTCTGGTGTCACCACTGTGCATAGTTCCTTATAGCACCTGCATGCCATGCAATGGTGCCCACCACATTAGAGAGAAGTCCCACTTTTTTACAGGGATCCCAAAAGAGATTCCTCTTACTCCCTTCTAACTTACACGTGTTCAAGGGCAGTAGGCTGAAAAAAGTCTTCATCCTGTATTCACAACCACCTTAATCTTCTCCACCTGTAGACCTTGTCCTTGGGCTAAGCATGCGTGCTCCTACTCTCACCCAAACTGGTGAGATTTTTTTTTTTTTTCCAGGAGGCAGCTTGGTTCCTTCTCATGGCGGAACCCTTGACAAGGCCACAGTGTGTCATACTGCTCAGAAGTGCCTGCTTCCCAGAGTGAATATACGCTTCAGCTAACCTCATTTTTATTTGAGAGCTTTGCTTCCCAGGTCCCAGAAGTCACATGTTCAGAATTCAAGTCCTGTTGCAACCATGATGAGAATGATGGTGATGACGGTGAAGATGATACTAAATCTTTCACACGTATCAGACTGCACAATAAGCACTTTTAGATACATTATCATGTTTCATTTTCTCAACAACTCTATGTGATACATACTATTATTATCCTCGTTTTACAGAGGAGAAAATTGTGACTTAGGAAGGGTAAATCGGCCCATGGTCATATGGCTGGCAAAGTGCAGAGCTCAGCTACTCCTCTACAGCTCAGACTGGGCATTGAGCCTGCCTCAGCTAGGCCTCCTGGCTTCCCTGGGCCTCCTTCCAACTCTGCTTTAATCCTTTCCAAGCCCCTCTCCCCAGGGTCCCTATTGTGATCCACAAGTGGGTGGCCACACCTTATCTGAAGGCCTCCAAGATGGTGGAAACCCCTAAGCTTCCACCTCCTGCTTCCTACATCATCTCTGTGCTCCCTGGGGCTTCCTGGAGCAGTAAGATGGGAAGCATTATCAGCAATGGGGCCTCCTCTTCAGGCCTCTCAAGACTTCAATGCAGCGAACTGCCCTCATCTCCCCGAGTCTCTCCTCAGATCCAATTCTGGAGCCAGGAAGTGGTTTCTCCTCCCAAAAAGGCCGCCAGCATCCTGCATTACATGGTTAAATTTTGTCTGACCTTAGTGGGTGTTTTTAATTGAATAAAGAATTCAAGTCTGGGTTTTAAATGCCATAGAAAAATAAAAAGTTACTGTCTTTTCAGAATGCCCATTGTAATTTGTCCTTAGAGTTTCTCCTCCCCTCCCCTCCCCAATGGTCCTTTTCCCCCTTGAACTGACAAACTGAACTGCCAGATAAATACAGCTGCAAAGTGAATAGTATGGATATGATTTCTTCCCCTCATTCATTTGCCTTCCTAGCTTTACCAAGTCAAAAGAAAAAGACCGCTCACCCTTTCTTCGGCTGTGTCTTCATACCACAAAGCCAACAGCTAGTCAAGCAATCTTCATGATTTGAAACATTTGAAAGTGAAACACAGGGAGTGACTTAGCCTGATGGATTACATTAGTCATTGTAACCAAGTTTCTGCCATGGGGCTTACCCCATGCAGAGTGGTGGTCTCTGTGTGTCCTCTCTGTACCTCGGTTTCTCCATCTGTAATATGCAGGGATCGAATCCAGGATCTTTGAGGTCCCTGAATCTTCTCGATGTCTTCATTTTGTAGTTACAGAACACATCATTTACAAGTCAGTTGATTTAGAGGGTGACTTTGAATAAAAACAATCCTCCATAAAACTTTTACCACATAATTATTTTACGGAGCAAGTTTCCACTAGGCACTTGAAGCAGGGTTCAATTTACAAAAACCCGACTTGCAGCCAACTTTTAAGTGACACTTTTACTGTTTAAAGTGAGGCTTGCGCAGAGGTCACAGTTTCTAAAAACACTGCCCTCCATTCCCTCCTCCACAGAGTCCTTGACAGTGAAGCATTCGTAGAATACACTTTAAAATCATGACTTCTTGTCAACGAAGAGTTTTTCTTTTTCCCTTCCGTAAAAAACAACACACAGTATTTACAACCCCACAAAAACTGACTTAGTGATAATAACCTACTGGTCCTTTTGAAACACAAACCAGTTAATATCACTCCCCTGCCTGATTCTACAGAGGTGTCCCATTGCTCTGCAGATCATGAGCCAGACTTTATGTATGCCGTTCCCTCTACCTGGAGTGTTCTCACGAACCCTCTCTGTAACTCCTCCTTACCTCTGAACTCAGCTCAATCACTGCTACTTCAGGGAATTGGCCCCTGACTTCCTTGACTAGGTTAGATCTCTTTATTAGAACTGCAAGGTGCAACTGTAAGTTTATTTGGCTGGGCATGACCATGAATGGACTGTACACTCTGCTGTTGCTGGCATAGCCATCCAGGTTGCCCACTACATGCACAATGCTACACAGGCCCTGGGTTCCCTAGCGGGGTCTCTAACCTCGTGGACCTTGCAATCTTCTGGGGTAAACAGACAGTTATCAAATGTGAGAATGCACGTGAATGGCACTGTCCCCCGCAAAGAGTTTACAGAGAACTGAACAAGGGATTGAAGTTAGCATGGGGCCAGCTACATGAGCGAAAGGGTAGAATGGCAATGCTTTCAGCTCTGATGCAGAATGAGGTTATGTCAAAATCGCCTTTGCTCAAGCAGTCCTTTTAATACTTTCAGTCTAAGAAGCTAGAGGAGAAAGGAACGTGGACTGATATCCCAGGCTGTTCGTGCCAGCTTGAAGGATGGCCGCCTTCGCCATAGTGAGATAACCGGGGGTCTGTTTTCCTCATCTTCCTCCATCCCAAGGGTCTTCCTACTCTCTTGGACTAAACTATCCCACCCCAAGGCCAGGGGCTCTTGATTGCTTCTTTAAATGAATTTTCTTTTCCAAGGGCCCATCCGCTCACATCAAGTACACGAGTAACATAGCCTATCATTTTCATTTAATTCCAGAATGTCTTTACTATCATCCCCGTTTTACAGACAGGAGAATAGATTCAGCAAGTTCACAGCAGACCTGCGTTCTCAAAGCCAGGTGTCTGGTTCTCAGTCCAGCATTTCCCCCACCATGTCACAGCCTCGGGGCTGAGCCAGGCCTTTTTCAAAGCCCCAGGAAGCTAGAGCTGGCCGCCTCCTGCTGGCAGGGAGTTCCTTCCAGGCTTCTGGTGCTACTGCCAAAGAAGGGAGGGTGGGAGAAGAGAGGGAGGTGGATTATACACAGAGAGGGTCCCGCACTTCTGTTTCCCTTCCTTGTCATGGAAGGAGAGAATGAATTACGTGGGGGACCCAGGGGGATAGGAAAATCAATCATTCATGACAGTTAATAAGTGTCAGAAAAGTATGTACTCACATTCATCCCCTGAAAGTCACATTCTTCATCTGTTCTGATTTGTCTTTCACTGATGGCATTAGCCAGGTAGGCTCAGCAAGAAACATCAAAAGGTTTTAGCCCAATATTGTGGAGAGAGTTTCATTTAGCTTCATTTTTTCCAGCCGGGGCTGGCTCCAAAGCTAGTTTTTCTTACTAGGTTGTTTGCTACATGAAAAGCAGACTCCCAGAGGTTTCTGAGATTGCCGACATCCTATGCAAGATGACTGCTCCCACCCACCCGCCCACCCACTCACTAATAAGACATAATGCCGTCCTATTTTTGGTAACAATTAAAGGGCCTCCCGGTGAAAGCAGAAAGCTGTTTATTTTCTGTGACATCACTTCACTTTGCCTTCGAAGGCTGGTCTGTGCTCAGTGTTTTCGTGGTGATGCAAGTCGGCTCTCTCCTCCAGCAGTTGGATCCCTCCCATCTCACAGTACCTCACAGGTCTCTTCCCCCGAGCAGTGCATTGCTGGAGCGAGGAGAAGCTCACGAATCAGCTGCAGGTCTCTGTTTTGAAAAAGCAGAGATACAGAGGCAGAGGAAAAGGGTGGACTCCTATGTGACCTGTTCTTAGAGCAAGACAATCACCATCTGAATTCCAGAAGCCCTGTTCATGGTTGGGGATATTTTCTCGACTGCATGGAATCAGAAAGAAGCAAAAGGATGGGAAATGCCTGCATTCCCCTGAAAAGAATTGCTTATTTCCTATGTCTCTTATCTGCGCTTTTGCTGACTGAGGGGAAGAAACCAGCGAAGCCAAAATGCCCTGCCGTGTGTACTTGTACCAAAGATAATGCTTTATGTGAGAATGCCAGATCCATTCCACGCACCGTTCCTCCTGATGTTATCTCATTGTAAGGCCCGTAAGCATTTTGATATCTAATTTACGATTTAAAAATTCCAGCCGGTGGATTTGGGGCTTTGCATGTATTTGTAGAAGGGCATGGAGAGAGAGATTCCTCTTGCATGCTTGGCCATTTGACAGTGCTAACATTTGCTGCATTTAGAATTTTTGATTTTTTTAGCTGCTACTGAACATGCTTAGATACCCCCAGCCCTGAACATTATCATGAGAAACCTGTAGCCGATTCATTTCTCTTACTTCATCTGGGAAGGAATAGTATCGTACTTCATAAAATAGTGTCAAAATAGTCACTGTTATGCTAAACCGGATTAACATAAGGTTTGTTCTGTGTGTGTGTGTCTCTTTGTGTGTGTCTGTTTGTTTGTTTTCTCTTTTTTGTTTTCTTTCAGATCCTTTGTGAGATCTGGTTTTACTGAAATCTCAGAAGGGAGTTTTTTATTCACGCCATCGCTGCAGCTCTTGTGAGAAATATTTATATCATGACTATTTTTAATATGGCATATATTTGGATAAGCCTTCTAGTAAAATGATCTCAATATTAATTTTGTCAAATGTGATTCTATTTCTGAGAAAACAGAATATCCGTAAAGTGAGAGGTAGATGGGTTTGTTTGCGACTTCACACCAACAGTGCAGGTTGATTCTTACAATGGTAAATCTGTTAACCTGTCATGCTGTCTACTTTAATGGCTATTTATGAAGTTGTTGGAATCTTGCAACAATGATCCCAATTCCATTCCACTATTTTACTTTCATTTTTAACTTGGGAACTTGGGTTCTTTTGCCCTGGAGTTTTTGAATTAGTCAATACAGAACCCAGCATAACATATGCGCTCAAGATGTTGTCTCCGGGGATCTGGGGCAGGCTGCTACTCTGTATGATTTACCATGTGGGGAAAAAAAACACCTCAGCTCTTTCTAGGTAATTCCTTAAAATGTTAATTCTCAAGAGACTGTTTTTTAATCTCATCTAATTTATAACTAGTTCCATTACAAGGAGGGAAAGAAAATATTAATATAGGATAGTGCAAAGGATTACTCTCTGCTATATGTTTTGAGTTGGCCACAAGGGAACCACATACTCAGTCTATGCCTGAAAATATTCAAAAAAATAATATTTGACTAAGAAATCAGATCTGTTCACAGGCATAATGGAACACATAAAATTTGTTCTGATGTGTAATGTTTGGCAATTGGAGTCCTAGTCCTTACAGCGGTATCACATGGGGGTCAAGAGGTCTCCCAGGACTCAGGTATCAGGTCGCAGACTTGGTTTGTAGCTGGACGGATATGGGCAGAATTAGACAATTGTGGATCAGCTGAGTCTTGGCTATCTTAACTGCATGATTCAGGACCCAGGCCTTTCACTTGTTTGTTTTTTATTTTTTTATTTTCTTGCCTTACTTGGCCATTTTGGCTGTTTGAAGTTACATACACAGAGGCAAACAGCATGGAGTGGACGTTGGAGAGACAAGTGTTTAAACCTCACCCTGCCACTCATAGAACCTAAACATGTAGTCTTGTGCAGATTAGTATATCTCACTAAGCCTCAGTCTTCTTATCTTTAAAATGGAAGTGAGAACACATACTTCCAAGGTTTAAGTAGATAAAACACTTGGCATAGGGTGTGCCAAATGCTTACACATTTATAAATGGTAGGGTTTAAAAATTTTATATCAAGCTAAAAAGCTAAAAGTCACTCATCTATTGTTTTGTGTATATGAAATTCCTAAACTGGTTTGACTGTTTCATTGGATTCACAAACTTGATCAGTTGTTTTGACATTATGTAATGATGTTGGCTAATGCCCTTCTACTGGCTGATGTCTTCAAATGATTAGCAATTGACTAGATATTCCTAAGGGGTTTATCTGTTTGATTGATGGCTAGTGGTGTGACTGGGGGAAGTGTTAGTTAGCACATCAAACAAATCCAAAAAAGATAGATTCTTTCCCACAGAAAGGGGCAGAGTCTCTAATGCTGGGATCCTTCCATAGGATAAGAATTTGCTGTCTCTGAGAAAGTGATAAATTGTGTTTCTGGTCCTCACTTGTTAAATGAATAAATAGCTCTTTTAAAAAGCATCCTTTTGATATGCTAAGGCACCTCCCTTCCCCTAGGAAGTTACATAGATCTAGTTACATAGATCAGTCCTTAAAATTCCAGGAGTAGTGTCAGTAGACACTAGATGGACATTAGCTGTGGCACAGAAAGCCTGGAGTGATTAACCTAATCAATTACCACATCTCCACTTTGTTTTTGTTGGGTGGACCCAGTCACGGCAAGCACAGATGCTGGACAATGTTATAGAAATAGTTACCGGCTGCTGCAGGGTAATGTGATTTCACGTATTTAGAATCACAGAGGGAAGCCAAGGGACTGGTTTTTAAATAGCCCAACCGAGTGTGTGCCATGCCCGTGCCCCATGCTCCGAGTTCCTATGGAACATTCCAGCCTTTATTTCTAAAAGCAGTTCAGGTTTCAGAAATAACAAAAGGCGAGTAATTCTCTCCCAGTGTGTTCTCGGTTAACTCAGATTGGCTAACCTCAACATGGTAGACTTGTGCCAGAGCTGAACTTATGCAAAATTGTCAGGGGCCAAAGTTTGTCCCTAATCTCCAGGACCCTGTGCCTGAAGACTCTGCTCTCCATCCTTCTTGCCCAATATTCTCTGCTTCCGCCTATCCTCAGGAAAAGGTCTAATAAACTCATGTGCGGTGTGTAGGAAATATATGAGAAGGCTCTGAATATGAACTATGAAACGATCATAACAATTGTGGGAATGCATGGATCCCACAGAGAAAGATCTCTTCTGTGAGACAGGGCTGTCCAGTGCCCTGAAAACCCCATATGGGCTGCCAATCCCCCTTTGGAACATGAAGACCAATGGCATTGGACCACCAGATTAGGCCTAGATCACACAAGCCATTGAGGTTTGCAATGAATTCCAACAGCATTTGTGATTGTGAATTGCCACACTCACCCATCATACACTGTGAAGAGATAAATTTCAGAATCAATTCGGCTTGATTGACGTAGGAAGACAGTTCGTTGGTTTCTTGCTTTATTGTTGGGAAGGGTTAAAGCAAATGTCCTATTTCCATCATCCACCCTAAAAATCTGATAATGTCAGTATGCCCCCAGATGCTTTTTCAGAGCTTCTGAAAAAGCTATGATGAGAAGTACTTGTTGAAATGTCAGTCTGGGGTACTGAGGAAAATAGACATGGTATCTGAAGTTACATGCAGTGTTTGGGAAAAGATCCTGGTAGGCCATGGCTGGCAGTTTGTGTTGGAGAACAAGAAAAACAAAAACCCACATTCCGTAGAGAAGAGAGAGAAAGAATAAAATTATTCAATAAAAATTCATTAGATTAGTTGTAATATACATTTTTTAAAAATCTCATTTATGGGTTTAAACATAACAATAAAAACCTTTCCCAAGCAAATGCAATTTCATTCATGTTTTACATAGGGCCAGTTTCGAAACATAACCAATGACAACGATTATGCGTTCTAGCTTGCTTTTAGTGATAGAAAGTGGTACTTTTAGTGAATGCAGTTTAGGGAAATGTGTTTTCACACATTACAGCCCTGTTCCTTCTCAACTACAGACTGAAGTCCCCAATGATATGGGCTCATGATGGAAGTGAAATTCAAATTTAAGAGGACAAAATGTGGCCACTTCGCCACCCACTTATAACATATTTTAATTATAAACCCCTGTAATTCCCGAGAGTGTTCTATTTTCAGGGAGTGATTTCCAGGGTAGTTTTAGTATCATGCTCAAATAAAACAACACAAAACAAAAACACTGCACGTAAGAATCCGACATGACCAGAAAAAATTTCTTAGTATTCCAATTGGATGTGGTCTTGTTTGAAAGACAGAATTGATCTTTCAGGGTCAAAGGAGGGGAATAGCGTTATTTTAAAAATTAATCCACAATCAACACATAAATACCTGATCCATAAGAAATTAAAAACTAAAAACAAATGGAAAAGCAAAAGGCATGAACAAAAGAAGGAATAAGTCCATCCTTACTAAGGCTTTATCATTTAGTCCTTCAAAATATGATCTGTCCAGGAAAAAATATCCATGGCCTCCTTTACCTTTAAAGCAATTGCTACCTTTTTCTATTCCTCCTTATATTAGAAGCCTACAATTTAGCAGTCTTCAATGACCACTCAAGCCAAACCTATCAGCCAAGGGTGTTTTTGGAGGAATTATTAGCTGGTTATAGGTGAGCACGTTTTGGTTTGTATCCAGCTGATGCCCCCATGATGGACCAAAAAGCAAAAATTTCAGTCATCTAGGCTGTTTTGTCTACAGTTTGCCCAATGATCCATAGATCTAATCTTTAACTTTTTAATTAATTACTTCTTTTTTGTTTTTACTTTCTTAAAAATAATTTTAAATTTTATTTTAGATTCGAGGGTCCATGTACAGGTTTGTTACTTGAAGTGAATTAATTCTCGTAACTGCACAAACTAGCACTCACCACAATTGTTTTCTCTGAAAGTGTATTTCATCCTTTCAGTTATTCAGGCAAGAAACTTCAGAGTTACCTGACCCCTCTCTTTCACTCTCCACTTCCACCTGGACAAGCATCCTGTCCGACAGCATGAGAATCTGCCTCCTCCTCTTCACCACAGCACCACTGCTTTCACTGAGGCTGCATTTCATTCACTGTTTCACAGGCTGTGGCAGGAGCCTCCACGCCTCACTGTCTGCTTTCAGTTCCCATCTGACCCATCTCCATTAGCGCTGCCTTTCCTGAGACACAGCTCTCCGTGCTTTCATGACTCCCTAGAAACAGAGAAAGTCCAGACACCTGAGCTGGCATCCATAGTGTTTGGCCCTTTCTATTTGTCCAAGGTTATCACTCACATCATTGACTCTACACACACAGACACACACACACACACAGACACACACACACACACGTGCCCAAACAAGTTCTGCAGGATCTCATTCTATGACCTCTGTTGATTCTCAAATTCTCTAGACTTTACTGATGTCTGGCACTGTGTGCCATTTGCTAGAGTTATGGTGCTTGTATCTGCCTTGTGTCTTTCATGGAGGATCACCAATAAACTGTGGTCCCAGAGAAAAACCCAGACATGTTTTCCCATGTATTTGTTGAATCCAGTTTATGTTTCCATCGATTTTGTGCTGAAGACTCCTGTGTTACTCTCAGCAGATAATGCTGGTCATGTTCACACTCTTTCTGATGTTTGGTGCACCCTATCTGAATTCACGTGGACTAATAGTGTGGAGGTCTGGGAAGTGAGCCGAACTAAAAAAACTCGAGGAGATATTTGCTCATGAAGTTGTGAATTCAAACTTCCTCAGCAGAGATTTCCAGCATACCAGATTTCAAAGGCAAAGCATCTAAGCCTTTCCTTAGACCCACCGCTCGAATCTCTTGTGTCCCACGCTGACTTCACATTTGGTCTCCTTGGTTTTTAGTCAGACTGCAGAGGCCGACTAGTCTGTCCTGGGAAGGGTAAGATGCTCCTTTATCCAGCCTGACCGGACATCCAGAGGGAAATGTTAGTTAAGCATTATTAATATGAAAAGAAAAATCAATAACACAAAGATAATTTCCTTTTTGATTTAAGTACTGCTTAGCCAAAATAAGTATTTATTTATTGTATAGTTGCAAGCAGCAACAAAATGAAAACAAAAGCCTCCCATTTTAGCAGACATGTTTTGAGGCTCTACTGGGTAGCAGGTACAATGTTGGGCTTTGTGAAGGACACAAAGATGAGTGACACGCTGTCACTTTTCACCCTGATATGGCAGCTCCAAGCTGGTAGTGATTCTTGATATGGTAAATTATACTTTGCCTGTATTTGAATGCATTAGTTTCATTTAAAAAATTATTTTTATGTAAGTAGAGATGAGGTCTTGCTATGTTGCCCACGCTGGTCTCGAACTCCTGGCCTCAAACAATCCTCCCACCTCACCCTTCCAAAGTGCTGGGATTATGGGTATGTGCCTGGCCTCCTTAAATGTATTATAAGGTAGTCTTGATAAGCATTCTCATTTTGTTCAAAATGAGATTCAGTTGATTAGTGATGATGGTGATGCTTGCTGGTTGTTGATCCTGTGGCTAATACGGGCTACAGAATGTCTGCAAGGGCTTTACAGCATCAGCTGTAATATCAAAACAGCTGACCCTGGTGAGCTGGCAATGAGGCAGACAACACAGACTTGTGGGCAGATAAGCATGGGTTCAAATCCCCACTCTGCTTCTTCCTAGTTGTATGATTTGGGGCAAGCTTAATCAAGTCTTGATATCTATATCTACAAAATGAGGAAGAACCGTAGTACCTATTGCACAGAATTACAGTAAGGATTAAGTAAAACAATGCATGAAAAATGCTTTGCAAGGTTCCTGTAACTCAATACACATTAGCTTTATTACAGTATCTGAAAATCACTTTAATTGGAACTACCATAACATCAGATTAGTGTCTGATTGTATAATCTGGGTTTGCCGATAATCTCAGCTTTAAACATTTTGTGGTTCTACACACAGTTCCCCAGCAGAACTTGCTGAGAAATCTTTTCTTTAAATACTTCTTACAGGAAACATGAACTATTTACCTTTCAAAAAAAAGTCATAACCCTCTCCTTTCTTCCTCATGAATAAAATGACTGGCACCACGTTTTGTAAAACATGCCAGATTTTGTTTAAATAATTAATATTGGCAGTCTTCAGATGAGTGGTTCTATGGTAGCATAGAAAGAGGCCTAAACTAGAAATCAGGAAACATGGGTTTGAAACTCAGTTTGGCCACTATTGGGCTGCGTGATCCAATAGTTTGGGTAGGTCACAAAACTACCTAATAGTTTGGGTAGGTCACAAAATATCACTGGACCTCAGCTTTTATTGCATAAAATATTAGAGGTAGATTAAACTGTGGTTCTGAAACTCAAATGCTAGTGGGGTTTGGGGCGGTAAGACCAATGAAGGAAGCAGTTGAGTATAAGACAATAAGGAGTAGTGGTGACTGAGGTAAACCAGAGAAGACATGTCTTACCTAAAAATCCTCTGCTCCAACTGACTATTGCTGATGGGATTGTGGTACATGCACATGGAGCCCTATCTTCCTCATTTTTAGGGGAAGGTGGAATTCTGGAAGTAGATTTTTAAACAGGATAAAGACCAAACAAATATAAGTTGGCATTTTGAGACCCTTGCATTCAATTACATCTAAGGTCTCCTCCTATCTTAAAATTCTGTTGTATTCTACAAACAGTTACGTTAATATAATATAGAAATGGCATGGTTAAAGAAATGGACAACGATGGCTTGGCGCGGTGGCTCACGCCTGTAATCCCAGCACTTTGGGAGGCCGAGGAGGGTAGATCACGAGGTCAGGAGATGGAGAACATCCTGGCTAATACGGTGAAACCCCGTCTCTACTAAAAATACACAAAATTAGCCATGCGTGGTGGCGGGCGCCTGTAGTCCCAGCTACTCGGGAGGCTGAGGCAGGAGAATGGCGTGAACCCAGGAGGCGGAGCTTGCAGTGAGCCGAGATCGCGCCACTGCACTCCAGCCTGGGCGACAGAGTAAGCCTCCGTCTCAAAAAAAAAAAAAAAAAAAAGAAATGGACAAAGATTATTGAATCAGTTCTAACAAACCAATACATTAGGTTGTTCATTGAAAGAAACTCATAATATGAAACTGGCTGTTATAAGGTTATTAATACAATAATTGTAGTTCCCAATCTCCCAAACAGGTCCAAAGGGACCTTACCAGGCTCTCCCTGTGGTGGTTGATGATAAAATGATGTTTCAGTATCCCTCTCATGGAGCAAGGATTGGAAAAAAATTGTTAGGCCCATTTTTATATAGCAAGATGGCAGGTGCTTGCATGTGTAAAATGTGATCAAAAGGCAATAAATCTTTAAAAATACAAACTAGAATGTATACATACAAATAACTCTTGACTTCACAGAGGGCCATAGATTTTGCCCAACTGTGCTTCCATGGCTAAAGATTTCTGGACCCTCCTTTGAGAATTGTCTTCATTGCCAGTTTACAAGCCACGCAATAAAACCAGGCAAGGTTTTATTAGAGACATTAGTTATTTTTGTATTGCTTGGTGCTAAGCATTTTATAGATCTCTTTTTTTTTTGAGACGGAGTCTCGCTCTGTCCCCCAGGCTGGAGTGCAGTGGCGCGATCTCGGCTCACTGCAAGCTCCGCCTCCCGGGTTCACGCCATTCTCCTGCCTCAGCCTCCCGAGTAGCTGGGACTACAGGCGCCCGCCACCACGCCCGGCTAATTTTTTTGTATTTTTTTAGTAGAGACGGGGTTTCACCGTGTTAGCCAGGATGGTCTCGATTTACTGACCTCGTGATCCTCCCGCCTCGGCCTCCCGAAGTGCTGGGATTACAGGCGTGAGCCACCACGCCCGGCCTATAGATCTCATTTTTAATGTCATCATCATGGTAACCTTTTGAGGTAGATATAATTATCTCCATTTTGCAAATGAAGCGCTGAGTCCTAAAAGATAACCTCCTCAATGTCACGCCCCTATTAAGTAGCAGAGTTGGAGTTTAAACCCATGTCCTCACTTTTAACCACTTCTGTCTACTTCCTCCTGAACATGAATCATCATGCTTCACTTTGCATAGTTTTGTTCCCAAAATCAAATCCCCTCTCAAAGGGTCAACCTTTGCCATTAACAAGAGTTTTCAGGAGAATGTGCCCTAATTCCTGGAGACAATGACTGAAAGGAGTTTCAAAAGCCCTTTGAAAGAGTGGCCGCATTGCTGGCAAGAGCAGCTAGTTTCCCTAGGTTGCAACTCTCATTTATATGTGTAAGCTCTGATCTCCTTGCTTAAACAAAAATAGAGAGAAAGAAAAGAAAAAAGCAAAAGAAAAAGGCCTTATTTACTTTAAAGTTACACCTTAGACTACTGTTGTCTAAACTTGTGTCCTGTGGAGCAGTTGACCTGAAAGAAGAGTTCTGTGCTCAAATAAATTTGGGAAACTGCACGTTCTATCCCTGCTTGGTTATTTACAATGAAGTTACCTTGGCATAGAAACATCTCTGAAATTATTCAAAATTGTTTCACTTTTCTTAACATCCCATAGAATATTGGTTCTATGGAACATACAGTACTTTGGAAATATATGCATGTGATAATTCATCTTATTTTTAGCTTAACTATTTGTACCCCACCTCATTCTAGAGAGGTTGGATAGCAAAGGATACGCAGGTGGAAAGAATCTCATCCTAGTGGATACATTAAACGGTCTGTCTCCATATAAGGAGCAACTCAAGACCATTTTGTTAGTGTGGATTCGTTGATGTGACCTCTGGGAGTCAGGCTCCTCAGTAGGCTCTCTACCTGGTCAAGCAATTTAGCACACACCCCTTCTTTAGGGACCTCCCAGTAGATCTCCATCTTTGGGAGGAAGGAGATGACTTCTTGCAGCTCATTCAACAGGAAAAGGCTTCTGAGTGTGTAAATATACACTGTCACTGTTTTTATTTGGAGCAGATTTCATCACAGCTATTTTCTAAATGGCTAAACAAGCATTTCCCTGGGTATGTTCCATGGAATATTCATTTTGTAGGAAGCTCAATGATAAAAGAGTCGCATTGTCAATGAGACCAGGAAACTGTATATTTAATTCCATTTTGAAGAGTCTCAATTTACTTAAGGATAGAAAAGGCACAGTTAAGAACCCTGATTAACTTCTTTAACCCACTTTTCCTAAATGTATCTGCCAGTTTTTGTGTACATAAACCTCTCAACCCTTTGAAGATCGTGCGTTCCAGGGAATACACTCTGGGAAATTCTGGGCAAGACTGTTGCAGGTTTGCAGCAGATACTAGGCAGAGCTGATACTAAAAAGAGGGAGCTGGCTTCCTCATGGCCACTCACCAGTCCTGGGGAAGTCGGGGAGGGAGAGAGGAAGCCTGAGCCTGGAATCCCAGCTCTGCCACTTACAAGCTTCAAATCACTTCACCTCCCTCACCTCGGTTTTCTTTATCTCTTACGTGGAGAATATAAAACCTACATCTTAGTATTCATTTGAGGATTAAAATCAGATGTCAAGCTGTTGAAGATGAGGCCTGGCATGGAGTAGACCCTTCTCCTTGATGTTCCAGGACTGGGGAGATCCAGGGTGATTTTATAAACACATGGGGAGGGTGGGCTGCTGACTAGCTGTGCCAATTCCTAGAAAGGAAGAGTTTCCACTGCTCTGGGATGAGAGATAATCCCAGGAGGATTGAGGATTACCAAAAGGGGGTTACCACTCCAAAAGGAGAGGGTCCATGCTCGAATGTTTGCTAGTGTGCATGTCAAGGACATCCCTGCAAATCTGAAATCCACATCCTAAATCCTAGCCCCACCACTGACAAAAGATGTGACCTTGGTTAAGTCACTTAACCTCTGCCAGCCTCAGTCTCCTCATCTGTAAAAAGAGGAGTTGGACTACGTATCTCTCTGGAGTACCCCCAACCCTCAGATTAGTGTGGAACCAAATTAAGGTTATTCCAATCAATCCAGGTTGAAGAGTTGGTAATCTAATTAAGGATCAGCTGAATTTTCAAGGTTGAGAGTCAAAAAGAACTGTCAAATAATGTACTTGTGTGTGATGCTTCCAATTTTAATGCTTTTCTGTGTTAGGAGCATATTTTTAAATATTCAAATGTGAATTATTCACATGGCACATGCACTTATAATGTGTGCATTTAACTAAAGTGAATCATCAGCCTATTATTAATTATCATTTAACCAGCCCTATTCTTTTGGATAAAGGAGAGTGTTAGTAAAAACCAAAGGGTTTGGATCATTTAAGCAAAGCCAGCTCTAAGCAATTTGGCAAGCCCCTCCAGCTGTCCCTCCATATCTTCCAACAGCTATAACCTGTGCATCCTGTGCTCTTTCATTTACATATACATATACATATGCAAATAAACCCATGTTCACTTGGGAGTGTGCACACTCATGTTTGTACACACTGTCCGTGTCCTACCTAATATCCTAGATGTCCATCAAAGTCTTCTTGGGGCAGGTGACATCCTCACGGGACCTGAGTTTCCTTAGCAGTTAAACACGTGTTCTTTTCCTAGATCTAAGTAAGAGCTCTTCCAGCTCTGACATTTGATGTCTGTGCTCTTTACTTAGCTATTCCTTGGCAGAAGCATTGGAGACATGCTCATACACATTATCTCACATAATTCTTAAAATCATCCAGGAAGTCTTTTTGCATCCTCAATCCTATTTTAACAGATGATGAAACAGATTTACCTACTTGATGTGTAAACATACAATAATAACTGGCAGTTACAAGCTTAGAAACCTGATTCTCTATTCTGAATCCAATCAATTCATTCTCCAAGTGACAACCAGGCACTGGCTACTCACTTTTCCCTTCTTAATCAGAGTGGTTTTTGTGGAGTTGGGAATCATCTGGAAGAGCCTCCTAGATCATCTCCCCTCCATAGCCAGGAAAATCTGCTCTAGGCTGAAACATGGGATGTAGGCCACTCATGGGCCAGATACAATTCTAATGGCAATCAAGATATTATAGGTGACTGGAGAGAGTCTGAAGAAGTACATGTCATTAGAGCCAGGGTGCCTGGCACGGGACCAAATGAGCAGTCTAGTTTGAGACAATGGGAAGTTTTCTTAGCAGGAGTCACCCTTCCCCCAACCATTCAGCCATCTGCAGACCAGCCTCCCCGCTCCCCAGATTCCACATGCCTACTCTTTCATGAATGAAGGCTACAGTGCTATAAGCATAGACTCACACATCTTTAGAGCTACAAAAGACCTCACAAATGATCTAGTCTAGTCTCCTCGCTTTACAACATAGAGAAAAGTGGTATGCTCTAGGACACAGAAGGTATGGTCAAATTTATATTAGGCTTCCTGATTCACTCTTCAGTGTGCTGCTTCCCTGGCCTCTGAAGAGGCGAGGCCCCAGGGCAGGAAAGCACCTCAGTGGCCCACCAGACTTAGCACCAACACATGAGCCTGCCCAGTCCTTTCGCTCTTATGCATTCCCGTCTCTGGCCTCTCACCCGGTATTTGGGCAGCCTTACCCTTGACCCCTTGTAGCTATATCCTCATTCTTAGATCCTCTGCTTCTTCATTTACTTCTCTGTTGCTGGCCCTGGTTCCCTCTGAACTCTGAGCTCCATGTTAACCCTGTTGCCTACTTTTCCGTTCCTTTTGAAGTAAATTCTGTGTGTCCTACCTCTCCGTTCAACCAGGAACCCCCTAATAGCTTTATGACCTTGGTGTGAAAGTGTCACTTAGTCATGACCCGTCCCTACAGACAGCAGAATCTGGAGGAATTAGAGCTTAATGTTAGCATTTTACAGGTCACATCCTCTGATCCCAGAGCAATATTAATAATGAAATTATGAAAGCTTTTTTTTAAAAAAAACAATTACAGGCAATTTTAAGAATATTATTCTAAATTCCCATTGAAATCAAATACGCAATTTTAAAAGATGAGTACAGAGCAAAACTTACTGGATGCATTACACAAAGTAAAGTTCCATTTCTAAATACTTTCATTTTTTAATCAGAAAGAATAAAAGTATATTATTGAGCACTAAACTTAATAAGTATCCTAAGGAAATCAGGAGAAAAGCAATAAAGAAAAGATAAAATAATAAATTAGAAAACAGTGGGAATAAAAAAATAAATCGAAGATTTGATCCTTGGAAAATGCCAAAAAAAAATGTGCCAGACATTTGAAGGATATCACATACTCAAATAGGGGAGATTCTGTTAATTCTGTTAATTATTCAACAGAAAGCCTTGGGTAAATTTGGGTAAATATTTAGAAAATATCAAGGCTGTGTCTTACCTCACATCATACATAAAAGTAAGTCCCAAATGTATTGAAGAGTTAAATATTAAAAAGAAAATGTTAAGGGGAAGATGTAGGCAATATTTCCTTGATCTCAAGACAGGAAAGGATATTTAAAGAATGAAATCATGTCTTTTGCAGCAACATGGATGGGTTGGAGGCCATTATCTTGAGTAAAATAACTCAGAAAGTCAAATACCGCATGTTTTCACTTATAAGTGGGGGCTAAATAATATGTACTCATGGACATAAAGTGTGGAATGATAGACATGGGAGACTGAGAAGGGTGGGGGTGTAGGAGGAAGGGAGGGATGATGCAATACTTAACGAGTGCATTGCACACTATTCGGGTGACGGTTACACCAAAAGCCCAGACTTCACCACTACACAATATATCCATGTAACAAAACTACACTTGCACCCCCTAAATTTATAATTTTTTTAAAAAAGGATTAAAGGCAGGCCAGGCGCGCTGGCTCATGCCTGTAATCCCAGCACTTGGGAGGCCGAGGAGGGTGGATCACGTGAGGTCGGGAGTTCGAGACCAGCCTGACCAACATGGTGAAACCCCGTGTCTACTAAAAATACAAAAATTAGCCGGCACAGTGGCACATGCCTGTAATCCCGGCTACTCAGAAGGCTGAGGCAGGAGAATCTCTTGAACCCGGGAGGCGGAGGTGGTGGTGAGCCGAGATCGTGCCATGGCACTCCAGCCTGGGCAACAAGAGTGAAACTTTGTTTCAAAAAAAAAAAAAAAAGATTAAACGCAAAGAAATAATACATAATAGGAGTTGATGTATTTTGTTAAATACAAATTTAAACTTCTATATGTTAAAAATCATTAATGAAAAGGCAAATTGGTAATCAGTAGGAAAAAACTTTTAGCATCAAAAGAAATAGGAAAAGATGAAGTAATATCCTTAATAAATAAAAAGTGCTTAGAAAGCAACAAAAGGGGTCAAAGGACATGATTTCATAGAGAAATAAAAATGATAATTTTAAATGTTGGTGAGGATATGGTCAGATAGGCATTTCCTTACTCAGAGTTGGACATGTAATTTGGTACAAGTCAGCAGTAAAGAACTAGAGATTTAAAAACCTTCTATAATCTAATAATGGTACTTTTAGAAATCTATCCTAAGTCTATCATAAGGAAATAAGTAGAGATAGGAAAAATATTTATATATAAGGATGGTTATAATCATGTTTATAATAGTAAACATTGGAATCGATAATTTAAAAAGTTACATCATGATATATCCATAATACAAAACTTACTCATCTATGGAAACTATATTTTTGAAAAATTGATTGTCATGAGAAATTGTTCATGATATAATAAGCAAATGAAAAGAAGGATACACAATGATATAATATTACATCAATTTTATAAATACATATGTGTATATATCATATATGCATTATGCTTATGCATATCAGTGTCTTTGGGTAGTATGATTATGGTGCACTTCATTTTCTTCTTTAAGCTTTTGTGTTTTCCAGAATTTCCACAATGAGCATATATTATTTATAAACAGAATTCACCAAAGTGTATTCAAGGCTGGGTACGGTGGCTCATGCCTGTAATCTCAGCACTTTGGGAGGCCGAGGCGGTTGGACCACTTGAGTCCAGGAGTTCAAGACCAGCCTGGGCAGCATGGTGAAACTCCATCTCTATAAAAAAAAAAATACAAAAATTAGCCAGGCTTGGTGTTGCGCTCCCGTGGTCCCAGCTACTTGGGAAGTTGAGGTGGGAGGATTGCTGGAGCCAGGGAGGCGGAGGTTGCAGTAAGCCAAGATCGCGCCACTGCACTCCAGCCTGTGTGACAGAGCGAGACTTTGTCAAAAAAAGAAACAAAAAAAAAAAAACTGGAAAAACCTCACAAAGCGTGTTCAAAATTTTCAAACTTTCTACTTGAAAAACACAGATTGATATTATCTGGATGTGATTTTAAGACTGCTTACTCTAATTAATTCCTCTAAGAAAGGCATTATTGTTTAATTACATTTCTTAAATCCGTATGAGCTGAGTGGTGTTATTATGGCTGCTCGCCAGAACGTGGTTATTATGCCATTATGTGACCTGGGACCTGTGCTGAGAGGCCACCCAGTGTGTGGAAAAGGGTACTGAACCAGGGGTCTTGGGCCTTGCGACCTCAAGGAAAGTGTTTGGTAGCCTTCTGGGCCTCAGTTTCCTCTTCTGTCAAATAGATCTTACCTGCTTTACTACTTTCACAGAATTGTCTAAAGACCAAATAAGAAAATCCAGGCAGGAGTCTATGACATGTAGGCTATTATGAAGCCAAAGATCATTATTCAAAGAATAAGCTAGTACCTGCCTGGAATTCATAGTTCATATAAATGATTTTTCTAAATCTCCCTCTTGGTAAGGAAACATACTCCCGTGGTTGCAGAAGAAAAAAGCCTCCCCTCTCCTCCCACAGCCCCTTTTCTTACTGAATTAATAAGTGCACAGCCCTTTGGGGAGGGTGTAGACAGATCAGGCACACCCCTGTGTCCACCTCCACCAAAATTCTAGGGGAAAATGCCTGGCTTCTTAGGAAAATGCTTCCCTAAAAAAAGAGGAGAAACCTCAAGTGTTCCCATGGAACTGGGGCAGAGGGCAAATTCCGCACAACCTCTGCACAAACCCACGGGCTGGCTGCTTGGCAGGCCTACAGGGTCCAGATCTCTGATCTGTGGCTCAGAGTAACGAGGTCATTTGGATGGTACATTGGTTTCATAAACCCCTCCATGATGCTGCTGCTGTTGTGAGGATAGTTGTCACTTCCAACTCATATTATTGCAGACTCTAGGCTACACGTAGTTATAGGGACAAGAAAGTCCACAGCTCCTCCACTCCCCACACCAACGGCTCCAGGCAGACTTGCTGCAAGGAGCAGAGACCCCTTGGTCACCACAGGTAAAGGGGACAGTGTTTTGACTGACTTGGCAAGCTTACCATGTGCAACCCTGGCTGCATATGAGTCTCCTAGGGAGCTTTTTAGTAACCCAGGTGACACCCCACGTTTAGAATTTAACCAGAATCTCCAGGAGTGGGAACCAAGTATCAGTATTTTTAAAGCTGTCTGGGTGATTCCAAGAGCAAGCAGGATTCAGAAGCATTGGCTCAGGTTTCAACACAGATCTAGGTATCTCTCCCACACCAGTCTTCAAAAAACTTATCTTGGTGGGTTTTCCACCACAATTCTACACTCTCCTAAGCATTCTTTGCACGTAATTTTACCTACCATGGATCCAATTCAACCCTAAGGCATCCTTTATCCTTTAGCTTCTCTACCGGCTGGCTCCATTTCTCAGTCTGCCAATTCCAGATCCCCAAGAAGGGTGTCGTCTTAGCCCAACTCACCTTTTTAAACCAGGCTACTTGGGCCATGGGATGCTGGTTGATTTAGAGACTGGCTACTCTGTGGAAAGGGACAGAGGTTGTGCAGTGTAGAACACGGCCACCCTGGTCTGCCCCAGTTCTGTTTTTTGTGTAGGTGGGGTGGGTTGGGCACGGTTTCCCTTAACAGAGACTGTGGAATACTTTAACATATCTGGTTCAATAACAAATTATAATAATGAAATCAAACATATTTAGAGGAATCCATACAAATTAAGGGTCAGAGTTTCATCCTCTGTATAGAATATGATGTAGGAGTCTTTTTAAGTATACGTAGGATAATAAAATGGATAGCCCACTCAACTATCTTTAGAATGTATGTATAATTTTATACATCTTTTTCCATAGAAACTACAATTGAATTTAGCATTGAGAGATTATGGTATTCATTATTATCTTAGCCAGAGGGTGTTTTTTTAGCTTTTATAAGAAACTTTTAAATTGAAGTATAATATACATAAAGAAAAAGTGCACGTTATAAATGTACATCTCAATGACTTTTTACAAAGTGAATACCCTTGTAACCAGCACCCAGGTCAAGAAACTCAATATTATCATTACCCCAAAAGATGCCCCTTGTGTTCTCTTCCAATTACTCCTTGCCTCCAAGGGTAACCACTCTCCTGATTCTAGCAGCATAGATTAGTTTTTGTACTTTATATAAGTACAGTCATATAGGATGTACTTTATTGTGTTTTGGCTCCTTTCCTTGAATATTCATCCTTAGTTTTGCATATGCATTTGTAGTTCTCACCAGAGGTTTTAGTCCTTGAAATGTAGTTCAACAAACATTATTCAGCCAGGAACTGTGCCCGGGGCTGGGGACACCAAAACAAATAAGGGCAAATTCCTGCTGTAAGAAATATTTAATCCAGTAGTCTCGTAATGATCAGAATTTAGTGTAAGGTGAATTCCTCTTTGTCCAACAAATATTTATTCAGTGTCCACTAGAGGACAGGCGCTGTATCACAGGTGCTAGGGATAAGAAATGAACAAGCAGACAAAAAATCTAGCAGAAATCCTCTCTTTTCTTCCCGTGACGTGCATGGGCAAGTTCTGCCCACTAATATTCATTTCCCACTATGTCCTGCATCTGATTTAACATAAAGGGAAGTAGCAATGGAAACTATTTCTTCTGGCAACTTGGAATATGAGAAGTCCCTGGTCCTTGGGCCATTTTTCAAATCAGTGAGTGTGGGAGGTATAATATTTGTGTGTACCAATTTCTTCCTTATTCCATTCTCTCCACTGCTGATGCTGCCTATACTGAATGCAATGAAAGTCTGGAACCTAAGGAAGCCTTTGGGTGTTAGCTTACCTTGGAGTCAAGCTGAGCAGTCTTCTTGTTTTCCAGAGCCATGAAGTGAGAAGAGACACAATTGCCAAAGCTGTGATGGAAATCATACAGCTTTGAATTTGTTTTAGTAACATGGAATTCTAACATGTGTCACTGTTCATTAGTACTGGCTTTTCAGAGCCTCGTGAATTACTTGGGTACAAATCCATGACATTAGAGGCATGAGGGATTAGAAGACAATCCAACACCACTCTAGGATTGATAGTTTAGGAAGAAATGCAAGAAATCATCTCATTTTGTTTGGTTGGTTCATTCCTACCCCCCATTCTCCACATTTTTATGAAAAATTTTAAGTATATATAAATGTAGACAAAATAGTAAAATTCACTCTTATGTATCCATCTTTCAGCTTCAAAAATCATCAACTCATGCCAATTCTTCTCTAACCCCTTGTTGTCCCCCTCCTCTGATTATTTGAAGCAATCCCAGATGACAAATAAATTACTCATAAATGTTCACAAAGTGAGATCTCCTAGTTTTAATTCCTGTAGTTCACAGGTTCAGCGGTGAATTCACTAAGCTAGTTAGTGGTACTTATATTTAATCCCTGGCTTCAGAAGTAAAAGTGATAAGCTTTACTAACAGAATTACTATTATTATTATTACATTATGACATAATATAATATATTCTTGTACTGTTTGGCCTAAAACTACCTCTTTTAAGCCTCTCATTCAGTTCTCCAAGGAGTTCAACAGGGTGTGGGATGGCTGATTGATGTTCTTTTTCATCAGTAATTTCTAAACCAAATCCTTGTGGATTTTGAAATTGCAAATATATTTGTCCAAGTAAAAGCTTCAACTATTTGGTAATAAAATGGGTCTAAGACTCTTCCCAAACCTCATGTTTCCCATTTTCAGTCTGTGTGCAAAGGAGGAGGTTGGCTGTTGTTCATGGAGCCAGTGTCAACTGCCTGTCTGTTACGAGATGTCACAGCACAACCAGGCATGCAGCTTACTTTTTTTTAGGTTTCCCAGGCTCAAAACCGCAAAGTACCATTGTTTTTGCCAGTTAGAACACTCCAGAGGTTTCTAGAACAAGCAGAAAAGATTGTTAGTGCCTTTGTCATGAAAATATGTAAAATGTTGCTTTGGCTGCTTTGGCTATCATAGCTGCTCTGATTGTATCTCAAAATGTCACCCAGGGTATGTGGCAGTCATTGTGAGGAATCGGGCACCAGGCACCCCTTGATGAGCCTTTGATGAGGAGATGATTAGGAGTAAAAAAATGCTGCATAGATTATCTGCATAACTAACACTGTAGCAGACAGCCATGCAGACATTTTTCTGTATACAACTCCCACTCATTTTTCTGAGAGATAAAAGCAGCCAAGATTGACAATCTGTCAGTTTCACCATTTTCATTGTGTACTTTTTCTGGGCAGGTTATTCACATCGAACTCCTTTGATGTGATCAGTGATGATGCTTTTATTGGTCTTCCACATCTAGAGTATTTGTAAGTAAAAAAGCTTTTTTAAAACATGATGATTCAGGACAAGTACTCTCAAGTTCCTGTAACTGTTTGACAAAAAATATTATAACTTATTGCAGATTCATAGAAAACAACAACATCAAGTCAATTTCAAGACATACTTTCCGGGGACTAAAGTCATTAATTCACTTGTAAGTATGAATGTTGCTATTACTTTTTAAGCTTGCTAATGGACAATGCAGTTTGATCACCTGTGGTTAATGCACCTACTTTATGAGTGTCCATAAAAATTTAAGAAACCCAAATGACTTCTCTCCATGCACACTTGCCATCTTTCCCTGTCATCTGTCAGAGGGTGTTCAATAAATTGATTACTATTAATATTTTTATCCAAAACCAACCACAATTAGAAAAGCAATCTAATGCAGGGAAATTGTGTGCCTGAAATAACTTCTTTTATTATCTACATCATTACTTGCTTCATGGATCATTATGAGTTGACTGTATAATTTGATATCAGCTTTTTTTCCCTCTATAAGCCCTCACTTTATATACATTTAAACATAATATAGCCACAGGCGATGTCTTCATAGTACCTGATCAACTTGTTTATCAGTGAAATATTTAATTACTCAATGGATGATTACAGCTAACAGCAGTTGTTCTTAACAGGGAACAATTTTGTCTCCCAGGGAACATTTGGCAATATCTAGAGACATGTTTGGTTGTCACAACTGGGGATGTAAATGGCATCTAGTGGGTGAAAGGCAGGGATTCTTCTACTGCTTAGGACAGCCCTTCACGACCAAGAATTATCCAGCCTAAAGTGGCATCGTGGGCAGGTTGAGAAACCCTGAACAACAGGACCCAAACAATTTGTTTCTTCTAGCCTCCCTCACCCTCTACAGACAAACACATTCACACACACACACACACACACACACACACACACACACAGGCACACATGTGCATACACACACACACTCACACACACACTCTCACATACACACAGATTATTTTAAGGAAACTAGAAGAGCATGGAAAGAAAAGGCACTAACATTTACATCACTTTTCATCTAATCCTCTCAATAATCCTGCCAAACAGGCACAATAATCCCTGTTTCAGAAATGAGGAAACAGTCTTGGAGGGGATATATGCCTCGTGAGCTGATTAGTTACGGAATTATGAGAACATCTACTTAATTGTTGAATTGCAGTGACTCTTCATCCTTTCAACAGCTATTTCTCAATCTACCTAATATGTATCTTATCAGTTCTAGATACAGATGCAAGAGATCCAAGTGTCATAGTCATTCTGTCAGCTTTAACCTGTTCTCTCATCATACTTCATTCCCAGCTCTGCTCTAGGCCCTAGGATGCAGCAGGGAACAAAGGAGACAAAAATGCCTGTCCTTGGACTGAGCCTGATTTCCAGTGTGTCCACGCGGTTGTCACTCTGCCTCCACCAGGCCCCTTTCTCTCCTGTTGCTTGTTTTGTAGCAAAGAGAAGCTAATAGCCAGATATATTTTACAAAATCATGCCTTTCAAGGCTTCTGTATAGAGTTATTGTAATAAAAAAACAGTGTTTGCAATACTACTCTTCATGTCAATGACATGATATGATGCAAAGATGGCTGTTTACAGAATGAATGCTATGCAATTTTATCACAGAGCTCAACACTGCCAAACCTCATTTTTCAGACAACAAATAAACAAAAGAAACAAATATATGGAAGGAGAAATGGAAATTCATGACCTCAACTTGAAATCCACTAGATTCACATACATCCCAATCCACATGGCCTCTGTCCAGTGCTTAGCATCATGAGAGCTGTAGGGAGGATGCACAGCCCAATTCATCCAGCTGTGTCTCCTCTCCAGCCTAAAAGCCTGTGGTTTCTCTCAGGCTCCATGCACAGAACAGGAAAAAATGTTTCCCTGTCTTGGAAGGAAGGAGGGAAGGAAAGAAAGAAGGAAGGAAGGAAGGAGGGAGGGAGCGAGGGAGGGAGGGAGGGGAGGGGAGGGGAAAGGAGGGAAGGAAGGGAGGAAAGAGGAAAGGAGGGAGGGAGAAAGAAAAAGAGGAAGGAAGATGAGAGAGGAAGGGAAGGGGGAGAAAGGAGGGAAGGGGAAGAGGAAAAAGGGAAAGAAAAAGTCTGTTTGACATCCTAGTGTAGGACACCCATTTTGTTTACTGGAGCCTATGATGTGTATCAAATGAAATGGGAATTTAAATATGGGTCTTAATGATGCCCTTTCTTTAGCAGTATGGAGCCTGTAAGAGAGAGAGACTGATACAGAACACGCTTAACATTCAGAAAATTTCAGGTTCGAGGAACACCAAGGGCAGCCTTCAAAGAGAGGCATGACTCTTAACAGGCAGTGAAAGAGAAGTCCCACCTCTCTGAGCTGGTGCTGGAGGTAGGAAGGTGTTATGAGGGAACAGGGGTTAAGGCTGTGGCTAAATGAATATGACCCTTAGGTCTCTTGTATCTTTAGCTAACACTTATTAGGTTGACTGATACGGCATTGCCAATGTTAGGCTGTTTTTTATCTACAAAAATGGCAATGCCATATGGTTCATCTTAAATAGTTTCTAAGATGTGACACATGCTTTACAAGGAGTAGGGCCTACAAAGATGAGTAAGATCTAGTCCCACCTTAGAGAAGCTCAGGCTAGCAAGAGAAATTGGACAAATATTTTCTCACTGAGTGCCTTTGTCCCCAAGTTATGTTCTCCTTTCAAATTATGCTATTCTTCATGGTACAATTCCTTCCTTCCATCCTTCATTCTTTCCTTCCTTTCTTCCTTCCTTCCTTCTTTTATTCCTTCCTTCTTTCCTTTCTGTCTTTCAAGGAGAGATGGAGTAGGGAGGATCTGAAACCCAAATTTCCCTCTGCCGGCTCAGTAAGTCAGGTTCATTTTCCATTATTTATGGCGTATTAATAAATCTGGCATTTGTCTGAGCCATTAGTTTCCTTTTTAAGACATTAGGCTTCAAAGTGCACTTTTCTCCACCTCAGATCAATCCTTCCCAATCAAGGCAAACATTCAAGCTGTGAGGAATTAGTACCTCACCCTCTAACCTGCATGCATTGCAGGAAGAGGTTACAAAGCTTTCTCATATTCTTGACTTCATCATAGTCTCCTGACGACCCCGTGAAAGAGACAGGGCAGTAGCACTAGGTTCATAGATGAACGAGCAAGTGGAGGTATACCATGAGTTGAAGCTGCTCCCCAGTTACTAAGTGGTAAAGCCAGACAGCTCCCACCGTCTTTGATGAGACGTCCAGTGCTACGTCCACTGTGCCAGTTACCGCAGGACCAGATAGCTTTTATTGAGCTGGCTGGATCCTTCCATGGGACATGATTTGAGGAGAAAATATGACTAGAGAAGAAAGAAAAGATCCTGAAAACAGGAAACCTACCCTCATATTTCATCTCAAAATGCAGATAGTTGGGATTAGACGTATACTTTCAGGTCCAGCTGGTTCCCACTCTGGCCTAACATTAAAGCCACTCCCTTACCTGCGCCTTTATATAAATTTAGTTCACGCCTAAGAAACAATGCACTTTCTCACCTTCTTATACAGAGATGTCAGTAGATTTCTCTTCTAAGAGACATTTACAGATAACTTAAAAGTTATTATAGGCCGGGCGTGGTGGCTCACACCTGTAATCCCAGCACTTTGGGAAGCCAAGGAGGGCAGATCACTAGGTCAGGAGATCGAGACCATCCTGGCTAACATGGTGAAACCCCATCTCTACTAAAAAATACAAAAAATTAGCCGGGCGTGGTGGTGGGCGCCTGTAGTCCCAGCTACTCTGGAGGCTGAGGCAGGAGAATGGCATGAACCCGGGAGGCGGAGCTTGCAGTGAGCCGAGATCACGCCATTGCACTCCAGCCTAGGTGAAAGAGCAAGACTCCGTCTCTAAGAAGTAAATAAATAAATAAATAAATAAATATAAAAAAGTTATTATATATACCTGGCTATCAGGCGAGATCCTCCCCTCCCCTGCAAATTAACCCTTAAAACCCTGCAAATTAACCCTTAAAAAGGGAGAGAGACTTCTTAAAGTTAAGTCCTTTCAAAGCCTGTCAAATGTTGGGATTCTCAATTACTTTGTTTTGAATCATTGTTCTAATGTTATGCATGTTTCACTTTAATGTTTGAATGGTTTGTATATTTTAGTAATCTTTTGTATATTTGAATTTTTCTGATGAATATATGTTATTTTGGTAATCAGGAAAACATGAATAAAAAATTAGTTTATGAATAAAAAATTAATTTATGGCCAATGATGACAAAATCTTCAAACATTATGTATTGGCTTCTAGTAATACCTATGAGTCTTTAGTAATGATTGCTTTGTGTGCCATTAAGTGTCACTGTGGCTAAGGCCCAGTGGAGCCAGCATTGTTTGCATGCATATATATAAATATTTGGAGAAAATTATCATCAATCTATATGTATTGTAGAGTATCCAATGGTTGCTCAGCACTGAGGGGGTACAAAGGACTATATAACAGTCCCCAAACTCAGGATGCTTGTGTGTTCCCAATCAGTTGCACAGGATGTCTTTGTTTTAGCCTTCACATTGCCTTATATGTAAAGAGGTAGTGCAATGTAGCAGCTAAGAGGGTGATCTCTGCCACCAGACTGCCTGGGTTCAACTGTCTCTCTGCCAGCTCAATAGGACAAGTTTATTTTCCATTATTTACTACTTATTAATAAATCTGGCATCTATCTGAGCCATTAGTTTCCTTTTTAAGACTTTAGGCTTCAAAGTGCACTTTTCTCCACCTCAGATCAGTTCCTCGGCTTTGCACCTTAACAGCTGTGGAATTTGGGGCAGGCCATTTAGCTTCACTATGCTACAGACTGGGCATGTAAAATGGGGTTATAATAATAATCTCTTAAAATGGGATGGGGAATAACAAGGCATTTAAGAGTATTAGTGCCCAAGGTTGTCTTGAGATTAAGTCAGTTAATAAATGCAAAGTGCTTAGAACAGGGCCTGGTATGTAGTAAGCACCACTGTATAACTAAAACTCACTGCCCAACCTCCATTAGTCCTGGATCAGAATTCTAAATGCTATAGTGTATATACCATTTAAACATTTTCTGTGAAATTTAAGTAACTACAAAGTGCTCAGAACAGGGCCTGGTATGTAGTAAGCACCACTGTGTAGGAAAAAACTAAAACTCACTGCATAACCTCCATTAGTCCTGAATCAGAATGCTAAATGCTACAGTGTATATCCCCTTTAAACACTTTCTATGAAATTAAAGTAACTGCACTTGCACCGCCGCAGGTTCAGAGAGACACAAACCCAAGCTGAGAATCTGCATTGCAGGGGGGCTGGTGCACCCCAGATGGCTGTGGGCGATGCTTTCTTAGCAGCAGAGCCCGGTGGCACTGAAACAAACGCGGTGTTTGAGCCAGTCTGGTCTGCCTTAGAGAGAAGACTTTCCAGTGGGTTCCACAGTCACAATCGGAGGTTTTCTTGGGTAAATGATGAAAACACCAAAGGGCAGGAAATGGTCATCATTTCTGTGAAGAAGGAATGGCCGTCTGCCTTTGAGAACACTTGACCTTACTCAGCCAGTTTCAAGGTAACTAGACATTCAGCTGCGCAATATCTCAGTTGTTTTAAAGAATGTTTCTGGCCAGGTGCGGTGGCTCACGCCTGTAATCCCAGCACTTTGGGAGGCCGAGGTGGGCGGATCACAAGGTCAGAGATCGAGACCATCCTGGCTAACACGGTGAAACCCCATCTCTACTAAAAATACAAAAAATTAGCTGGGCGTGGTGGCGGGCGCCTGTAGTCCCAGCTACTCGGGAGGCTGAGGCGGGAGAATGGCGTGAACCCGGGAGGTGGAGCTTGCAGTGAGCCGAGATCGCGCCACTGCACTCCAGCTTGGGTGACAGAGCGAGACTCCGTCTCCAATAAATAAATAAGTAAATAAATAAATAAAAGAATGTTTCTTAGGTGAACTTTGAACCAGGACCTAGAGAATGGTGCTTAGTTGAAGGCAACTTTAAAGAGCCTCCACGTTGCCTTGGGATTTCTACCACAGTGGGGCTGTGGGGAGGGAGGGTCCTTCCTGAGGTGGGGGTCCACACCAGCTGGTGGGGACTGCACTAGTCACTCACAGGGCTTTGAGCTTTCTCCCCCAGTGCCTTGGCACAGGGGGCCTCAAAGGAGCATCCTCTGCTCTTTTCTTTGCCTAGATATGTACGCGTCCTCTCGTCTACTCCAGCCTGCCTCATTCATTCATTCATTTAAAAGTATCTATTAGGCTGTGTGCGGTGGCTCATGCTTGTAATCCCAGCACTTTGGGAGGCCAAGGCGGGCGGATCACTTGAGGTCAGGAGTTCAAGACCAGCCTGGCCAACATGGTGAAACCCCATCTCTACTAAAAACACAAAAATTAGCCGGGCATGGTGGCGTATGCCCGTAATCCCAGCTACTTAAGAGGCTGAGGCAGGAGAATTGCTCGAACCAGGGAGGCGGAAGTTGCAGTGAGCCGAGATAGCGCCACTGCATTCCAGCCTGGGTGACAGAGTGAGACTCCATCTCAAAATAAATAAATACATAAATAAATAAAAGTATCTATTGAGGGCTTACTTTGTGCCAGGCACTATGCTAGCACTACAGATAATGGAAAGAGAACCATCCTTCTAGTACTCATTGCAGAATTATCCTAGAAATAAAAGAACATTGATTAAATGTTTCCTCAAGTCTCTCATTGACTGTGTCTTCACCCCTCTCCCAATCGGCTCCACCCCACCCCAGTCAGATATTCTAGTGCCACCTAGTGTGACCTCCATGCCCTGGAAAAGCCTGTTGTCAAACTCACTGACCCCTAAGTACGTGGCCTAAAGTATCACCTATCCTAGTGTCATCTATTAATTTTAAAGATGAAGCCATAGCCTCTCAGTGAAAATGACAAAGCTGTGATTTAAGAGCAAGAATAGGACTTGGAGATCATTCTGACCCAGTGATCATTCACTTTATAGAAAAGGGAATAGCCTGAGCTCAAACTCAGATATCCACTTCCCTGTCCACGTCACCCCTGTACTCTGTGGCTGAGTTCTGGGCCCTAAAGTGAGTCTGACTGGCAAGGGGTCCACTTTGGCCAACACAGGAGCCTGGTACTCCTTAAACCAAAACATGTAGAAAGTCTTTTTCCTGACAACTCTGGTGGCTACCTGGGACTCCTTGCCTCTCTGTCCTTCATAATTTTTCTTCCTCCTATTCCTAAGAATTAAGAATTCTTATATCTAGTATTAAAATTCAGCTCTGCTTAACAGCTCTTGGCTAACAGATCTTTGCAGAGGAAGGAGGGTCCCCTACTGCAATTCAGGGTGACACTCTCTCAAGTCGTGACACTCTCTCTAGTCATGACACTCTAGAGGAAAGAGAAGGACTAGACACTCTGTGGGCCAGGATCCATAACATGATGTTCCAGAATCACTTGCTTTTGATGGGCTCTGTATTAATGGCTGGAAGAAAACATGACTAAATCTTAACAGTGGTTACTTCTGCTATGATAATTATTATTTCTCTCCTTTTTTAAAAAAATAATTTTTGCACTTTCCAACTTTTCTTGAAGTGAAGAAATAATTATTATTCCATATATATGTGCATATGTAGTGTGTGTATATGTGTGTGTGTGTATCAATAAAAGTAAAAGATGGGACTTTTAAGAATACCAATGCATAGGATTATCCCTACTAAGAGAGGCAGAAAGAATAGATGATCTCAGCTTCCTGAAGCAAATATTTTAAAGTGTTTAGATATTTAATATCACTGTTTAATGACAATAACAACAAAGAAAAAGATTAGTTTTGTGGTCTTAACACATAAGGTTTAAAAATTCACCTGCAGATACAGTTTTTCCTGGAATCCATTACAAAGATATGTATATAAAAATATTAGTAGCTACATGTGTTAATTCTCACAATAAGTGAAATTCATATCCTTTACTCAGTTTTGCAGATGTCAAAACAGAAACCCAGAGAGGTGAAATTAACTTGGCTAAGGACACATTCCTAAGAGTGATGACGTTCAAATTTATTCCCTGGTGGATTTGGACGAAGTTGGCACTTAAACCACTATACTCCCCTAAGTGATGCAGGAAAGAATAGCTACAACCAGTTTTAAAAATACTTAGCACGTATAGCAACTAGAGCTTCTGTTGAGGAAAAGTTAATAATAATATTATTATATCATTACTCTGTGAAGCTGGGAGTGGGATGAAGACAGAACTGGGAAAATTTTATCCAGGTATTTTGCTTTCTGGTAGCAAAACTCGGTGCAGAGGTGGAATCTGAAGAATCAAATAATCCTAATATCAACCCTAAAATAACCCTAACCCTAACCCACAAAGTGCTATCTCAGTCTCTCTAGCTGTTAAAATTCCCTGATAGACACAGGATCTCATTCTACTTACCCCTTTTTTAATGACTAAATGCTGAGGAGGCTTCAGGGAACGTCGCGTGACTTGCCCTTTTTTTTTCCTGTTGCCCCTGAGCCCGGTGCCCTCAGCAGCCCTCCGCTGCAGCAAATCTCCCTGAAGCCCTCAGATGCCCATGATGATTTGTGGAGGCAACAGGCCCTCATCACAGCTGGCTTTAAGCTGGCGCAAAGAACCACAGCGGTGGCTTCAAGCCTCGGCTGCCCTGTAGCCCCAAACCTCCCTAAAGGGTGAGGGCCTGAAACCGCATGAGAGTTTTCTAGGAAACAGGCAGCTCCCCGCTGCAGGAGGTCTTGTGAAAGACATTTGCATGACCTGACCACTCAGGCCCCCGAGTTCGGTAATTCCTAATCTAACCCTGTAGGTAGCTTTGGAACTTGACAAATGCAGCCAAACGATTGATTTCGAATGACTGAACCCTCATTGGACAGAACCATAGATATATACAAATACTAAGCAACAGGATCCTTTCAAAAAGTCAACTTTATTCTTTGTTTCTTCTGATTATAAAATAATAATACATGCTTGATGATAAAAACTCACAACATAAATATGTATTTACACAGAAAAGTGAAAGATTCCAGTAACCCTACACCTACCTCATTTTTAAAATCTCCTACAAAATATTCCGTGTTACATATGGACCATAGTTTATTTACATGATCCCTTATATCTCTTTGTTGTTGTTGTTGTTGTTGTTTTTGAAACAAGGTCTCACTCTGTCACCCAGGCTGGAGTGCAGTGGTATGATCATGGCTCACTGCAGCCTCAAGTTCTAGGCTCAAGCCATCCTCCAACCTCAGCCTCCCAGAGTAACTAGGACCACAGGCACACACCACACCCAACTAATTTTTGTATTTTTCGCAGACAGAGGATTTTGCCTTGTTGTCCAGGCTGGTCTCAAACTCCTGACCTCAGGTGATCCGCCCACCTCTGCCTCCCAAAGTGCTGGGATTACGGGCGTGAGCCACCATGCCCTGGCAACCTGTTACATTTTTTGCAGAGTAATTCTCAGGCTCTGTCAGCATTGCTTTCCTAAGTCGTTCTCTGCCCAAATCCCTCTGCCTACTTTCTTTTTATCTAAATGTAACCTGTCACTGGAGCCTCCCAGAGACTTAGGGAAGCTGTCTGAACTCCAGCTCCCTAGCCTTGGATGTCTGGAAGCCTCACTCTCATTTCTGAATCTTGCTTCCTCTTGAGTCTGCTTCTCTTAGTGAATCCAGGCAGCCTTCTCATGCCCATCACTCACCAAACCTAGACATGAAGCTTCATTCTCTCTCCTCTAAGAGCAGTTCATTGTGGGCAAGGATTTCATTGAATTTTTGGTAGCGGAGCATCAGAGGGTTGACACTGGGTTCAGCGAATCCACCCACCATTTCTCCCTCTGGCTCCCCTGCCTCCCCCACCCTCTGATTCCCAAGGCAAAAGCCTGTCACAAGAGGTTCTCAGGAAATTTAATGCCTCATTCCACAGCCCATCGGGCCAGCCTGTCCTTCTCAGCCCCATCTCACAATTCTGGTGAATTAGAAGCCCTCCATCTTGTCATGCAAAAATACTGCCTCTCCATTCTGGAAGCCCCATAGCTCCAAGTCTGCAGCTCTGTTTTGCCATCTGTTCTGTGGTTAGCTTGCACGTGGATCATGTGAGGCCTAAAGCTCTACTCCTTTGGGCAGGAAGTAGAACTTCCAGATTCACTCATTATTTAAAAGAATCCCACAGGGTACAGTGGCTCACACCTGTAATCCCAGCACATTGGGAGGAAGAGGCATGAGGATAGCTTGAGCCCAAGAGTTCAAGACCAGCCTGAGCAACATAGCAAGACCCTGTCTCTACAAATAAAAAAAACTTAGTTGGGCATGGTGGGACACACCTGTGGTCCCAGCTACTGGAGAGGCTGAGCCCAGAGGATCACTTGAGCCAGGGACGTTGAGGCTGCATTAAGCTGTAATTGCACCACTATATTTCAGCCTGGACAACAAAGTGAGACCCTGTCTCAAAAAAAAAAAAAAAAAAAGAATTCCCCTTGGACAGTAAGACAAGCATGGTGCCTTCTCCTGTATAGCCCCTATTGGCAGTAGTAATTCAGGATTTGACTGCTTAATCATTGCATGCCCACTGTCCTGTGACTCAGCCTCCTCTAAATTTATGCTCTGCAGCCAGTTGCAGTTTTTACCAGCTTCAGAGGAAGGGACATCCACTTAGAAGTTAGTATGATAACTTTAAGCCACATTGTGCCAGAAAATAAACTGAGACACATAACATGGGAGTGACTCTGGACTGGTCCAAGACATCAGAAAATCTCTTCATTCAAACACCAGTCAGTAAGATGAATTATGGAGACATTCTCTTGAATAGTCTTCCTTAGCAGCATTTTATTAATTTTGCTGTATGTGGACAGCCATAGCAGTTCATTCATGTGGTCTGTTTCTAAACGTTGTTTCTTGGACAACATACGTACAGAAGCTGTTCTCTTCTGACACCAGCCACTCTACTGAGAGTAGTTCAGACACCTGCACCATCCTTGATTATCTCATTTCCTTTTTTCAATAATCTTATGAGATAAGGTATTATTATCTTCACTTAAAAATGAAACAACTGAATTTCCAAGAAGATACATTACCAAAGTCACACAGCCAGTAAATGCTGGAGTCAGGATTCAAACATAGCTCAGAATCACTCCAAAAGCCATGCTCTTTGTCACAATTGGACCGTCATTGACAATGGAACATTCTGACTCAGTTCCTATTCTTGCATTCCAAGGTTCATTGAGAACCATTTTCCAAACTAGCAGTAATTTCTAAAACCTAGAAAAACAACATAACTAACTTAAAAATAAGTTCTAAAGTTCATGAATGTTTGCACTTGAGAAACCTTATATTTAATTAGTGGAGGTAGAAGACATAGACTTTTGAGAATGTTTTAAAGGGAAGTTGAGAGAATTTTCAAGGGTTTAGAGGCTAATGGTATGGGCTCTTTAGTTTTAGTTTAGTTTTTTATTTTTATTGTGGAAAAAAAAAACACCTCTAAGAAAAGTTTATAACGTGTATATATATGGTGCTGGTTAAAAATAGAAAATTACACTACTTGGTGACCTTCCCCAGTCATACAGCATTAGCACTGTGCTATGTCTATATTTGTGTACTAGGGACACATTTCCCTTTCCTTGACATTATCAGGACAATTTTTTACTCATTAACCTTTATTAGAATCATTCTAGTGATTTACGGAAGAACAAATAGAAAGGGAAAGGGAAAAACATTCCTGTGATCACAGGAAAAGAACCAGAAGAAGGAGAAAGAGGGGGATGATTAAAGAGAATAGATGGATAGGTTTTTATAAGAAAACTTTTTTCTGAGGTGGAATGAATGGTGCTAGAAAGGAAAAGGAGGCGTGGGCTTTAGAAAGGAGAAAGGATGTACTGGGGAAGAGATAGAGCTACTGGCACTGTGGGTTGGAGGTTTGGTTGCTCTCCGGAGCAAGCGAGGAGGAAGCAGGCAGAAGGGGCAGCCCAGGCAAGAGGAGGGGGCGCATTTTGGAGATGGACACTCACCAGTTTGGTTAGTCATCATTTGGGAGATATCCCCTAGATTGAGCGTCTGAGAGTGTGAATCTCTCGTGTTCTGTTCTAAATGGAAAGATCAATGCCCAGGAATCATTGTTGTTTTTAACCAACATAAAGTGTTGTTTAAATATTGAGTGCACCTGTAATCCCAGCACTTTGGGAGGCCGAGGCGGGTGGATCACTGAAGCTCAGGAGTTCAAGACCAGCCTGGCCAACATGGTGAAACCCTGTCTCTACTAAAAATACAACAATTAGCCGGGTATGGTGGCGGGCACATGTAATCCCAGCTACGGCAGGCTAAGGCAGGAAAATCACTTGAACCCGGGAGGCAGAGGTTTCAGTGAGCTGAGGTCACACCACTTCACTCCAGCCTGGGTGACAGAGCGAGACTTTTGTCTCAAGAAATAAAAGTAAATAAATATGGAGTGGGTGTTGAAGTGAACAGGTTAGGAACTGAAAGGACAATAGCAGGAATCTGAGTAGTAGTTCAGAAGAAAAAAAAAGGACCACAAGTCTTTTAGTAGGCTGGAAATGACAAAAGAGACTCATCACTAAGCTTTATCATTAAATGCCTTTGTTTAATTTATCACTACAGTTTACATCACCTTTTTTTTTTTTTTTCCAGGAGCCTTGCAAACAACAATCTCCAGACACTCCCAAAAGATATTTTCAAAGGCCTGGATTCTTTAACAAATGTGTAAGAGGACCTAAGAAATCACTGAACAATTAATTAATTTGCAGTCATTAACAAGGAAGCCTGGTATTGATTATTATAATTTTTAATTGGCTTTTAAATTAAAATTAGGATTTTTAAATCTAAATTTTAACTGGCCAAAAATTTAAATTTACATGGACTAACATTTGAGTCTTCTATGGTATTTATCATTGGGAATTCTGAATACATGGCACCCAGGCATTCCTTTGACAAAGTGTGTGTCAATACGGCAGGGAGCGATGATAAAGGACTTTGACGGGGTGGGAAGAGACCCGGCTAGAAATTTCAAAATCCCTTTTTTCTCATGAGGTCCAGGAAATAGGGCTACAAAGGAAAAACATAAAGGAGTCTGGGAAACTGACAGAATAAAGATGAAAGGTTACATCCTTGGGTTGGTCAATCAACAGAGAAATGGAACAGGAAGTGGGGGAAGGGAGAAAAGTTTGCCTTTTTTCTCATTAGACTGAACAACAACTCTAAGCTTAATCCCCAGGAATTTGGCTTAAGCCCCAGGAAGGGAATGAACTTAATTATTTTTGACCCTTTTTCAAACAAAAGAGCTTTCAAACTTTGACTTTTAAGCCTCCGAGTGAAAGATCTTTGCAAGGAATTTGTATATTTTGCTGTAAGCAAAGCAAGTAATATATGCCTAAACTTCTCAAAAGCAATTCAGCTTCATTATTTGCCTTCCAGAACATTAGAAAGGTATTTAAATGTCATAAGGTGGAAGACAGGAACAAATGAAAGGATATATGAAAACAAAAGCTTTTTTAAAAAATTATTCAGGTACTTGTCTGTAGAATATATATTCAAAACAACTTTTCTCCAATAACAAACAAAAAGAAAATCTGAGTCAAGTACTTTCTTCCAAGCCCAGTATTTAACTTCAAATCAGTAGCCTAATGAAAAACTTTCTTTGTTCCTTGCAGTATTTCCCCAGCCCCTCCTCCATGTCTATTACCTCAATTCCTGAATGATATGGTTTAATTCCAGGAGAATGCCCAAATCAGGATTCTTCCAAGAGAGTCCTGGACAGACCATAGTTATCCTCTCTGGTTTACAGTAGCCTGAAAGGTTGCCACTCATTAGTGTGGGTCAGAGTTCTCTTGGGAGACTAGGTCAGTTCTGGGAGTGTCTTGGAAGTTAGAACACACTCCATGGGTGACGTGGGATGTAGCTCATTGGGGGTCCTTTACCCCATTTTTGTGTCAGTCTATACCCTACACTAGTGAAAGACAAAACAAAAAAATATTGAAATTGGCTCAGTCTCTCATGGGAATCCCAAGATGGGTTTAGCCTTTTGGACCTACTCTAATATGCCCAAATCAAGAATTATCTTAGAAGTACAAGGATCCATGCCAACTTGCCTTTTAGTGGATTTCTTGGCTTTCTTGAAAGTATCCTCTAAAAAACATTTTTAAATGTTTGGGCGTTTAAAAATTATTTATGTGTGGTGTGAAGAGTAGGCAGCACCTATCTTAAGAATTCTGTGTGACCAGGAAAGGAGGTGGAATTCCTGAACAGAAGCAATGCAAATACACAGAGAACTTGGTGAGTTGGGGTCATATGTGGATATGTAAATGGTCTATGCTGTATAACTTATTACAGGCATGAGCGATTGTATGCCTGTGTTAACTCTGCTGTGTCAAAGTCATTTCCTATTTAAACTGAATTTGTAGACCACGGAAGAGGATCAGGATTAATTATGTCTGTGAGGAAGAAGAAAAGCAAATAGCTCACTTGATTAAATACATTACAATAATCACTACATTCTGTCCTTTAGACCTGTGCTGTCCAATAGGGTAGCCACCAGACCTTATGGTCACTGAGCACCTAAAATGTGCTCCTAGTACAACTGAGAGACTGAATTTTAAATTTTACTTAATTTTTTAACAGTTAAATTTAAATTTAAAAGCTGATTCTCAGCTCAATTATTGGAAAATGTTAAGTACGCTTGGAATAATTTGGGTATATACACCTATTTTTTTCAATTATGAATTTTATGACATCTAAATATAGATCACCTATTTCTGGTAAAATTTAGCATCTGAATTGAGATATATTGTAGGTATAAAATACACACTGGACTTCAAAGACTTAGTATAAAAAAGGAATGTAAAATATCTCAATAATGTTTATATTGATGATGTGTCAAAATGATAATCTTTTGTATGTATTGGGTTAAATAAAACATATTATTAAAATGAATTATACCTGCTTCTTTTTACTTTTTTAATGTGGCTATAGAAAATTTTAAATTACAATTACGGTTCATATACTGTTTCTATTGACAGCACAGCCCTAGACTAAGCCGCTTTGGAATTCAAGAGGGAGTAAGTGATGAGGTTCCATTGACTGGGTAGTCTTCAAGTGTGCATGGTGCTAACTCTCTGAGCCCAAAGTGAATGAGTGGTCAGTCAGGTTCCAGGCAGGTTATAGGGCAGGATGCAACGCCGGGTAAGGTCATTCTGCACATGTTAATTGTTGATGTAGAACTCTTTCCTGCGTGGGTAGGGCCCTTGTACAGCAAAAGCAGCTGAAGTTTGTCTTTCAGGGACCTGAGGGGTAATTCATTTAATTGTGACTGTAAACTGAAATGGCTAGTGGAATGGCTTGGCCACACCAATGCAACTGTTGAAGACATCTACTGCGAAGGCCCCCCAGAATACAAGAAGCGCAAAATCAATAGTCTCTCCTCGAAGGATTTTGATTGCATCATTACAGGTAATGTACTCATCATCATTCCACCTCAAAAAATTAAAATAAGGGCTACCTTTTTTTTTCATGTGCAGGAACTGATATTTTTTATATCTTAAAAACTAGCTGAGCAACTTAATTTTAAAAAAATTATGAACCATTGACAATGCTTCATGTGTTTAAAAGTAAAATGGCCATTTTACTATTCTCTGAAATAAATGTATTTCTTGTGAATATTTAAGATCTAGCCAAGGAAAGAGGTATTAGCTCACAGTTACTTATTATTTCCTATTTTTGCAGAATTTGCAAAGTCTCAAGACCTGCCTTATCAATCATTGTCCATAGACACTTTTTCTTATTTGAATGATGAGTATGTAGTCATCGCTCAGCCTTTTACTGGAAAATGCATTTTCCTTGAATGGGACCATGTGGAAAAGACCTTCCGGAATTATGACAACATTACAGGTATGAAAAGCCTAATGATATTTTGAGTGGTAATTTAAACTGCTTCAGCCAAGGGCAACAAGGAAAGATGAGTGGTATAGGGGAATGCTTTAGCATTTGAATTCCAACTCTACCATTTGTTAAGTGACCTGGGATTGTTCTCTAAGCCATAATTTCCCCACTTGTAAAACGGGAATAATATTAATACTTAACTCACAAGGTTGTTAATAAGATCATGTGAACACATATTCAAGAAACTTAGCATAGGGTCTAGTATAATACATAAACAGTAAATATTTGATTATTTTTCTTCAAATAAAAGTATTGGATGGTGAATCATGAGTTCTAGTCCAGGTTCTGCCACAGTCTATTTGGGCAAGCTGCTCATACTCACTGACACCCCTCAACCCCTTTTTCTTAACTATAAAATAAGAAGGTTATTTTAGATCAATAAGTCTCAAATTTGTTACACAAACGTGTCTTCTACAAAATGTTAATGTATGCCTTGTAATGAAAAGGATTTTGTGGTCCAATAAATTCATGAACCATATCTTGGTCTTGTAGGTTCATAATACAGACATCTGTGGATCTGAGAAGTCCTGCAGTGAGGAAATTTTTCCAATATTTTTCACCCTTAATTTGGCCATGGAATTTAATTCTTTCTTTTCTTTTCTTTTTTCTTTTTTTTTCTTTTTTTTTTTTTTTTTGAGACAGAGTCTCGCTCTGTCACCCAGGCTGGAGTGCAGTGGCACAATCTCAGCTCACTGCAACCTCCAACTCCCGGGTTCAAGCAATTCTTCTGCCTCAGCCTCCCAAGCAGCTGGGACTACAGGTGCGTGCCACCATGTCCAGCTAATTTTTGTATTTTTAGTACAGACAGGGTTTCACCATATTGGCAAAGCTGGTATTGAACTCCTGACCTCATGATCCGCCCACCTTGGCCTCTCAAAGTGCTGCCATTACAAGCGTGAGCCACCGCACCCGGCCGGAATCTAATTCTTTCTATGAAAACTTTTACTTATCTGGATCTCTCTTTTTTTTTTTTTTTTTTTGAGATGGAGTCTTGCTCTGTTACCCAGGCTGGAGTGCAGTGGCGTGATCTGGGGTCAATGCAACCTCAGCCTCCTGGGTTCAAGCGATTCTTGTCCTTCAGCCTCCCAAGTAGCTGGGACTACAGGCATGTGCCACCACGCCCTAATAATTTTTTGTATTTTTAGTAGAGATGGGGTTTCACCAAGTTGGTCAGGCTGGTTTCGAATTCCTGGCCTCAAGTGATCCACCCGCCTTGGCCTCCCAAAGTTCTGGGATTACAAGAGTAAACCACCTTGCCTGGGCTTACTTAGCTGATCTCTTAAGTTTCTTTCCCATTTTAATAATTTTTAAAATTATAAGTCATAAGTTAGAACATAGGGCTCCCTCTACAATTTTTAATATCAGTTTTAGCTTCTAATACCTTTAAATCTGCTCTCAAGAGCACTCACACCTCCCCATAAAAGGTAACCCTTTAGACAAGGCATGGAGGGTCATGATAGATTTTGCTGGTAGCCATCACCCTCATTGCTCAAAGGACCAAGACAGGTCTGGGGCTTGCTTGAGGCTGGGGTTGCTTAAATAAAGGGATCCCTTCCAAACTGAGACCCTTTTGGAATCCTCCTTTCTTTTAGAATCCTCCTCTCTGAAGGAAGAAGGTCATGCTTCCTTAGGCCCCCATAAGTTTTCCAGTGGACTATAGCAGGGTTTTGTGCGGTCGAAACCAGGCTTTTCTTACTTGTGTATGGTTCATCAATTTCTTTGAATGACTCTTTAGATGAGCACTTACAAGAGAAATAAATCATACATCTGCAAACTTTCTGAGGGCATCTCAGAGCTCATCTTGTCTAGGATGATGTCTTAGTCCCTTCCTGCTGCTGTAACAAAAAATACCTTGACTGCGTAATTTATAAGAACAGAAATTTATTTCTCATAGTTCTGGAGGCTGGGAACTCCATGATCAAGGCACCAGGAGATTTAGGGTCTGGTGAGGGCTCACTCTCTGCTTCAAAGACGGTGCCTTCTCTGTGTCCTAACATGGCAGAAGGGCAAAAAAAGATCTAACAGACTCGCTCAAGCCCTTTTGCAAGGGCACAAATTCCATTCATGAGTGTGGAGTCCTCATGATCTAATCACCTCCTAGACACCCCACTTCTTAATACTATTACACTGGGGATTAAGCTACAACATAAATTTTGGAGGGACAGAAACATTCCAACCATAGCAGATGACAAATATATGCCCCATACTCAGTCATTATCCCTTCCTTCACTCTAGACAGGCACCACTAATCTATCATGGGAATCTTTCATGTAGAGTGCAGACACGGCCACAGAATCCTTCTCAACACAGTTCCCCAGACAATCACACGCAATGAGCCAATCAGTATTGGTACATGTGTTGGAATCTGGTGGCCATCCTTAATCTAGTCTAAAGTCTCATTGTACAGAAAAGAAAACTGAGCCTCAGAGAAGTTAAATGATTTTCTTAAGATCATACAATCAGTTTAGCCCTGAAAAGAGTCAGAAATAAAACTATTTTGCCTATGGATGAAGCCAATTAGTAGAAAGAATTAATGTAGAACTTTCTGCCCCGCACTAGCGCTGTAGTCAGAAGAGGCCTAAAGCCCAGATTTGTTCAGCTGTCTCTGGATTTTCTAGAGCCAAACTCCTGCAAGATCAGAATCTACTGATAAATGTCAAACTCTTCCCCAAAGGATACCAAGCTAGGCCACTGACAGATCCCACATCATTTTCTGTGATTTTCCAAAATAACTTTCAGGAGCAGTGCCCATGGCTGCACCCTTCTTTCGATTTTTTTAAAGATTCCTTTTCCTTCTCTTCACTCCTGCCACCAGTGACCTAAAGCTCCAGAAAAGTGACAAGTGGCATCTCCTTTCTTTGCAGGGGAAAGGCAAATTATTCTAGAGCAGGAAGCAGTTCAGACTTAGAGCAAAACAATTACAGTAGAGCCATGGGCTACCCAGACCACAACGCTAGCCTTTGGTTATCTAAGATCTTAGATAAACCAAATTTGAAGTCCTGGAATAGCTAACTTGTCCCCAGCTTGGGTTAAAAGCATAGAGATGCTGGTAGGCCTGGCTTTGAATCCCCAACTCTGCCTTCTGCTACCAGAACAGCCTCTCTGAGCTTCAGTTTACTCATGTGGAAAAAGGATAATATTTATCTCTTAAGATTGTTGGGAAAATTAATGAGGTAAATTGAGAAAGCACATAATAGATGCTCAGTAAACAGTAGTTTTCATTAGAATTATGATTAACTCATTTGTGTCAGGGAAACTAATGCTTTCTTTCTGCAAGAAGTAAGAGGAGAACACTCGGGCCATAGCTGTGTGTCCTGAACGTCTAGCGCAGGCTAGATATGACATTAACAACTCAATTGTTGGCAACAAGGCCCCACGAGGCACAAAGGCACGGAACTTTAGGACACTGCTGCCATTGGGCTTTGGAGACCAGCCTTGCCTAATCAACCAAGGAGATCTCTTGTTTCAGGCTGATTTGGGTGGAAGTTGTATGGCCCCAGCCCGCATGTTTACATGCTCCAAAAGAGGATGGCCACACAACTAATCTCTCCTTTGTCTTTTCCCAGGCACATCCACTGTAGTATGCAAGCCTATAGTCATTGAAACTCAGCTCTATGTTATTGTGGCCCAGCTGTTTGGTGGCTCTCACATCTATAAGCGAGACAGTTTTGCAAATAAATTCATAAAAATCCAGGATATTGAAATTCTCAAAATCCGAAAACCCAATGACATTGAAACATTCAAGATTGAAAACAACTGGTACTTTGTTGTTGCTGACAGTTCAAAAGCTGGTTTTACTACCATTTACAAATGGAACGGAAACGGATTCTACTCCCATCAATCCTTACACGCGTGGTACAGGGACACTGATGTGGAATATCTAGAAATAGTCAGAACACCTCAGACACTCAGAACGCCTCATTTAATTCTGTCTAGTAGTTCCCAGCGTCCTGTAATTTATCAGTGGAACAAAGCAACACAATTATTCACTAACCAAACTGACATTCCTAACATGGAGGATGTGTACGCAGTGAAGCACTTCTCAGTGAAAGGGGACGTGTACATTTGCTTGACAAGATTCATTGGTGATTCCAAAGTCATGAAATGGGGAGGCTCCTCGTTCCAGGATATTCAGAGGATGCCATCGCGAGGATCCATGGTGTTCCAGCCTCTTCAAATAAATAATTACCAATATGCAATTCTTGGAAGTGATTACTCCTTTACTCAAGTGTATAACTGGGATGCAGAGAAAGCCAAATTTGTGAAATTTCAGGAATTAAATGTTCAGGCACCAAGATCATTCACACATGTGTCCATTAATAAGCGTAATTTTCTTTTTGCTTCCAGTTTTAAGGGAAATACACAGATTTACAAACATGTCATAGTTGACTTAAGCGCATGAGACACCAAATTCTGTGGCTGCCATCAGAAATTTTCTACAGTACATGACCCGGATGAACTCAATGCATGATGACTCTTCTTATCACACTTGCAAATGAATGCCTTTCAAACATTGAGACTGCTAGAACCAAGCACTACCAGTATCTCCATCCTTAACTGTCCAGTCCAGTGATGTGGGAAGTTACCTTTTATAAGACAAAATTTAATTGTGTAACTGTTCTTTGCAGTGAAGATGTGTAAATAAGCGTTTAATGGTATCTGTTACTCCAAAAAGAAATATTAATATGTACTTTTCCATTTATTTATTCATGTGTACAGAAACAACTGCCAAATAAAATGTTTACATTTTCTTTCATATCCCAGAGGTAATTATTTACAGGAGCTGTTTCATTCTTGTTGTTGGTATGTTGAAGAAATAGTTTTATATAATAGTATTGTATTTGGATCAAGGATTTACGATGTGAAGAATGAGTGAAGATAAAATTATGGGTAATATGATATTGATTACCCATTGATTATGACCAGGTTTATCTGTGGCTGGATCAGCTGATTTTGAACATTCAAAGGTATTTCCAAAGGTCATGGCCTTTAGGGATAATTTGAGGTGAAATGGTGACAAATTAAAAGAAAGGTAGAGAAATTTGCCTACTACAAGAAGACTGATTTGAAATTAAGGACAGCAAGACCCATCCTTTCCTGACTGATAAGCCCAGCTAAAATCATCACTCAGACAATTTCTAGGAGAAAGTAAAATCAAGAATTAGGATCTCAATACCCTATTTAGGGTCTTTCTAAACATCTGACAGCTGATAGAGATTGTAACCTTACAGTGCTTGCCTCAAATGTACCTGTCATGAAGGCCTCTTAATCTGACCAAGGATGCTTCACTTCTAGATACCAATTTTGATTTGTTATTTACCTGCTGCAGAATGCCCAAAAGGCTCATATTTGATTTTCTAAATTTCTGCTTCTAGATCACATGGGTCATTAGCACAATGCCGGTGATAGAGTAGGCTCTCAAAAAATGCTTTTAAAGAAGCACGTGTCCTCCTGTTATAATATAATAAACTTTCTGAGGCCTTTTGACCTAATTATTGCCTACCTACTAAGAATGGGGTATTGTATAGCAGGGGTGGGGGACTGAGGCAGAATAGGGCATGAACCTTGCCCTCTGAGGCCTTAGAAGACTAACTGGGGTGTTAGAACACAAAAATCCTACAGAGCAAGCAGTGAGTGCCAAGTACCTTCTAAAGATTCCAGATTATAAGTATCCTGGGAGTATCAAGATGACTTTCTGGAAGTCTAGGTTCTTGTTTGCACTTAAAGGGAAGATGTAATTTTAAAGGGGGATCACGGCAGAGAAGATATTCCTGGCACGAACTGGTTCTGTGTGCTGCCTTCACGGAGGGGGTCAGAGCTTGCTCCTGCTCATTGTTTGCTGGACTATTTTGCCATATAAGTGTGGTCGGGGAGGGCAGACAGCAGCTGCTGGCACACAGTGCATATCTGGAAGACTTGAGGCATCAAAGGTACACACATACTTACATAGTTTCTGGGAAGCAACTCCCTGGGGAGTTATGCACAGGAACCAGATTCCCATATGGGGAAGATATTAACTCTGACATCAGGATTATGGGAGAGAAGAATACCTCACTCCCGAACTGGCCTTTGAATGTCTTATTTTTTTCAGTTCCCTTTTCCTGTAAGCAGCATCATATGCTACTGGAGAACACCTGCTCTGTACAGACTAGGGTGAACTCCAACTCTGCCATGTACTAGCCTTGTCCATAGGCCAGTTGCTTAGCCCCTCTGAGCCTCAGTTTCTTTCCCTGTAAAGAGGGACAATAATACCTACTTCCAAAGATAATGGAAGGATTGAGACAGTACATGCAAGGCAGATTTTATTTCCCAAATATAACCACAACAATATCTGCCATCGCATGTGCTCTGTGACAGCCTCTCCCCCATCCCATCAAGAGGCAGTACCTAGTTCACCTACTCTTAAACGTGAATTAGTTTATGACTTGCTTGTAAGAATGTGGTGGGAATAATATAGTTGATTTCTGAGGCTAGGTCATAAAAATGATGAAGTTTCTCTCCTATCTTGTAAACTGGGACACTTGATTTTGGAGCTGTGAGCAGACACCTTCAAAAGTCCTACTAGCCTGAGGCCACTGTTCTGTGATGAAGCCCAGCCCCCATGGAGAAACCACACATAGGTGCTTTGGTCAACAGACCCAGACAAGGCCATCCTCAGCCACCGGTTCTGTGAGTGAAGATGCCTCTGGGTGATCCCAGCCCCAGCTCACAAGTCACTACCAGACTTCAGATCTTCCCAGCAGAGGCCCCAGACATTGCAGAGCAGAGACAAGCCATCCCCACTGTGTCCTGTCCAAAGGCCTGACCCACGGACTCTATGAGCATAATAAAATGGCTTAAATTGTTTTAAATGGCTAAGTTTTTGGGTGATTTGTTACACAACAGCAGTAGAATACTTAACATGGAACTGGCACAACTGAGCCCTTACCAAGTGATAGTTATTGCCAACAGGCACCCTACACTCAGAATAGTGCATACTTTGGGATCATGCTCTACCTTATTATCTTAATGTAACTCTCCATCATTTCATTTTTTAGAGAATAACTCCTTTTTTCCTTTTTTAATTTTGAGATGGAGTCTTGCTCAGTCACCCAGGCTAGAGCGAAGTGGCGCCATCTGGACTCACTGCAACCTCCGCCTCCCAGGTTCAAGCAATTCTCCTGCCTCAGCCTCCCAAGTAGCTGGGATTACAGGCACCTGCCACCATACCTGGCTTTTTTTTTTTTTTTTTTTTTTTTTTGTATTTTTACTAGAGATGGGGTTTGCCATGTTGATGAGGCTGGTCTTGAACTCCCGACCTCAGGTGATCCGCTGCCTTGGCCCCCCAAAGTGCTGGGATTACAGGCATAAGCCACCGCACCCGGCTGAGAATAGCTCCTTTTAAAAAATACGTTATCAATGTTTTTTCTGCCAGGCATTGTGCTGAATTCAGGAATGCAGAGATTAAAAGACCCAGATTCTGCTCTATTTGTTTTTATTTTTTAATTTTAGGGTCCTGCTGTGTTGCCCAGGCTGTAATGTCGTGGTGCAATCATAGCTCACTACAGCCTTAAACTCCTGGGCTAAGTGGTCGTCCTGCATAACTGAGATTGCAGGCATGTACCACCACAGTCAACTAATTTTTTAAATTTTTGTAGAGACAGGGTCTTGCTATGTTGCCCAGGTAAATCTCAACTCCTGGCCTCAAGAAATTCTCCTACCTTAGCCTCCCAAAGAGTTGGGATTACAGGCATGAGCCAAAGCACCCAGCCAGCCCTTCTTGTTTTCAGAAAAGCACTGACTGTTGAAGCTAGCAAATTGACTCTAATTTACCTTAAAGCTGGAGACCCAGAGGTGTATGTGAAGCGAGCTAGCTGAATTAGGACCATCTTCCATCCTGACACTCAGCCTAGTCCTTTCTCCATCATGTGGTGCCACTTTTCAAACATTCACTATCTGATTAGAACTTGGCATGTAGATGGGAAGATTGATGAGGGGTAAAGAGAAGACCAAGAAAATTAATTCAAGAAAGACTGAGGAGGAGGACACGGGTAGGGTTCACCTTTGCAGGAACTGACTAGCCTTTTCTGAGAGTTGTCCCCTCTCCATGTACCCTTCATCTGCCCTATTCTATTTAACTCTGTCTCCTCTGCAGCCACAGAAGGTTGCACCTGTAATGTGTTCCCAGTGTTCACCTGAAATGAACTCCAGGTGTTTGTCCTAGATGCTGGGCTGAGCTCAGCCTGAGCCAAGCTGCACGTAGGGAGCACTGGTCTTTGAATGGGAGTTCAAAGAGAAAGAACTTTAAGAGAGTTCTGTCTCCTGGATATTTGGAATTAGGACAGCAAAGGCTGAGCCAATTTGCCACAGGCACAGGATCTGTAAGGAGATGAGCCTAAATCAGGCTCCTTAGAGGCAGAGGGATTGATTGAGGGAGTGCTCCGAGGCTACACCTGAAGGGAGTGAGAGGAGCAACATGGAACAGGGGAAGATGCTATGCAAAGACAGGAAAAGGCAGCCTGCACCTGATCCTAGGGGGCTGTCCAGAGTGTGAATTGTACCACAGAGTGTGTCCTGCCTTGAGGCAAGGAGGATGGACTTTTGCATGCCCCCACCCATCTGACAGTCATTGGCTAAGGCATGTGGGGCAAAACCTTTTGGGCATCTCCAGGAGAGAAGCTTCCAGTTGGTAAAGGATAGTCCTCCAGAGAAGGGTACACATATGAGCTGTTATTAACTGACACCCACAGCAGCTGCAAGATGAGGACATCAGCCCAGTAAAGGCATCGGGGTGAGATACCAACAGCATATACCACAGTGATGGTGACTGGGGAGCTGAAGGCACCATCTGGGGGCAGCCATCATGGTCCATGTGCCGGAAGAGCTGAGGAAACTGGTCAGAAAATGAGAAGAGAATGACATGAGAGCTCAGAAAGGAGCAGAGGTGAGAAACTACGCAGTTTGAGGGAGAGCAGGAGAGAGAATAGAGAGAGGAAAGAAGAGAGAAAAAGGGTGAGAAAAAGAGGGAGGAAAAGAGGGAACAAGGGAGAGCAAAAAGGAAGAGGAAGTGAGGAGGGAGGGATAGTGAGAGGAAGATGGGGAGGTACAGTGTTCCTCGTTGAGTTACCTGGTAACCAGACTCTGAGAAGTTACTGTACAGACATTAATTCAGGAGTCCTCTTGAGGTCATCACCTGGGAAGGAGAAAATGGAAATAGGATTGGGTGGAGGGAGGCACTGAACTGTGACAAAATTCCAATAAAAGCCTCAGGCAACCTGGTAGCTGCTCTAACTTGAGACAACTGAGCTGGGATGTCCCTTCTCAGTTGTCTCAAGTTAGATCAAGGGGACCAGGTCTTTATATGTATACAGCCTCCATGCTGGTTAGCATTGGATTCAGCTCCCTGCCCTTGAATTCCTCAAGGGATGATATGGTTTGGCTGTGTCCCCACCCAAATCTCATCTTGAATTGTAACTCCCACAATTCCCACGTGTTGTGGGAGGGACCACGTGGGAGGTAATTGAATCATGGGGGAGGGTCTTTCCCATGCTGTTTCTCCTGATAGTGAATAAACCTCACGAGATCTGATGGTTTTTATAAAGGACAGTTCCCCTGCACAAGCTCTCTCTTGCCTGATGCCATATAAGATGCCCCTTGCTCTAACGCCATAATTGTGAGGCCTCCCCAGCCATGTGAAACTGTGAGTCCATTAAATCTCTGTTTCTTTATAAATTACCCAGTCTCAGGTATGTCTTTATTAGCAGTATAAAAGCAGACTAATACAAGGGACTTCTATAACCTTCTAACAACAACCCATGCACACACACATTTTGTTTTGTTTCAGGTTAGTTTGAATGGATTTCTGTACTTGTCACAAAATTATCTCCAACTAATTCAGAAGGTTTAGGCATAATTTACTGTAATGTAGATATGATGGTAAGTACTAGGTATTTCCATCCTTTTTCTTTCCACAGTTCAGACTGTATAATTTCTATTGCTCTATCTTCAAGTTCATTTTCAATGTCAAATGTCTTCAAAATGTACTATTATTTCAATCAGATTAATGCTTCTAAACTTTTATGTAAAAATTCCAATGTATGAAAATTTTTGAACCATCAAAATTTTATAATTTCCAGTGTATTTTGGACCAATATATTGTGAACCAATCTTTTTGGAAATTAAAAAGGAATTACTAGAAAAACGATCACACACTTGGTTGATGTGGTAATGTCTCAAGTTCTGTACTTATCCCAAACTGATTCCAAACTCTCCCTGGACTGGCATTGGTCCCAGGACCACATCTATATGTAACTGAAACAACTACAGCTCAACTCACTCAACTCGGCTCTTATCATTACATATCAATCATAATGTGGGATATAAGGCATTTTAATATGATTTCTATCAACAGCATCAGGGCCTCCAGGGACAACACATTTCAAGAAGACCTAAAATGGCCCTAGAAAGTCCTGAAGGTGGAGTTCAAGATCTGGCCTGTTTTTTCGCCCACTCCTGCATCCTCTACCTTGCCCACACTCCAGTTACCCACACAATTTGCCAATCTCTATTCATCTAAGCACTGACATGCTTCCGTGCTTCAGTGGCTCCAACCACCCAGAATGCCCTTTCCCTGCTTTTCTAGCTTTTGAAATCTTAGTCCTTCTCAACCAACTAGTTAGGTGTGATTTCTCCTTCCTCTGGGTTTCTTGGCCCCTTGCTTTGTACCATGAGCAAGGCTCATGTTTCACTTGACCTTGCATTATGGTTAGCTGTCAATATATCCATCTGTCCCACCAGGTTACACATCTCTGAGGGTCAGGACTGTGTCTTAGAAATCTGTGATTCTTCCATCCATCCCTCCCCTAAGCTCCTAGAATAGTCCTACTTTTTGAAGAGGGTCCAAAAACTTGGTGAAAATCAACTCACTTAAGCCCAGAAGCTTCAGTGCTCCTGTTTGCATCTCTGACAAGCAGCCACATCCCCTGTAGTGAGTTCCACAAAAGCTTCTGGCCATGGATTACCCCAAAAGAATAGGATTTGACAGTCTGCCAGCTCCCCACTGGTAACCTGGGTAGGCTTGAAGGTGAAAGAGACACAATTTATTTCCTGAGTAAATCCTTATTAAACACACACACTGCAGATCTACCTAAGACCTGGTTCACAAAACTGAAGGATGGGAACTGACTGAATTAAGCCATGGGGAGTAAAAAGGCAAGAAGCTTGACACTAGCACTTTCAGAAAGCCTATGCCCTTTGAAATTTTTATCCCCAGAGAGGAATCCACATCTGTGGTCAGTACTACTCAGAGATGCCCCAGAGGGAGCATCCTCCCTAGCTGGAGCTTTTAACAGTAATTCCCAGCAAATCTGTATCCCAGAAATCGGTCCTCTTAATAATGCCAGATCTCAGGATAATTGTTCATACTTCATTCTCTTGGCCCTGTCTATACACACATATTTAACAATTCTAAAATAAAATTTCTTTAATATAGGACATATTCTTTAACATTTTAATTTAATCATAGCGATAGGTGACATTTACTGAGCACTTACTATGAGTCAGCCTCTATCCTAAGGGCTTTATCCGTACTCTAATCCTATGATAATAGTATTGTTTTACAGATGAGAAAGCAGAGTCTTAGAATAGCAAAGTAACTTTCCCACAGCTATACAACCAGTTAAGAAGCAAAGAAAGATTCATTTGGATCATATCCATCAGTGGCACCATGCTACAAAGTGCCTAAAGACAAAATATATATTAAAAATTCAGAACTCTGTAAACTGCCAGATAGACAGATACGCCACTCAGAAATTTGATGTGTCTCCATTATCATAGAGCTTTTGGTAGAGCTTTTCACTGAAAATGTTTATTGAACACTTACTATGTGCAAAGCACTATGGTAGATGATACAAAGAAAATTAAAATGAGCAAAAAATTGTCCTTACCCCTAAATAATTTACAAACCAGTGGAGCTTATTTCTAAAAGCCAGCATGCAAAAAATTTGACTTGAAAGAGGCAAAAGTAACTTCTATAAGGGTCTAAAGAATAAATGAATCATGACACATGTTTTCTGTTTTTTTTTGCTTGTAGGTCAATCCTGTTGGTGTCCACAATAGTTCTCTCTCTGGGGCAGTGGGCATAGTGGTAACAGCATGTGTTTAAGAGTCAGGGAGACCTTGATTTGCATCCCAATATGGCCTCCTCTAGCTCTAGGACCTGGGACAAGCTAATCAAACTCATCTGCAAAATGTGAATAATGATCGTCATAGAGTGGGTTTGCAGATTAAATACTGTATAAGCCTCACAAGTACCCCAGGAGGTGGTTACTCTGAATACCTCTATTTTACTAATGAAATTAGCAACTTGTCCATGAACATACGGCTAGCAAGTCTGACCTGGGAGCCTGCATCTGGGATTTTGGCCACTCCATTCTGCTAAGCTGGTATGAGTTGTAGAAGCGGTACATTATTGTATAGGAGCTGTAATCACTGATCAGGATAGGTGGAAAATGCTTACACCCCATCACATCTTTCTCTGTGAGAGCTGAGGATGTCTGTGGACCTCTAGAAGAACAGGTGGAACAGAAACCCAGGTGAGGCAGTGGGGCCCACCAAGAAGTTACAGGTAGAAGACGGCAGTGAAGTGAGCTGACCACCCCAGCAGCATTGGTGTGCTCCAACATAGAAGATGACAGGAGTCACAGTGTGTGATATGCATGCATTCTTATTGAGGAACATTGAGGGACTTTGGCCTCTAGAAAATTACCTATGTTCCAATAAAACTTGCTGTTGTTAAAATGTGGTCATTGTTTTTACATCAGTGGAGGGAACACTGTGTGAAAAATAGCTCTTCAAATTTCTGTGTGGCTTTTGCATCAATAAAAGTCAGATATCCCTGAATGATAAAATGAAGCAATTTTACCACATCGTCCCTGTCAGCAAATTTATATTAAGTGATGTGTGCCTTTACTTTTTAAAAGTATATATATACATATATGTATATATATATATATATATATATATATATATTTTTTTTTTTTTTTTTTTTTTTTTTTCCCCAAAAGAAGACAGAATCAAGCTCCCAAGAGGTTTATTGTATTCTAGCCATGTGATTTTGGCCAAATTTCCTCAACTAGCTTAAATTATTCTCAACTAGAAGTGCTCCACTGAGTAAATGCATACTCCCATTTCCTGTTTTCAAATCCTGTCCACTCTCAATGAGTGTATCAGAATTATCAGGATTTTTCTAAATGCACAGCCCAGATTCTGATCCCTGAGGAGTCATGGCAGCCAGGAATTTTTTTTTTTTTTTTGGTTGTAAGTTACTGAAGCCTAACTAAACTAGTTGAAACATAAAAGAACATCTAGCTTCAGAAATATCTGGACCAGATGCTCAGATGATACTTTCATAAATCTGTCATTCCCTGACTCTTGGCCCTATTTTAGTCTATGTTGACTTTTTCCTAAGTCAGTCCCTCCTTTCATGGTGGAAAAATGCCTACCAACAGCTCCAACATTAGTCTTGCTGGTGTAGCCTTGCCCAACAGAAAGGCTGGGAACTCCTCTTCTCTAGTAGTTCTAACAAAAGCTCAGGGCTGGTGCTCATTGGCCCAGTGCCCATCCTGATGCAATTGTTGTGGCTAAGGGTAGAATGCTTATTGGCCCAGGTTGGGCCATGTTCCCACCCCTGGAACCCACGGATGAGAACCACATAGAGTGAGAGTGAGATAAGAGTGATTCCCTAAAGTAAAATTGGAGTGCTATTAAAAGGAAGGAAAGAATACCAGACAGGCAAAACAACAAATGCTATCAGTAGGAGGTGTGGTCTCTTTTGAGAACCTCTGCTTAGAGAGCCAGAGTTACTAAAGGATGGCCACACCCTCAGACGTGTCTAGAATCCCTTCACTAAAAGGTTTCAAAGATCCCTTCCAGCTCTTATTTTTCAAAAGTTGGCAAAATATAACCTCCCATCTTGGTCTATTATTTATAACGATTTACTGTTACCTTTTCTATAAGCAGTTTTAAAGTATGTTCCATCAAATATTGTTTTAAAATATTTAAACCGGTGTCCTTTGTTTCAGAATGATGTTTTCCTAAGTGAAGTCAAGCTGCCAATTCTAATTTAGTGGCCACCTGTCTCTGGGAGAGGAGAGACCAAGTGTTCTTAGATCACTTTCCATTCTGTACTTGAATGTGCTTCCATCTCAAATCAATCTGTATCTGTCAAGGGCAGCACTAGCTCCCCTCTCTCTATACTTTAATCACCTTGAGGTTGGCCTTGCAGATTAAAATCTTAGAGGCTCCTTAGTGGTCCAAGACTTTTCCTAATTTAGCTTTCCTGCAAGTATCTAGTCAGTGGCTAAAATTATCACAGGCCAATCTCAGCAGAGAACAGAACATAAAACGCTGACTTCTGTTCATAATGGTTCCCCAATCTGGATGCCCCACTCCAAAATCACCTAGAAAGTTAACTAAATATGCAGATTCCTGAAGTTCCACCTCAAACCCATCAAACCTGAATTTTCAAAGAATGAAACCCAGGAATTCTTATTTTTAAATGTTCCTTGAGTGATTCTGATGTTGATAGCCCACGACCTGCCCACTAACTGGGATTTGGGAGCCTCTGATATAAATAACCACATTGGACTAACCAGTATCATGCTAGTAGCTCCAAGCCTGTGGTTAGAAAAAGTTGTCCAAAAGCTCTAGAACATACTAGTTTTAAGCATTACCCATGGCAAGACACTTAAGTTTCTTGGTGCCTCAATTTTCTAGAAGATATTGGAACTGGACAAGGTCATCCCAAAGGTCCCTTTCAGTTCTGAAATTTCTGTAACTACCTGTTATAAAGGAGGAAAAAAACAGCTTGAAAGTTTGGAGACCTTGACCCAATACCACCTTCTTTATAGTAGATGAGTTCTTTATTTCATAATTCTAAGATAGTTCTAAGATAATAATTAGCATTTAGATAATCCTTCAGAATAATCTGTTGAGATGTGCAGTACGAACAAGCTGAGGAAGATCCAATTTCCTGTTGACTTGGGTTTGCTGGGTTGAGTATCTGCAAGCAGCATTTGGTATGTTGGTGTTTAATGGATATGACATTTCAGTGCACCAAATGGGAAAGAAGTATTTTTAGCACAGAATTCATCAAGGTTTAGTAAAGAGGGACTAGTACTCTGAATGGAGTGTGAATAAGCACAGATACTATTTTAAAAGACCAAATATAAAGACCTCTTTCCCACTACTATCACAAAATAGTCATATATGCACTTATTTTCACCCAAATCTTGAAGAACTTACTCTTTTCCACATCTCCTAAAACACAGTATTCCATCTAGTGCAATAACTCAGCTGCCTTACACACATTCTTCCTGTCTTTAGATGGCCTGAGTACCTATGTTTAATAGGCTAAAAATGTTGTTAATGATTGAAAGCAATAAAAATAGTTGCAATTTATTAAGCATTTACAATGTTCAGAACATGTACTATTTTACATGCATTTAGTCATTTAATCCTTACTACAATCCTATTATTATCCTTATTTTCCAGAGAAAGAACTGAAGTTCAGAGAGGTTCAGAAGCCTACCCAAAGTCATGTAGCTAGTAGATTTAGTAGATAGAAGAGCTAGGATTTAAACCTTTGTCTCTCTCAAATTAGAGCCTTAGTGGTTTTTTGGGGTTGTTTGTTTGTTTGTTTGTTTGACAGAGTCTCACTCGGTCACCCAGGCTGGAGTGCAGTGGCATGATTATAGCTCACTGCAACCTCCTCCTTCTGAGCTCAAGTGATCCTCCTTCCTCAGCCTCCCAAGCAGCTGAAACTATAGATGCACACCACCATGCCTGGCTAATTTTTTTATTTTTTGTAGAGACGGGGTCTTGCTACGTTGCCGGGGCTGGTCTCAAACTCCTAGGCTCAATTGGTCCTCCTAATCCTCCTGCCTCAGCCTCCCAAAGTACTAGGATTACAAGCATGAGTCACCACGCCTAAGTATAGTAATTGACTGCTATACTCACATGGATTATATCAATCAGGGTAGGCAGGGTTATTTGGTAACCCTTTTCTAGGTTTATTTGTAACTCTCAAATCTTAGTGCCTTAAAATAATAAATATTTACTTCTTATTCATGAAACTAAGAACTATGTGCAAGTCACAATAATAATCACACATTCATGTATGCATTGGTAGACTAGTCAGTATATGGAACATTGGTAAGTCGCTTTAGCAGAAGGAAAAACAGGCATGACAAAAAGGCATGATTGGCTCTCAAAGCGTCTCCCTGGAATTTGACACATCATTTCTGTTCATGTTTTGCTAGCTAATGCCTGTCATATAGCCATGCCTAAACCAATGGGACAGTGAAATATAATCCCACTATATGTCTGAAAGGAGATAGAAATAAACAAAGATTTGCCAACAGCCCTAATGAAAACCACACTGATATAATATAATATGAAGGTTATAGGTAGGGGCTGTGTTTTCTTCACGCCTGTATCTCTGTCTTTTAGCAAAGTGACTGGTATATGTAGGAACTCAACACATATGTTGCATACATGCATGAATATATGAATAAATGAAAGAAAATATTAATGACAAGGAAATATGGCCTTATCCTTTGATATATAACCAGAAGAGGCCTTTGCCTAGTTCTGCTTTAAACTGTAGCCCCAAGAGTACTCTGTCATAAGGGTGAAGTCTGATAGATATTTAGGAAGTTTGTATATGAGGGGCTCAGGAGTTGTAATGGACAAGTTAGAAGGTAGAGCTCAAAGTTGCATTTGCATGGTACATTTGCAAGATTAAGAAATTACGGACTGGGCATGGTGGCTCACGCCTAAATTCCAGCACTTTTGAAGGTCAAGGCAGGAGGATCACTTGAGTCCAGGAATTTGAGACCATCCTGGGCAAAATGGTGAGATCTCATCTCTACAAAAATTTTAAAAATTAGCTAAGTGTGGTGGTGAGCACCTGTGGACCCAGCTACTTGGGAGGCTGAGGCCAGAGGATCACATGAGCCTACGAGGTCAAGTCTACAGTGAGCTGTGTTCATGCCACTGCACTCCAGCCTGGGTGACACAGCAAGACCCGGTCTCAAAAAAAAAAAAAAAAAGAAAAAGAAAAAAGAAATTATCAATTATCTACATTGAAAAAAGGGCATAGCATAGAAATAAATGCGTTTTTCATGTGCAGTGATGATTCAATATTAGAAACAGCTGCCTCTGGGTCCTCTTTATTTAAGTTGTTATTATTATTACTATTTATTTTATTTATTTATTTTTTTGAGATGGAGTCTCGCTCTGTCGCCCAGGCTGGAGTGCAGTTGCACGATCTCAGCTCACTGCAAGCTCCGCCTCCCGGGTTCATGCCATTCTCCTGCCTCAGCCTCCTGAGTAGCTGGGACTACAGGCGCCCACGACCACGCCCGGCTAATTTTTTTGTATTTTTAGTAGAGACGGGTTTTCACCGTGTTAGCCAGGATGGTCTTGATCTTCTGACCTCGTGATCCGCCTGACTTGGTCTCCCAAAGTGCTGGGATTACAGGCATGAGCCACTGCACCCAGCCTTAAGTTCAATTATTAATTAAAAACAACCAAACTAACAAAGGGATTTTTTATATCTGCAGTCACTCGGCTATGGTGTTCATTCTTCCCTTCCCAATTTGCCCCCTCTTTTAAGTATTTGGATTAAAATGCTAATTATAGGGGAATAAATACATCTTTACGATTTAAATGATTTAACAGAGTGAAAAAACTGCCGCCTAAGGATTGGCAGAGGGAACATATCAAAAGTAAACCACACCTTGCAACTGTAAAACTCCTAGGAGAAAACACAGGGGAAACCTTAATGATGTTCGTCTGGGCCATGGTTTCATGGATATGATACCAAAAGCACAAGCAACAAAAGCAAAAACAGGCAAGTGGGACTACATCAAACTGAAAGAGCTTTTGCACAGCAAAGGAAACAATTAACAGAGTAAAAAGGCAACCTACAGAATAGGAAAAAATATGCAAACCATATATCAGATAAGAGGTTAATATCAAAAATATGAATTCCTACAATTTAATAGCAATAAAACTAATAACCTGATTTTAAAATGGGCTAAAGACTTGAATAACATTTCTCCAAAGAAGACATACAAATGGCCAGTAGATATATGAAAAGATGCTCAACATCACTATCAGGCACAGGCAAATCAAAACCAGCAAGAGCTATCATCTCACGCTTACTAGAATGAATATTATCAAAAAAAACAAAAGACAAAAAGTTTTGGTGAAGATGTGGAGAAATTGGAACCCTTGTACACTGTGAAATGCAAAATGGTGCAGCTGCTCTGGATAACCATATGGAGGTTCCTCAAAAAAGTACAGATAGAACTATCATATGAACCAGCAATCTCACTTCTGGGACTGTCCAGAAAATTTGAAATCAGGATCTTGAAGAGATATTAGCACTCCAGTGTTCACTGCAGCACTATTCACAATAGCCAATGTGTGGAAACAACCCAAATGTCCATTGACAGAATGATTAAAAGAAACGTGGTATATGCATACAACAGAATGTTATTCAGCCTTAAAAAGAAAGAAATCAACTTTTTATTGAAATTCCTTTATTTGATTTTTAAAAATTATTTTCATATAATACTTGCATAACTTTCTTAAAGGAAAGTTTCCCCACAATGAAGATTAAAAGGGACTAAGTTGGCTGGGCATGGTGGCTCACGCCTGTCCCAGCACTTTGGGAGGCTGAGGCAGGCGGATCACCTGAGGTCAGGAGTTCGAGACCAGCCTGGCCAACATGGTGAAACCCTGTCTCTACTAACAATACAAAAATTAGCTGGGCGTGGTGGTGGGCACCTGTAATCCCAGCTACTTGGGAGACTGAGGCAGGAGAATCGCTTCAACTCAGGAGGCAGAGGCTGCAGTGAGCTGAGATTGCACCATTGCATTCCAGCCTGGGTGACAAGAGTGAAACTCTATGTCAAAAACAAAACAAAACAAAAACAAAAAAAGGGGGCCAGGCGCGTGGCTCAAAACTGTAATCCCAGCACTTTGGGAGGCTGAGGCGGGCGGATCACGAGGTCAGGAGCTCGAGACCATCCCTGGCTGACACGGTGAAACCCTGTCTCTACTAAAAATACAAAAAAATGAGCCAGGCGTGGTGGTGGGCGCCTGTAGTCCCAGCTACTCAGGAAGCTGAGGCAGGAGAATGGCATGAACCTGGGAGGCGGAGCTTGCAGTGAGCCGAGATCGCACCACTGGACTCCAGCCTGGGCGACAGAGCAAGGCTCCGTCTCAAAAAAAAAAAAAGGGACTAATTTCCCTCCTCATCCCACCTCAGCCATCTCTTGGATTTATCACTGTTTGATGAGGGTTTCACTGTTTCACCCTCCTAAACTGAGGCCAATATGCCCTGTAGACATCAGTAATATCAGCCAGATGTTCATGTTTATAATATTTACACTCATGTGGGGGCAAAGTGCAGACCATTATATAACACACCCATCTGCTAAAAGCCTCCTCCACAGCAAAGAAAAAAGGCTGCCTAGTAAATGGATCCTCCTAGAAGTACATTCCAGAAACCACACTACCAACCTGCATTAGTGTACTCAGAAGGGCCAGAGAGAAGCCTGTCCAAGACTTTGAGGAGATATTCATGGTAAAATAAAAGTTGGCATATATTACTGATTCCCAATAACCTGGCACATCAGGGTATCTAAACCCAGTCTCCTTTTTCTTCCAAATAACTGATTTTGCCCCCATCAGCATATTTCCAAATCTTCTCCCCTTTATTTCTAGTTTAAAGGATCAAACTGATGCTGATGTTTGAGATTTCTGTAATTCTCACCACTTAAAGGATGCAGTAGCAGATTAATCATAATAATTATTATTATTATGCTATAGAAGGGGCTTTGTGTTTTGAGGCTTCCAAATAGAAACTACCACACTATGTAGGGGCAAGATCCAGGGATATCACTCTCTGATAGCAAATCAAATAAGTCAGGACAGAGTTGATGAGCTCAGACATTTTCTGACCATATTTCAGGGCCGTTCCCAGAAACAACTCATGATCCCTATGCTAGATAGACTGCTAGAATCATTCACTTGGGAATGTTAGATAAACTCTTCGTGGGAGCTGCAATGTGGCTTCATCCAATGCTTAATAATAGGAGGATTTGGTACCTGTTAAGGAATGCTGAGGAAGGAGAGTTAGAGGGCAAGAACTGCAGCCTTTTGCCAGAGGCGGACATGACCCAGTAGTTAACAACCAGACCAAGTCTGCTGTGGCCAACAGAGGGCAGCAGAACCCCCCTGCCATGCACATGGGCACAGTGCCCATGTGACAGCCACTATGAACATCCGTGCTCCAGGACACTGGGACCACAAAAGGGTGGATCCCAGAAAAGGTATAACTAATGTGAGCAATGAGTTTTGGGGAAAGAAATTTTCTTCCTAGACAGTGGCCAGCAAGACTGTTATGGAGATTCCAAGAACAGAGTCCAGGGGTTCCCAAGGTTCTGATAATTTGTTTTGCTGAATAAGGTTTGCCAAGGTCCTGCCTCAGTCAGATGATAAGGAAGGCAGTAAAGGACAGAGAAAAAGAATGAAACTGAAGAAAGTATTTAAATAGCATCTTGCTTTGGTATTCTAAATAGACGTTCCTTAGCAAGAAGAGAGTACTCATATCTATGTCTCCCTCGTGAAGCTTCTGTTCTTCCCTGAAATCGATCCACTGGCCCACCTTGGAAGATTGGATTAGTCCCCCAAAGCCTGGTCATTCCAAGAGGAAAATCAGAATAACAGTCACGGAATTCAGCTTTGGATCATGCAAAGTCAGAGACTGTAACATAGATTCCTAATGACTCAGCCAAGATATAAACAATTAATTCAATTCAGCATGAACAACTACCCATCCTTTTAGCATGTCAGTAGATTTGCCCATGCATCACCTATATCAACAATGCCCATCACCTCCATAACAAAGGGGGTGTGGTAACAAACACTTTGCTTTCATCTTCCCATAGACCTCTGCCCTCGATCCTCCTAGCAGGAAGGCCAATGATCTGGCTCAGGTGATGGTGAGCATGGCAGGCATTGTACACGCAATGAGAGAGCTGGCTTCATACCCACACAGACTACCTTGCTTTCCTCCTTGGTTAAGGGCAGGCAGACTGAGTGTAGTTGAATTTTACTGCCCTTGAACACAGCACAGCTTCATGTGCAGCAGCTTAGCAAGTACCAAATACCACTCAAGGTCGCCACTAGGTGAGATGACTATCCCAACAGGTCTGGACTTACAGGAAACTTACATTTTGAGAACAAAAATATAAGTTTAACCAGGCAAAAGTGCTGCTGTCAATGTGTTCCCAGCTTTCCAGTTGCCCTACAACTTAAAGAAGGTTCCGGCTTTTTCTAGTCAATTTCTTCTTCTCCCACAGCGTTCCCAGCATAGCCCTCTTTTGGGGACTCCCATGAAGCAGAATTGGGAGAAGAGGAGAATAACACAAAGTAACTCACAGGTTAGGCCGTAGGAGGGTGTCAGAATTTGTATTCTGAAAGAGACCAGAAGGAGCTGTGAATAGGGAGTGGAAGGGTGAGGACATGGGGATTTTAAGAAGAGTTCCTGTGAGTTACAGCCCTTTTATGACATTTAAAAAAAAATGTTGCTGGACTGCGTTAATTTGATGCAAGTCTTCTTTGAGAATGGACCCTATGAATCATCATTTCAATAGAATTATAGAAGAGACTAACATAATTCTGCTTCCTCCTTTGAATGAGCATTTGCATAATTTGAGTAGGTTATCCTATATCTCATGAGAAGCAAAGAAAATTATCTAACTCACAGAATCTCAAATTAGCAGAAACCAAACAAACCAACATCCAAATATTTATCAAAACACTGCTGTTTGTGATCTTTGCTTCCATGTTATTTCACCATAAGCTTTCTGGAATCACCTTTGCTGCTTGGACACTGTTGGAGACGCTTCCTCTCCACCTCTCTGGGAAAGTCTTTGCCTGTAGCCTCTCATTACGGGGCCCTGGGCTTTGGACACATCTCTCTGTGGCCTGGACTGCTTGGTTAACATTTTCTGTGTCGCTGTCTCCCCCATGTGACAGAGCTGGTGTTCTTTCTTCAGTTCATTTTTCTGTCCTAAAGGGACCCTTTTGACTCCAGAATTGGAGGTATGCAAAGAAGCAAACTGTTGCTCAGTGTTACAGTCACAAGGCCAAGAGGTGTTTAGTTAACTTTTATAAGTGGATTTAGGTTTATGCCAGAGTAAGAGGCAGAGTCGGGAACAGCTTTTCCTCATAAAGAAGGAAAACAAAAAAAGAGGCAACATTGATTGGAGAAAGTCTCCTGGTAACAGAAAGAATTTTGATATCTGAGCTGCTGGATGCATGCGCTTTCTTTCTCTCTCTGATTCCCCCCCCCACCCACCTCACTGAAGTAGGATAAGGGCAGAGATAACTGAGAGGAGGTGGAATTCACTGGGGAAATTACCTCGGAAGCAGGCTATGGAAGAGGGCACCACAGAAACAGGTCCCCCTGTAACCATAGTGACGGCTGAAGAAGGAAGGGCACAGTGGAGAGAGGGAGCAAGGACAGGGACACGGGAAAAGCTGGGAGCGAAGGGGACCCCCAGGTCAAAGGGGCGAGTGACAGAAGCTGTGACTAGTTGAGGCTAAATTCAGGTTTTTAAAGGAAGATGAATTAATTTCTAACTGCAATTATTTAGGGAGGCAAGATGCATGTGATGTTATGGGTTCTTTTTACCTTTAAATGGAGTATAATTTTTTTTAAAGTTTAGCTATTTTTACTAAAGCAAGATTAGGAGAGAGCAGTGGAAAGTTGTGGCTAGAAGTGGAAATGGGTGTCAGGAGAGTTCGAGAGGAAGGTAGACTCAGAGCTCCCTAGAATCTCAGACACTGTCCTCATCTTGGGTGGAAGCAGCGCCCGGCTGCCTCCTGGTGGCAGCTGGTTCCAATTAGCAGGGAGTAATTAGGAGGAGGTTTCACTCGCTGACGCTGAAATGGCAAAATCCAAGCCACAGGCATAGACGGATGGCCAGATTTAGCACATAAAAATACAGGGTGCTCTGTTAAATTTGAATGTCAGACAAACATGAACAATATTTTAGTTTGCGCTTGCTTCATGACAACCTTAGTAAGGCAGTACATACTGATTCAATTTCTTCCTCTTGGTCTCTCGCCTCTGCATTTTTAAAAAAGAAAGGAGATGACATTCAACCAAGGTAGATAGTAAATAAATAAATAAGTAAGTAAATAAATGAAAGGGAAGGAAGGAGAAAAGAAGAGAGGCAGGTAGGGAGAGAAGGAGGAAGGCTCTTGGCCCCAAATTATCATTTCCTCTAATTCTCCATTTACAAAACTCCATTCCTTCTTGCCCCCTCACCACCCGCCTCTTTTCACCATCCTAGGGACACTTTGTAACTATTCCCTACAATATGTCTTCAAAACATTAAATCAGAACCAAGCCACACCAATGAAAGCAAACCTCAACTCTCTGGTTCCAAAAACCACCGGGGTCTCTTCCTGGACACTAAAGATATATTCTGACCCCCTCCTCCTGCCTCCCGTGAGCCTCCACCTCGGCAGCATGACTTGCTGCTGCTAGATCTGTACCTGCCAGCTCACCTCACCTCTTAACCCCCTGCTTGCATTTTCTTCAGGTTCTTGTCTTTGATGCACAGTTCTTAAAGTATCTCCTAATTAAGTGCTCGGAAACAGGTGCCAATAAATCTAGTTACAGTAATATTTCAAAGAGGTGTTTTACAAAATAAATCGATGTTTATGGTTCAGTATGTGGTGTATGGTAATGGTGTTCTTTAATGGATTTTCCTCACACAGCCCATCTCAGCTCCAGCTGAGGCTGGATGCTCCCAGCCCCCAGCCCCTAGCCCCAGTTCCCCGTCCTAACTGAACACTACTACAGAAAAGTCCAGAAAGAAGACAGCAGTTCACTTATCATCTTGAAACTTCAATCAGATCATGCCATTCTGCTTAAAACCCTCCATTGCTCTCCTATAACATTTAGAATAAGATACAGAATGTCCACAATGGCCTCTAAAGTCTGTGGGGTTTTCCTCTACCCACAGCATCCCACCCTATTCCCTGCTCACTGCTATCTAGCCCCATGAAAACCCTTTCTGTTCATGGAAGATGCGAAACCTTTTTCTGCCTCAGACTCTTGTACTTGTTTTCCCTTCTGCCTGGAATGCTTCCCCATGCCCAGTTCTTTGGATGGAGAGGTCATTCTAATGCTTCAGGACCCAGTTCTAAGGTGTTAAGAATATTCTATATCCTGGAATTTGTGCACCTTATTGTATGGATGTCACATCTCGGTAAAAGGTAAAATGTAATGTATTACTAATTCACTACTAGATCACCCTTTTGATTTCCTTCCTGACAATGATCACAAACCATAATTATCATATTAACTTGTTTACTTGTTTACTGTCTGTCTTCCACTTAGATCAGGAGGTGGCAAACTATGCCACCATCCAAGTCTAGCCACCACTTATTTTTATAAACAAAGTTTCATTGGTACCTAGCCACACCCATCCATTTACTGTTGTCTGTGGCTGCTTTTACTAAGCTACAGTGGCAGAACTGAGTAATTGTAACACAGATTGTATAGCTTCACAAAACCTAAGATGCTTACTGTCTAGCCCTTTCCAAAAAAAAAAAAACAGCTTGAAACCCCTGCCATGGACTGTAAGTTTCATGAAGGCAAGAACTGTGTCAGTCTTCTCCACCTGTATTTCAGGATCCAAAACAGTGCCTGGCACAAACTCAGCAACCCCTCAATAAGTGTTGGCTCCTGTCCGGCCCCTACCACTGGCTCCCCTGGCGCAGTCTCCTAGCTTGCCCTTTCCCTCATCTGATCCTGGCGCCTGGCCATTTGCCTGCAGAGTGTAGGTTCTTGCCATCTGCCAGTCCCTTGTAGCCCTGCCTCCTTGCTCGATGTCACCAAACTGGTGCTTCTTGTGCCCTGATGCTGAAAACCCATCTAATCACAACCAATAATCTTCTAACACAAAAGCTTCCTCTGCTGTTTGTGTGTTTTAGAAGCAATCGTTTTGTAGTATGCCAATCCATTCTCTATAATCATGAAAGATGCCTGTCTTAAAATGTCCTTCTATCATTCAGCTTTTTGTTAATATATTTATTTAGGTATCTTCCTATTATAAAAGCGATTCATATACATAACACACAATTTTGAAAATAAAGAAAAACTAAGAGACAACCGTTTTTAGCACTGATGTGGTTTCTTTTTATTAGTCTTTCTATGCTATTTTTTAATGCATGCTTGTATAAAACAACAAAAAATGGCTACAAATTTTCTCCCTTGTATTATAATAAGCATTTTTATATCATATATTCTTTGTAAAGTATTATTTTAGTAGCTGCATAATATTATATTAAATGGAAATATTAATATTTATTTATTGTTGGGAAATATTTATAATATATTCAGATCTTTACCATAGAAAGTAATACAGCCATGAACATCTTTGTGTATGAAGCTTTTTTCCCCCATTTTTTGGATTACTTCCTCTAGGAAGAGTTCCAGAAACAGAATTACTGGATCAAGAACCATTGTTTTGAGTTCAGATAAATACTGGCATCCTCACTTTTAAAAGGCCTGAAAACTTCTTAATAAAGATATCAGAGCAAATGCATTCATAATCCTCTTTCCTGTGCTCCAAGTCCATAGGAATGACAGGTTAGATATTAAATACATATTTCTATGCTTCTCTAAAAATGCAAGAGGAAAATGTCACTGGCTCAAAAAAGGAGTAAAACTTAAACAATAAGCAAAGTATAAAACCACAGGGACAAACAGTGAGACTGGAACTAGGCAAACAAGACTGGAGTCCAGAGGAAGGACTGAATGTAGCCCTTGGTAGTGGGGAGCTACCCAAGAACAGTGGATGACAGAACTTCATCCGTACATCTAGAACAGTGGCAGAAATACACCACTTGCTCAGGGTCAGTGTCCAAAGCAGAGTCCTATATTAGTCCATTCTCACACTGCTAGAAAGAACTATTTGAGACTTGGTTATTTATGAAGAAAAGGAGTTTAATTGACTCACGGTTCAACAGGCTCTACAGTTTCACATGGCCAGGGGGCCTCAGGAAACTTACAATCATGGCAGAAGGTGAAGGAGAAGCATATCTTAGCAAGGCAGAGTAGAAGGAGAGACAGAATGAGGGGGAAAGTGCCACACACTTTTAAACCATCGGATCTCATGAGAACTCATTCGTTATCACAAGAACAGCAAGGGGGAAATCCACCTCCGTGATCCAATCACCTCCCACCAGTCTCCTCCCCTGACATGTGAGGATTGCAATTTGACATAAGATTTGGGTGAGACATGGAGCCAAACCATATCAGTGCTATTCCTGGTGCTGGAGAGGAAACACTTTACCTTCACAGAGTCAGTGCCTGGGGGCCTACGAATCTAAACCATCAAAAGATAGATTGACAAGAGAAAAGAAGAGTTGATTTAAGCATGCAATGTGCATACACACAGGAGTGCTCAGTGATGCACTCAGTGATTGTGCTCACTGTTAGAATTCAGGGCTTATGTACCTAACATAGTAGGGGAAGGAAAAAGGAGAAAAGGCTCCTATGAGAAGAACAAATAGGTTTCCTTAGGAAAGACAATTGGATTTTTATGAGAATAAATGGGAGATAAGAAAGTTTGTGACATTTTATTTACATAGGTGCTAGTGGCCTTTCTCTCTTCTTCACAGCTAGGACTCTCCCTAGGAGAAGGGATTTATGGTAGTCTCATTTCCCAAAGTTGCTGTGTTTCATCAGATTAGGAAAGCTCCAAGAAAGTCTTTTTCTGCATCTGTTGAGTCTCAAATGTCTTCAGCTTAAAATAATCTTTACAACAACTCTGTAATCGCCTGATGAGTTCGTCCCATCCTCTGCACAGACAAAACCAATTCACCGAGACCATGGTATTGCAGTAGTTTAATTGATGTGAGGCTGGCCACAGGGGAAATAGAGTTAGTACTCAAATCAGTCTCCCCAAAGGCTCACGGGTTAGGGTTTTTCAAGGATAGTTTGGTGGGCAGGGGATAGAGAATGGGTGCTGCTGATTGGTTGGCAATGCAATCATAGGGGTGTGGAAAATGGTCACCATCTGTGCACTGAGTCCACCTCTTGGTGGGAGAGGAGGGCACAGAAATAGTTGAGTTATGAGTCATGAGTCTGGGTGGCATCAGTCTGAAAAACATCTCAAAAGACCAATCTTAAGTTCTACAATAGTGATATTATCTATATGAGCAATTAGGGAAGTCATAAATCTTGTGACCTCTGGCCACACGATTCCTGAGAAGTAAGGGATCATAAAAACTATACCGACATTTTAGCAGAATTCAGGGCCCTCCCATAATCCTAATCTTATGGCCTTTCATTAGTCTTATGAAAGTAGTTTCAGCCCGCCCCCTGGCCCCAACAAGGAGAGGATTCGTTTCAGGGAGAAACTATTATCATCCTTGCTTCCAAGTTAAACTATAAATTTTAATTTGGTTAAAAGTAAGAATATGTTAGCTTGTCCTATGCCCAGGAATGAGTGAAGACAGCCAACCGGTGAGGCTAGAAGCAAGATGGAGTCAGCCATATCAGATTTCTCTTACTGTCATAATCTTTGCAAAGGTGGTTTCAACTCAGGGATTCTGAGTGAGTCTTTACACCAGTCTGTACCATGTGCATTGTGGAGAATTTTCACCCCAGAAATGAGCAGCTGTGAGTTGAGCTGCAAACATATGGCATAGGTTTAGTCTAGTCAACCTATGAGATCAAGACTAAGGGAGCCAAGAAACTGCCTCACAGGCAAGGGAAGTGTGGGAGAAAATTCTCACGCAATATGAACTTTCCGGCAAAAGTTAAAAGACACAGAGCACACTGAAAGGTCATCACAAATCAAAGATCTACATTCTAAAGTGACAGAAGAATCTAAAAAGAACTTTGAAATGAAACTGTTTAAAATTTTCAGGGAAATAAAAGAAGATAACATCAATAAAACCACAATAGGACATTATAAAACTGGAATAGGTAAGTAATAAAAAAACAACAGAAAATTATTCACCCCACAACTTTAAAAAACAAGATAGCCATCCCTTAAAGGAACTGCATTTCACTACACTGACAGAAGAGGGTGATCTTGAACTAGAAATGGTAAATAACTTCATGAAATACACTGCAATGAAATGAAGCATCCTAAATCCATGTAAAGCTACTTTAAGGGGGAATAAAAATTAGAATCAGGGCCAGGCGCAGTGGCTCATGCCTGTAATCCCAGTACTTTGGGAGGCCAAGGCGGGCAGATTATTTGAGGTCAGGAGTTCAAGACCACCCTGGCCAACATGGTGAAGCCCCGTCTCTGCTAAAAATATAAAAATTAGCTGGGCATGGTGGCACACGCCTGTAATCCCAGCTACCTAGGAGGCTGAGGCCCAAGAATCACTTGAACAAGAGATGTGAGGTTGCAGTGAGCTGAGATGGCACCACTGCACTCCAGCCTGGGTGACAGAGCGAGACTCCATCTCAAAAAAAAAAAAAAAAAAAAAAAAATCAGAGTCAAAGCCTTTAGCTGATGAAGTCCTTCCCAAAAAAGAACCACAAAGCAACAACAAAACACAAAATTTTAAATGGAATTGATATCCTCAAACATTTGGAAATATAAAAAAACCACCTTGAATCAGATATTTGAAAACCAAGAACAGAAATGAACAAAACAACAGATAAGTACATATTTTATAAATTGATTGATTGATTCAACTCAGGAAAGAAAAAGACAAAATCATCTTAGGAATAAAGGCCAAATTACAAACACCCAGTGGAGAGTAGACTAAACTGAAAAGTTAAGAAGATTGAACAGAGGCAGGAAAATGAACAAGAAAATAAAAATGAACTAAAAACAGAAGCAAAAAGATTCAGAGAGAAAGTGGTTGAAATGGAAGATAAACAAAGAAAATTAAAGATACAGATCACTTGAACCCCTGAAGAAGACATATAAAACAATGGAATAAAACTCACATTTAAGCCTATAATCTAAAATGGAGAAATAGACTATGTTCATGTACTGGAAGACTCAATATTGTTAAGATGTCAGTTCTTCCCAAATTGATCAACAGGTTTGACTCATCAAAATCCCAAGAAACTTTACTGTAGAAACTAATAAGCTGTTTCTAAAATTTATATGGAAATGCAAAGTATCTAGAAGAGTCAAAACAGTTTTGAGGAAAAAAACAAAGTTGGAGGATTTGTACTGCTTGATTTCAAGACTTACTAAATGAACAGTAATCAAGAAAGAGTGTTATTTGCATAAGGATTTACATATAGAGTAATGGAACAGAGTAGAAAGACCTGAAATAGACCCACACTCATATGGTCAATTACTTTTTTCTAAAGGTACCAAGGCAATTCAATGAAGAAAGAGTAGTCTTTTCAACAAATAATGCTGGAATAACTGAACATCCACATGAAAAGAATGAACCTCAACTCTTACTTTATATCATACACAAAAATTTATTATTTAAAATGAAACATAAACCTAAACATAATATTTAAATATATAAAACTTATAGAAGAAAACATAGCAGAAAATATTTCTGATCTGGGATAAGCAAAGATTTCTTGGCTGAGCGCATTGGCTCACACCTGTAATCCCAGCACTTTGGGAGGCCAAGGCAGGTGGATTGCTTGAGCCCAGGAGTTCGAGACCAGCCCTGTGCAACATAGTGAAACTCCATCTCTACAAAAAATACAAAAATTAGCCGGGTGTGGTGGTGCATGCCTAGAGTCTCAGCCACTCAGGGGGCTGAGGTGGGAGGACTGCCTGAGTTGGGAGGTCAAGACTGCAGTGAGCCATGATCGTGTTACTGCATTCCAGCCTGGGTGACAGAGTGAGACCCTGTCTCAAAAAATAAATAAATAAAAAATAGATTTCTTAGATTGGGCATGAAAAACAAAAATAGAAAATGATAAATTGAACTTCATCAAAATTGTAGACTTCTCTCTTTCAAATATACCATTATTAATGAAATAGGCCACATGATGAGAGAAAATATTCATAACACATACATACGACCAAAAACTTGTATGCATAATATATAAAGAACTGTTATTACTCAGTAATAAGACAAACTACCCAATTTTTAACATTGGCTATGTTGAAATACTTTACAAAAGATGATAATGAATGTCCAATATGCACATGAAAAGATGCTCACCCTTGTTGGTCATCAAGGAGCTGTAAAGTAAAACCACAATGAGATGCCAATACACACTCACTAGAATGGCCAAAATGATCAAAACTGATGATACCAAGGGTTGGCCAGGATATGAAGCAACTGAAACTCTCATATGTTGCTGTCGAGAAGGCAAAATGTTACAACCCCTTTGGAAAATAATTTGTCTGCTTCTTATAAGGTTGAACCCACAGTTACCATACAATACAGCAATTACATTCCTACCTTTTACCTGATAAACATAAAAACGTGTCTACAAGAAGGCTTGTATACAAATGTTAATAGCAGTTTTATTTATAACAGCAAAAAAAAAACTAGAATAACCTAAGGCCTATCAAAAGTAAAAGGATACACATTGTGGCATACACTCAGTAATAAAAGTAATGAACAATTGACCCAGCAATGCAGCAGCAAGGATAAACCTCAAAATATTATTCCGAGTCAGAGATGCCAGACACAAAAGAGTACCTACTGTATGAAATTTGACAAAAGGTAAATCTTATTTACAGCAGCAGAAAGCTGCTCAGTTAGTGATTGTTTGGGTAGGGGGGATGAAGACAAAGGGCCAGGAGGGAGTTTTTTTAGATAATGAAATGTATTATCTTGGTGGTAAAGGTAACATGAACATATACATTTTTAAAATTTATTAAACTGGGCTGGGCACAGTGGCTCACACCTGTAATCCCAGCACTTTGGGAGGCTGAGGCAGGTGGGTCACTTGAGGTCAGGAATTCAAGACCAGCCTGGCCAACATGGTGAAACCCCATCTCTACTAAAATACAAAAATTAGCTGGGCGTGGTGACACGCCCCTGTAATCCCAGCTACTTGGGAGGCTGAGGTGGTGGAACTGCTTGAACCCAGGAGGCAGAGGTTGCAGTGAGTCGAGTTCATGCCACTGCACTCCAGCCTAGGCGATGGAGCGAGACTGTGTCTCAAAAAATAATAATAATTATTATTATTAAACTGTATATTTAAAATTGGTACATATTTATATATGTGAGTTAAACTTCAAAAAGTTGATGTTGGCCGGGTGCAGTGGCTCACACCTGTAATCTCAGGCCTTTGGGAGGCCCAGGTAGGTGGATCACCTGAGGTCAGGAGTTCGAGATCAACATGGCCAACATGGAGAAACCCCACATCTACGAAAAGTAGAAAAATTAGCTGGGTGTGGTGGCATGTGCCTGTAATCCCAGCTACTCTGGAGGCTGAAGCAGAAGAATCACTTGAATCCAGGAGGCGGGGGTTGCAGTGAGCTGAGATCACGCCACTGCACAAGCCTGGGCCACAGAGTGAGACCCTGTCTCAAAAAAAAAAAAAAAAAAAAAAAAAAAGTTGATGTTAAAAAAGTATAATCTAAGAAAATTTTCCAGGAAGAAAAAAAAACACCTGAATTTATTAATGGAAATATCCCATGGTGTATGTGGTAAATTGGTATCAGTCACTCAAAAATATGGTCAGGTATACATACATATATATATATATATATATATATATATATATATATATATATATATACCCAATGTGCCAAAAGTAACACCCACAGTTCTCTCTGAGACATGCCTTTCTCTCTCTGGACTTCATCAGGATATGCCAAGCTACTCTAAAGAAGGGCTCTTAAGAGTCCAAGAAACTCCTGTGTCTGGCTGAGGAGTAAAGAGAGTGGAACCCAGAGGGTGTCACCTGCCTCGTTGAAGGTCTCATAAGCCAAATTAAAGAGTTCAGTTTTATTTTGAAAGAAATGAGCAGGAGCCTCTGGAGGGTTTTAAGCATAGGGTTGATGTAGTCAAATCTGTGGTTTAGAAAAATCAACTGTCCAGTCCCAGGAGCTTGGAGGAAGGAGGCAGGAAGACCAACAGGAGACTGTTGAAGTAAGTCTGGTAATAAACAATGAGGGCTTCAGGTGATTCGTGATCATAGGGATGAAAGAGGGGGAAAATGAAGACATACCGGGATATTTGTGGAAGAAAATCCAGCTTTCTAATATAATTATATATTATACAAACTATAATGTTACACAGAGACCAATGAAGCGAATCACACACTCAAGCTATTCTTTTAAGAAGTTTGGCATTTTGTGGCCAGGCGCAGTGGCTCACACCTGTAATCCCAGCACTTTGGGAGGCTAAGGAGGGCGGGTCATGAGGTCAGGAGATCGAGACCAGCCTGACCAACATGGTGAAACCCCGTCTCTACTAAAAATACAAAAAATTAAGCCAGGCATGGTGGCACACACCTGTAGTCGGGAGCCTGAGGCAGGAGAATGGCTTGAACCCGGGAGGTGGAGGTTGCAGTGAGCCGAGATCATGCCACTGCACTCCAGCCTGGGTGACAGAGCGAGACTCCATCTAAAAAAAAAAAAAAAAAAAAGAAGTTTGGCATTTTGTTTTCCTTCTGCTCCCTAAAGTTTGGTCACTAACATTATGTGTCAACACCCATTGAATTTAAGGAGCAGTTGTTCAAGTTTGATCATGAGCACATGGACTGCACACAGTTGTCTGCCCAAGGTGCTGAGCATCCATTTGGCTGAATTCTTAATGAACCACGAGGCTCACTTCATTCTTCACTCCTTTAAAGACCAAGATGACTTTGGCCAGCATATTCAAAATGCATCTTAACTCTTCTCTGTGTTTTGTCCATTTCAAATGATATGTGCCCTAGTTTGGGTTCACTAGAAACAGATGTTTTTGAAGAATCAGACACACAAGAAGAATTATTGAGGAAGGGAGAAGGCTGGACGAGTTTCAGACTATAATGCAGGCTGACTCCCAGGGAAAGAAATTGGACAGGAAGGAGCACTGGGGAGGAAGCGTCTCAAACCACAGTCCTCGAGTCAGAGCCACACGCCTCTTGCTGGAGTGGGCTTGCCTTAGTGCCTCTGCTATGCTCAGCCGTCCCAGGGATCAGCCCCCTGGGGAGTGTGGCTCAGCACATTGTGGTGCTGAATCCGGAAGCAGCACCTGGGGCCAGTCAGGCAATTTTGCTCTTCACAGTAGGAGACCTGAGTGGTACATTTTCATGGCCACCCGCCTTCTCTCTATTTTCTGTTCTTCTGGCCTTTGCTCTCCAAAATACCATTTTTCTCTAAGCCTGTATTCTTCCTCTACAAAATCAGAAATATGATAATCGAATCTTAAGCATTCTTCCAACATTTGACAAAGATGAGGAACTCAGCCCTGGGCACCCAAGAGGTCCCCATGAAACTTTATAGCAGGAAAATATTATTCTCATTTTTGTTAGGGTTCATTCCTTTTCTCCAGTCCCACATCCCCCAGCATAGTGTTGTGCCTACGTCGCTAAGGGAATTGTGCCCCATTCCCACACTGTAAAAAGATGCCAGAATGCACCAAATTCCACAGTACACCATCAGGCCACTCTCTTTCTCTCTCTCTCTCTCTCTCGTGTGTGTGTGTATGTGTGTGTGCGTGTGCGTGTGCATGCGCGCATGTTTTGGGGGGAGGTATTCTCCCACAGTGTTAGCTTTTAAATGTTTTAAGTCGCTGGCTTTTTTTTTTTTTTCTCTAGAAGACCTGGTGATTTTATCATAAACAGTTTCTGAAGATCCTCCTGGCCTAGATGAGCTGTTCACCTTTGAAGTTGCTATGGAAACCAGTGCGGTTTTTTTAAATATATAAATTATTGATGTAGAGGAAAGAGAGGCTGTGATGCTTCAAAGAAAGGCAAATGAGGCATTGGAAGATATGAAAAAGTGAAATACCTAAACATATTAAGTATCAAGAACAACCTTTCCATCTTCACTCAAGCTGTCCTATTAATAATAGGAAGCTTTCAGGAATTCTATACGTAAGGAATAAGAGCTCTTATTTCTGTGCCCAAAGGTCAATTAGCACCAGTTGGCTGAATAAGTGGATGAAGAATGGGAAATACAGCAACCCCGAGACAGTGTTAGGTAAACTATCCTGGTCACAATCTACTGTTGGAATGAAAGGCGTTGATCACCTCATGATTAGCTGGTTGTCACAGCTTTCCATCAGCTCTGTTCCTTAAACCCTGAGAGTTTCCACCATGAATCACTCATTCACTTTGGACAATTCTATTTTCTGGGTTGTGGAGGTTTGAAAATTGGTGTCCACAAAAATATCACACTGTGAAGTAGCTCAAAAAAGCCAGCGGTGGTATACTATTGTAGGCCAGAGGCTTCTGGCTGAATCAATGTAACCACTATATCCAGGTGTTATGATCTCTCAAGCATAAAATAAGATCACATTAATTTTTAATGGATGGAACCCACAGACTGGCTTCGTAGCTAGATCTCAGACTCTTGTAGGGGCCACAGAGATTCACTACATTTTTGTGGGGTGTGTGTGTGTGTGTGCATGTGTGTTGAGACAAACTCTTGTTCTGTTACCCAGGCTGGAGTGCAGTGGCACAATCTCAGCTCACTGCAGCCTCTGCCTCCTGGGTTCAAGTGATTCTCTTGCCTCAGCCTCCAGAGTAGCTAGGATTACAGGCGCCCACCACCACACCCAGCTAATTTAGATATATATATAGTATTTTTAGTAGAGATGGATTCACAATGTTGGCCAGGCTGGTCTCAAACTCCTGACCTCAACTGATCTACCCAGCTCGGTCCCTCAAAGTGCTGTGACTACAGGCATGAGCCATCGCACCCGGCTGAGATTCCCTGCCTTCAAAGAAGAGGGATCCCCACTCAAAGAAGGACTTACCTGGCTGCTAAGAGTGCTGCTGCCCCTTCAGCTCCTGCCTCAGCTGCAAAGAGCTGCCTTGCCTAGTGTTACACTCTTCCTGGGATGGCTTGTACTCAGTAATGGATGAAAGCCGGCGTATAAAGTCCCAGCTATTTCAGTCCATTGCAGAGCAATTCTGATGCTTTTTGGCTCACAGCCACCTGTTGGACTGGTCAAGGATGTTGGGCCTGCATCTCAATTTGCCTTCTTTCTCAGCCTGATCTAGCTTCCTTCTCTCTTCCACATGTGTTGATTTCAAGGGTGCTTCCTAATAAACATCCTGAGCAGTGAACTCCATCTCAGTCTGCCTGCCAGAGGACCCAAATTGCAGCAATTCCTCCCAGCCCCATGCCACCTGGCAATGCCAAGTAAAATACAAAATGCCTGGTTAAATTTGAATTTGAGATAAGCAACTAATACCTTTTTAGTATAGGTATGTCCCAAATATTTTTATGGCCTAATCTGTATGCCTAGTATGACATTGGATTAAATAAATGTTTGTTGGATGAACTAGAATTTTAGGATCCTGTCTTACAATAGAGAACCCTGTTACACAGAAGAGGCAGAGGTGGGCAATGGTTCCTTGCACTTCATTATGCAAGTATTTTACAAAATGTTCACAGATAAGCAATATCTCAATTACCTGGGGGTGCTTGTATAAATGCAGATTCTCAGGACTCACCAGATTTACTGAAGGAGAACCTCTGGGGCTGACCCCTGGAAATTTGCATTTGTAGTAAGCCTCCTAAGTGATTCTTCTGCTCCTAAAGTTTAAGAAGCTTCCATACTATGACCTGTGGCCTTGAACTAGAAAGACCAGTTTGATCCAAATTAGGAAGGCCTGTCTCTGAAGTCAACCAAGAACTGTAGAAAGCAGAGAATCAGTCCTGTCTCTATCTGTTTGGCCACTCTCTTTCTCTTTCCCCTTGAATCTCCTTCAGATGGAAAGTAAGTTCCTGGACCAGGCTGATCATCATAGTCTCTGGGAGCAGAGTTTAAAAGAATGCAGGTCTACGAAGTCATAGCCAAGGAGAATATTATGCTGACCACAACAGGGGCTGTGAGAAGTCAGAGTCACTGGGAAAGACTTTAGGGAGGAGATAGCTTTAAATGACAGGCAACGTTTGCACAGGCCCATTGGAAAGGCTTGAGCATTCTAGAATAACTGAGTCTACAGGCTTAGAGGCAGGATAAGCATGTTGTATTAATCTGTTTTTTATGCTACTAATAAAGACATACCAAGACTGGGTAATTTATAAAGGAAAGAGATTCAATTAACTCATGGTTCCACATGGCTGGGGAGGCCTCACAATCATGGCAGAAGGTGAATAAGGAGCAAAGTCACATCTTACATGGCAGCAGGCAAGAGAGCATGTGCAGGTGAACTCCCCTTTATAAAACCATCAGATCTCGTGAGACTTATTCATTACCACGAGAACAGTATGGGGGAAACCACCCCCATGATTCAATTATCTCCACCTGCCTTGATATATGGGGATTATTACAATTCAAGGTGAGATTTGGGTGGGGACACAGCCAAACCATATCACATGTCATAGGAGGCACTTACTGTTAGAAGGGTCTTGAAACTCAGTGACAAGGTGGCTTAAGATCCAGGTGGCAGATGCAGGAACCTAGCTTCAACATGGAGCCTCAGGTTCCTGCTGCAAGATGTTCCACTGGAAATAAGAGAAGGAATCTTCCAAAGGGTTTAATCAGATCTCAGTGCATGAATACAGAACACTAAATAACTATTGTCAGTTCACAGATTGGTGCCCCAGTCAGCTGAACATTGGAGTCCAAAAACTCACCTTCATGTTTTAGACCTTTGCTGAAGTCTTCCTCACATAACACTCTATTCCCTTTTCCCCAGGCTAAAGGTGCATGGAATAGGTGGATGGTTTTCCCCAGATGCCAAGAAATGCCAAAAAAATTGTCTCCCCTGCCCTTTACTATTATTTAAGAAACAGTAATATTTATGACTAAGAAGGCATCAAGACATTTGGCTTTTGAAGAATGTGTCACCTCCATGGAGGGGTGAGGTGAAGGTTGTCACTCTTGACATACGCCTGGCTGGGGCAGCAGGTACATGTAGGGAAGAATTAAAAATAAGTTTGATAATTGATTACAATTTTTCAGGCATGAAAAGCTGAGATCGACAGTTCATCTCAGTCCATCTTTTGGGACTAATTTTCTTCTTGTCATTCAGGTCTTAGCACATGTCACCTTCTCAGAGAGGCTGTCCTTAAGCACCAAATCTCTCCCACCCCACTCTATTACTCTTATCACATCACACCGTTTTATTTGTTTTATTTTGTTTAGAATGCAAGTCATATATTTAAAATTATCTCTCATTTATTTGCCTGTTTGGTATCTTTCTCCACACTAGAAAGTAAACTCCATGAGAGCTAGTCCATGTCTGTTTTGTTCACAGCTATAATCCCTCACCTAGCATTGTGCTTGGCATTTAGTAAGTACTCAATACAACAGTTTTTGAATGAATGAATTAATGAACTTAAATGTTTACATTAAATGCCTTTAATGTTTGTTAATCCATACCAGAAACATTAATGCTGCAGGGGCCCCCGATTTGCACCATTCCCCAGAATCCATGTGGACCACTTTGTAAGTCCTGAACTACATTTTAAAAGCCACTCATCTATGCAAGTTCAGTGCAGAAAAACACAAAAGTTGAACATTTGAAGACTTTTCCTCAAACTGCAGCAGAGGGTTTTCTGATTTGACACTGAGAAAAAACAGCAAGTCAGTCAATATCCAATGTAAATGCAAGGGGTGAAAGGTATTAATTCTTCATAAACTTTACATTTTATTTTATTTTGCTTTATTTAGAGACAGGGTCTCTCTCTCTCTCTCTCTCTCTCTCTCTCTCTCTGTCTCTCTCTCTCTCTGTCTCTGTCTCTCTCTCTCTCTCTCTCTCTCTCCTCTCCAGGCTGGAGTGCAGTGGTGCAACCTTGGTTCACTGTAGCCTCAACCTCCTGGGCTCAACTGCTCCGCTCACCTCAGCCTCCCAAGTAGCTGGGACTACAGGCACATACCACCATGCCTGGCTAATTTTTATACTATTTGTAGAGACAGGGTCTGAATATGTCGCCCAGGCTTGTCTTGAACTCCTGGGCTCAAGCGATCCTCCCGCCTTACCCTCTCAAAGTGCTGAGATTACTGGTATGTGCTACTGTGCCCAGCCTAAACTTTACATTTTGAAACGTTTTAGCATGAAAAACTCAAATGTGTGACTTTCTCTTAAATGTTATCTCAGAAAAAAACTTGTGAGCCTTTCTAATGAGTAAAAACTTATTTTAAAAAACCTAAATAACACTTGCCACAATCTACTTGTCTGATGGAATATTTTGTTAAAATTTAGGTGGCAAAAAAAACAAATTTAATTAATCACTAAAAACTCAGAGTTCAGTCAAAGATAAAATAACTGGAAAATAGAATTTTGAAAGCTCCCGTAAGTCAGTGAAATTGTCTGCACACAACTTCCCAGTAAGTAAGATCATAATATTAAATGTAGTTATCTGCATCCTTGGTTTAATTGTTTTGAATGTCTCAATGGCTCATTTCTTCAGACCTGCAAAAACCAGAATTTTCCTAAAAACATGCAAATATGACTTGTAAATCCTTTACCCTTCTGAAGTCTATGTATCTATAATTATGTTCCCTGGTTTTAAAAAGGAAGCTGCTAAATAATCTGCTCCTTTGAAAGAAATGTTAAGGAATTTCAAGGTTGTTAAATCTATAAGTTGGTTAATTAGGTTGAGGTAGGCTCTTTGTGTTTCTGTTATTGATGTGGAAACTTGTGTCTTGATTCATTCATTTCTTTTTAATGTTATTTGAATTGAAGGCCTTATGTCATCACTGAATGATGTTTCTTGACTTCAAAGCCTCTTTGTTCCTAACAGAACCTAGCACAATCCATTCATTCAAAAAATATTTTTAAAGTACCTGCTATGATTTAGATATGACAGAAACAGCAGTGAAAAAAGACCTCTGTCTCCTTGGAGCTTGCATTTTGGTGGTGAAGACAGACAATGAATAAGATAAATAAGTAAAATATATGCTCTGCTAGATTGTGACAAGTGTTAAGGAAAAAAATAAGCAGAGAAGATATATTAATCTATCTTTGCACAGCTATGAAGAGACATCTGAGACTGGGTAATTTACAAAGAAAAGAGGTTTAATTGGTTCATGGTTCTACAGGCTGTACGGGAAGCATTACGTCTTCTGCTCAGCTTCTGGGGAGGTCTCAGGAAACTTACAATCATGGCAGAAGGTGAAGGTGAGGCAGGCACCTCTTACATGGCCAGAGCAGGAAGAAGAGAGAGATGGGGGAGGTACTACACACTTTTAAACAACCAGATCTTATGAGAACTCTATCATGAGAACAGCACTAGGAAGATGGTGCTTAACTATTAAAAACCACCCCCATGATTTAATCACCTCCCATCAGGCCCCACCTCTAACATTGGGGATTACAATTGAACATGAGATTTGGGTGAGGACACAGATCCAAACCATATTATTTTACCTCTAACTCCTCCAAATCTCATGGCCTTCTCATATTACAAAATACAATCATGCCTTCCCAATAGTCCCCCAAAGTCTTAACTCATTCCAGCATTAACTCAAAAGTCCAAAGTCCCATCTGAGACAAGACTAGTCCCTTCCACCTATGAGCCTATAAAATCAAAAATAAGTTAATAACTCCCAAGATACAATGGGGGGTATAGGCATTGAGTAAATACTCCCATTCCAGAAGGGAGAAATCTGCCAAAGAAAAGGGGCTACAGGCCCCATGCAAGTCCAAAATCCAGAATTGCAGGCATTAAATCCTAAAGCTCCAAAATAATCTCTTTTGACTCCATGTATCACATCCAGGTATGAAGGATGGGTTACCAAGGCCTTGAGCAGCTTGTCCCCGTGGCTCTGCAAGGCTCTGCCCCATAGCTGCTCTCAAGGGCTTGCATTGAATTCCTGCAGCTTTTCCAGTTGCAGGGAGCAAGCTGCTGGTGGATGTACCATTCTGGGGTCTGGAGGAAGGTGGCCCTCTTCTCACAGCTCCACTAAGCAGTGACCCAACTGGGATTCTGTGTGAAGGCTCCAATCCATTTCCCCTCTGCATTGCCCTAGTAGAGGTTCTCCATGAGGGCTCCACCCCTGCAACAGCCTTCTGCCTGGACTTCCAGGCTTTTCCATGCATCTTCTGAAATCTAGGTGGAGGCTCCCAAGCCTCAACTCTTGCCCTCTGCACACCTGTAGCCTTAACACCATGTAGAAGTCACCAAGGCTTACAGCTTGCAACCTCTGAAGCAACAGCCCAAGCTGTAACTAGAGCCCTTTTAGCTACAGCTGGAGCTGGAGCAGCTGGGATGCAAGCAGCAGTGTCCTAAGGCTGCACAGAGTAGCAAGGGGTCCTGGGGCCAGCCCATAAAGCCATTTTTCCCCCCTAGACCTCCAGGCCTGTAATGGCAGGGGCTGCCTCGAAAGTCTCTGAAATGCCTTGGAGGGCTTTTTCCCATTGTCTTGGCTATCTGCATTTGGATCCTCTTTACTTATGCAAATCTCTATAGCTGGCTTTAATTCCTCCCCTGAAAATGGCCCTTTCTTTTCTACCACATGGCCAGGCTGCAAATTTTCTAAACTTTTATACTCTGCTTCCCTTTTACATATAAGTTCAAATTTCAGGTCATTTCTTTGCTCACCATGTATGAACATGCACTGTGAGAAGCAACCGGGCCACATCTTGAATGACCTGCTGCTTGGAAATTTATTCCACCAGATACCCTAAATCATCACTCTCAAGTTCAAAGTTCTACAGATCCCTAGAGCAGGGGCACACTGCCTCAAGGTTCTTTGATGATGCATAACAAAAATTACCTTTGCTTCAGTTCCCAATAAGTTCCTCATTTCCATCTAAGGCCTCCTTAGCCTGGACTTTATTGTTTATATCACTATAAGCATTTTGGTCACAACAAACTTTTCCTCATCTTCCTGTCTTTTTCTGAGCCCTCCACACTCTTCCAGTTTCTGCTTGTAACGTTACCCAATTCCAAAGCTGCTTCCACATTTTCAGATATCTTTATAGCAATGCCCCACTTCTCAGTACCAATTTTCTGTAATAGTCCATTGTCACACTGTTATAAAGAAATAATTGAGACTGCATAATTTACAAAGAAAAGAGGTTTAATTGGCTGACAGTTCTGCAGGCTGCACAGGAAGCATGATGTCTTCTGGGGAGGTGTTAGGAAATTTTCTTTTTTTTTTTTTTTCTTTTGAGATGGAGTCTTGCTCTGTGGCCCAGGCTGGAGTGCAGTGGCATGATCTCGGCTCACTGCAACCTCCCCACCTCCCAGGTTCACACCATTCTCCTGCCTCAGCCTCCCAAGTAGCTGGGACTACAGGTGCCTGCCACCACTCCCGGCTAAGTTTTTGTATTTTAGTAGAGATGGGGTTTCACCGTGTTAGCCAGGATGGTCTCAATATCCTGACTTCGTGATCTGCCTGCGTTGGCCTCTCAAAGTGCTGGGATTACAGGAGGCCCGTGTTAGGAAATTTTTAATCATGGCAGAAGGCAAAGGGGAGGCAGGCCTTCTTCTTACATGACCAGAGCAGGAGGGGGAGAAAGAGCGGGAAGGTGCTATGCACTCTTAAACAGCCAGATCTTATGAGAACTCTATCATGAGAACAGCACTAGGGGGATGGTGCTAAACCATTAGAGACTGCACCCATGATCCAATCATCTCCTATGAGGCCCCACCTCCAACTTGGGGATTACAACTGAACGTGAGATTTGTGTGGGGACACAGATCCAAACCATATCAGAAGTGTTCATAGGAAATGTTTATTTGGGGAGGGAACTTTCAGATAGCATGCCCAAAAAAGGTCTCAGGGACACAAGATGTCACTTGAGTAAAGTTGGGTAGAAAGAGAAGGCATGCCAAGCAGACAGAAAGCACTAGTTACCTATGTATTGAATAACTGAACCATGGCCAGTTAATTTCTCAGCTCTCATTGTATCTGGCATGTCTTCTCCATTTGGGGGCTGATGTGTTTATATTGTAGATGCCCTGCCCTTTCTCATAACCTTTGAATTGTGTTCTTATTCACAGCCCATAAACAATGATCCCAAATGGAGCAGATGCTCATATCTACATCCTCAAGAATAAATGGCTTCCCCGTCAGAACTTGGCTGGATATGTGGGGGTTAATGCAGTAGCTTGGATTGGGGGAAGGAAAGCAACATCACCTGCAGCTGTTTGAATATGGAATAGCACCACAGGGCATAAATAAAGAAAATAAAATTGAAAGAATCAATGAATTCCGAAGAGAAAACAAAAGGCAGAGGCCTTCTTATTGAAGGTTTTAGACAGAAAAATAGCAACTCATAACAAACGACAATGTGAAAACTCTGCACTATAAACTAGTGTCCTCTCTCCGACATGTGCCAGACTTATCTTTCCTTTGGATTTTTATCCGTCCTTATCTACTTGCCATACCCAAACAGCGTGTTATTCTCAGGATGAACCACAGCCACAAGAGACCTCGTGCTCTTTGAGTGTTCTGTGCACCTGCATGTGCTGTGCACTCCTGACCTTTAACTTCTTGCTCACTCCTCCAGGACTGTACCCAAAATTTCACCTTCTCTGTAAAAGCTCATTGAACTGCAACACTTAAAAATGGTGTATATCATTGTAGGTGAATTACAGTTCAAAAAATAAAAGTTAAAAACAAAACCAAAAACACTCACTTCATTTGAGAACCCTTCATGCTACAATCTCCCACTCCTGCCCCCACTCCAGCAGGGTTGGCCATCAAACTTGGCAGTTCCAGAACCTGGGGATGACCTTGCTAGTGAGCCAAGGGGGCCAAAGCTAGGGATGTTAGTGCATCTGGTAACAGCCCAGGTAGATTATTGCCTTTTTTAATCCATTCCGCATTCCTTCTTCTTTTTTCTTTCAACAGCACACAGGTACTTTTGGCCCCCTGGGGTTTTGTTCAATACTACTATCAAGTTATTAATGAATAAATATAAATTTTAATATTTCTCCCATCCTTGCTCCCTTCTGGAACACTGATTCAAACTCTGTATCATAATTTTGACCTGTCCCATCCATCCATCCATCCATCCATCCATCCATCCATCCATCCATCTATCTTGTAATGGTTAATAGCACAGACTCTGAACTCCAACTGCCTAGGTTGAAATAGCAGCTTCTTCACTTATAAAGCAACCTTGGACACATTACTTAACCTCTCTGAAACTTAATTTACTCATTGCTGAAGTGGGATAGTAATAGTCTTTATTTCTGAGAGTTTCAGGGAGAATTGAATGGGTTAATGCATATAAGATGCAAAGACAATGCCCAGCACACAGGGAACACTCAATAAATGTTATTATTCACTATTTATCATTCACTGAGTAGACACTATATGCCAGAATTGAGTTTGACATGTGGGGAAAAAAGGACAATAAATGACACAGGGACCCTAACTTCAAGGAACTGAGATTATGAGGGAAGATTGACAGACAGACAGACAGACAAGTATAATAGAATGTATCAGTGCTGTAATGAGACAAGTTCTGAGTCAATGAAAAGAGTCCCCAGCTCTCATTGGGAGATCAGTCAAGTGAAGGCGTCTCAGAAGTCGAGAGAGTTAAATCAAGTCCTATAATTCTGGCTTCTTCTGTTTGTTCCCTCAATTTCACCATGACGCTGATGTCTTTGCCCTGTCCCCATCTTTTCTGACTGCTGCCATGGAGTGACATCTGGACATGGGCATTCTTATGCCTGGTTGGTGTCCTGAATCCCCTGTGACTCTGGCAGGACCAAGCCTCTTCCTCCAAGAGTAGGCAAATAAGAACAATAATTTTAGGAATATGATAACAAACGTTCTAGTCCCCATTTTAGTCAAAATAAAAGCAAAAGTCCTTCTAAAGGCCTCTACGATCCTACTCCATCTGGCCCTGTCACTTCTCTGACATCTTCTATTATGCTCCCCCTTTTGTACTTTGGACCAGCCAGACCTTTTTGCTGTTTCCTGAGAACACCAGGCATCTTTCCACCTCAGGGCTTTTTGCACTAGCTCCTCCATCCAAAATGCCCTTTCCCAGGTATCGGAAAGGCTCATTCTCTCACCTTCAAACCATTGCTCGCTTATCAACTTCTCAACTGACCACCCTGTTTAAATTGCGGCACCCAACCCCAGCACTTGTAAGCCCCCTTACCTTGCTCTAATTTTTAAAGCACATATCATATCCTATAATTCCCCATAATTTATGCATTTATTGTGTTTATTATCTCTTTGTGTCGCTGGATTGTAAGTTTCAGAAGGGGAGGGATATTTATCTGTTTTAGTCACTGAGCATTCTCTATCAACGGCTAGCACATTGTGGGTGCTCAATAGTTATTAAATGAGAAGACATTGGCATTTACAACCCTCAGGAAAATTTATCTGAGGCCCTGTGCATTAGAAAGCACAGAACTATCTCTCTCTCTTTTAATTATTAAACTACACAAGTGTAAAAAGCTCATTTTCATTTTAACCTTCAGTCAACAAAGCAATAAAGCTCCTTGAACTTGCTTAATGAGTCCAAGAGGATAATGGCTAATTAACATGAAGCATTCTAGCTGCTCTGCCAGCTAGCCACTTGGATCACCCTGGGAGCTCAGAAGTGGAGCAGGCCTCTCTGGCTCCCTGCATATCTGCCCACCTGTCTGTCTAAGCACCAAGGGGTGTCTAAGGTTGGAGGAGAGCAGAGTCAGCTTCCACCTGGGGCTGATACGAGTTCCTAGTTGTTCTTGTCTATAGGGGGCCTGGGGACTCTCTCAGCCTAGGGCCCTTGTCCTGGACCCTGGTTTGTTGCATTTCTCAAACAGTGATCCAAGAACTATTTAATTAGAACCCAACTCCTGTGATTCCACCCAGGCTCACAGGATAACTAAGTCTGGATCTTGCTCTCTGGAGTCTTCCCTTTGCCTAGCTTTTCCTGCCTGAATAGCATCCAATTCCTCCTTTTACAGAAACTGATGTTCTGGCCACAAATCCAGAACAGATTGCACCAGGCAGGCTGGGTCTGAATCCAGCTGGGCCACTTACTGGCTGCTTGACCTTGGACAAGTTACTCAACCTTTTGATAATATTGAATTTTACTTGAGCCCTGAGAAAAGAGCAAGTGTGAAGAAATCCCTCCACCATTTTATACTCCAAAATCAGGAAATAGCTAATCTTGAAAAGGACCACCCTGCCCTAGCATATTTCATGACAAGACCTGCCTCCATCCTTCCTCAGGACTTCTATAAGACTCATTCCCTCACTTACCTGCTTCTATAAAACCCAGGCCTCCTTCACTTTCTTTGAGATGGTCCTCATTAATAAACATTCTCCGGCCAGGTGTGGTGGCTCACGCCTCTAATCCCAGCACTTTGGGAGGCCAAGACAGGCAGATCACCTGAGTTCAGGAGTTCGAGACCAGCCTGGGCAACATGGTGAAACCCTGTCTCTAGCAAAAATACGAAAAATTAGCTGGGCATGGTGGCATGTGCCTGTAGTCCCAGCTACTCGGGAGGCTAAGGTGGGAGGACTGATTAAGCCCAGGAGGTGGAGGTTACAGTGAACTGAGATTATGCCACCGCACTCCAGCCTAGGTGACAGAGCGAAACCCTATCTCAAAAAAAAAAATAGATAAATAAATAAATAAACACTCTCTGTATTGCAATTGCCTGGGTAAAACTATCTCCTTAATTGTCCAATGCGCTTTGTCTTTCATACTTTTAAGCCCCAATATCCCCGTGTATAAAAAAAGGATAATCAAAACTATTTTATAAGACCAGTTGTGAGGATGAAATGAAAAAATGCGTGTATAGTATAGTATGGTAAGCTCTCAATGAATATTTTGGTGCAATTATTATTCCTGTTGTTAATTCCCTCCAGCCCAGTTTTACCAGGTCCTGGCCTTTATGGTCTCTTGTGCTAATTAATGTCTGCTGGATGTTCTATAACTACACATTTTCCAATCTTGACAACATTGTTCTAATAGCTTTGCAGGATTTGGTCATGTCTAGCCCTACTTAGCCACCACCAACTCTCAAACACACCCTAACATCTTGAATGCTGTCTGAAAACAGTGCTTCAATGCTCCCTCTCCACACACATTTGTTCTGCAAGATCTGGCCTTGCTTCTCCTGTCATATTTGGTTCTTGGTGGTTTTTTTCTACTTTGAGTTGCTTCTCATTTTTTCTCAGGGTAGGGTGAGGGCTATTTTGGTTTGGGGGAATGCTAGAGCTAATCATGCCCTTGCTGTGTACATTAGTCAGGGTTCTCCAGAGAGGCAGAGTCAAGAGGGTATACATAGACATAGATGAGAGGGGATTTATTAGAGGAATTGGCTCATGTGATTATGGAGGCTGAAAAGTCCCTCAACAGGCCATCTGCAAGCTGTAGACCCTGGGTTGCTGGAGCATGGCTCAGTTCAAGTCCAAAGGCTCAGAAACAAGGAAGCGAACTGAGTCCCAGACTGAAGGCCTGAGAACGTGAAAAGCAGCTAGTGCCAATTCTGGAGTCCAAGGGCAGGAGAAAAAGACTGTATCCCAGCTCCAGAAGGGAGAGAATATCTTTTTGTTCTATCTGGGCCCCCAGTGGACTGGATGATGTCTGTCCACATTGGGGGTGAATCTTCCCCACTCAGTCCACTGACTCACATGCCAATCTCCTCCGGAAATACCCTCCCAGATGCACCCAGAAATAATCCTTTACCAGTTCTCTAGGTCATCCTTAATCCAGTCAAGATGAACCCAAAACTAACCATCACACTGGGCTTCTGCAGAACCTTTCCACTTATTACAATTGGAATCTTCCAGGGAACTTTTTAATAATACTCCTGATACCCAGGCTGCTACCCGGACCAACTAAATCAGGACCTCTAGATGAGGGAACAAATGACTGGTGCTTAAAAACTCCCTAGATGGGCTGGGCGCGGTGGCTCATGCCTGTAATCCCAGCACTTTGGGAGGCCGAGGCGGGCAGATCACAAGGTCAGGAGCTTGAGACCATCCTGGCTAACACGGTGAAACCCCGTCTCTACTAAAAAATACAAAGAAAAAAAATTAGCCGGGCGTGGTGGCGGGCGCCTGTAGTCCCAGCTACTTGGGAGGCTCAGGCAGGAGAATGGCATGAACCCCGGAGGCGGAGTTTACAGTGAGCCGAGATAGCGCCACTGCACTCCAGCCTGGGCGAAAGAGCGAGACTCTGTCAAAAGAAAAAACAACAAAAAACTCCCTAGATGTTTTCATGAGCAGCCAAAGTAAAGAACAACTGTTGCAGACACTTCTACTGTTGGATAGAGCACCGTGTAGTATAATTATTTGTCTGCCTTTCCTGTTAGAACAGGGTTCTTAATCTGCAATCTGTGGACCCCCCACAGGGATGATCAGGGATCTGCAACCCAGAAAACATTAAGAATCATTCATCCCTAATCCAGGAGCAACTTGGGAATAAGGCTTGTGCTTTATTATTATAACCTCCGTGCTAATACTTGGTAGTTATTCAATAATGCAACATTATTCAACAATAAACTGGACACCAGAGGACAGCATCTCAGGAGACATTGGACAGAAATTCTTTTGAGGAAAATGAGAATTAGGTCAAAAAACAAGCTCATAGTTTCACATACACAAAGTAAGAATATATACATAGATACATCTTTAAATATATATATATTTAAAGTCTCCTTGTATTTGATCATATATGCTTATTGTGCTGTTTGACTCCCACCAAACTAATTCTCTGAAAGTGTTCAATCCCTGAGGAATTAGTTTCTTGCAAATATATTTGCAAGTTTCTTGCAAAAATGTTCTGTTGAGGTCAATACATTTTAAATTGATTTAAATATTCATTTATTTCCTTTTTGCTTCCACTTTATTAGGATAATGAGAGTTGCAAAGAAGTTTTGAAGTGCTTTAAAATTCTTTCTACAACTAATCAACTGAGGTCTCACTATTGTAACTGGCACGGAATGCTGCACAAACTCAGAGATCAAACATGGTCACCTCTTTGGCATTTTAAAATTATTTGCTTGTAGGCCCCATCTACCTCACTAGTAGGAGGCAAGTATCTCCTTCCCTGAATTATCCAAGATCCATGGGGAGAGTGGTGAGTAGGGGTCGGGGGCAGCTTACTTCAGCCAAAGAAGAAATCAGTTCAGCTTCCACACTCCTCCTCCCGAAGCAGAGAGTACCTGTATTAATCATGCCTTTTTATTTGCTCTCTCTGTCTCTTGTGCACTCTCTGTGTGTGTGTGTGTGTGTGTGTGTGTGTGTGTGTGTGTGTGTGTGTGTTTTGGTTTTTGTTTTTTTCAGCGACAGGATCTTGCTCTGTTGCCCAGGCTGGAGTGCAGTGGAGACATCATAAGAGTTTCGATATGTTGCTCAGGCTGTTCCCAAACTCCTGGCCTCAAGTGATTCTCCCACCTCTCAAAGCACTGGGATTACAGGTGTGAGCCACTTCTCTTAGTCTTATTTTCTGTATTCTGAAGCTTTGACATCTGGGGTGTTGCTGATCCTGAAGAGGCTGCCCCTCCCTGACTTAGGGCTTAGGGCTGGGGTTTAGGGATCACTAATTCCTGGAGGCAGTACAGACTCCCCTGGAGAGTGCCTTTCATATGCAAACCAACCAACCCAGAGTCCACATACCCACCTCCTTTCACACTTGGGGCCTTCTGCTCTAATCACCCCAGGGCCAACTCCCAAACAATGAGAGATAGCCCCCTATGTATCAGAGCCAGCTGAAGTTATTCAAACTGTCCATCCTAAGCCTGCTTACCCTGCCTCACCTGCTTCTTCCTGCAGCAGGAATAAAGGCTCTTGCTCGAGTTTTCCCCTCCCTCCCTCTGCCTCCTGACCAACGCTGCTGCTTCCCAGTGTGCCCCTCCCACCACACATACACTGTGGTATGGATCGTCCCCACCTCTTGGGAACTGTAACAAACTATCTTTTCAATGGCAGTCATCTCCTGATCTGTTGGCCTCATCAAACCTGAATAATAATAAAATCTACATTTTAAAACAGTACTTGAGTCTACTGAGTCCACCAGCCAGTGGCTTCTTACTGGTAAGTGCATCTGTGTTGAAAGCCAGTCTTATAAAGTCCAAGTGGCCATGCTGGGCCCCCACTGTGATGATGTCAGTAAATTCTAGATCTCAACCAAGGCTGTAGGAAATCCTGGGGGCAGAGAGATCCCCTTCCTCAGTACCCAGTTCAGCCAAGAGTGCCCCACTCCTGGGCTCACAAGAGGGCAGATGCTCAGTGCTTTCAATTTACGCATCCAGGCACCTCCTGGGGGCAAGTCTGTCTAGGGGAAGACCAGGATCTGGCATCAGGCACCCTGGAGACCCATAGCTATCTTCTGATGAGACTGCCTTCAAATGATAAACTAATCCAGTCATTGGCCCTCCAAGGGAGTATTTTAGAGCTGTTCCCTGGTACTTCTTTTGCAATAAAAAGAGAACCACTTCCCAAATTTACTCTAATTTCATATAGGCATTTTAGAACTGTAAGGGGGAAAAAATAATTTTTCCTTCACCCTTCATGAGTTTTTAGCCAAGACTCTCTATAACAAAAGACAGATTAACAAGAGAAAAACAAGCAGAAATTTAATAATATGTACACCTTCTGTATACATGAGTGATAACCCAGAGAAATAAGTAAATCTCTAGAGTAGACCCCAAAGAAAGAGTTTAAATTTCAGCCTTAAATACTATCATTCTCTGAAACAAACAATGAAGAGTATGGCCGTAAACACAGCAAGGTTTATTATGCAGATTTTGGTTGATGTCTTCTCCATTGATTAAGAGTGTCTTGGCTGAGTGGTGGCTCAAGCCTATAATCCCAGCACTTTGGGAGGCCCAGGCAGGAGGATCATTTAAGCCCAGGAATTCAAGACCAGCCAGGGTGACATAGTAAGACCCTATCTCTACAAAAAGTAAAAAAAAAAAAAAAAAAAAAAAAAAAAAAACATAAAAATAAAAGTAAAAAGTATGTTTAGAGATTTAGTCTTCCTGGTATGAGAGGGAAACACCCTTGCAAATGGAGATTTCCTTTATAGACATAAATTTCTCTCACAAAAGGGTAACTTTTCAGAACTTCACCTGTGTCTGCAGTTTCTCAAGATAACCAGCTCAAAATAATCTTATATCAAAAAGGCATATTTGGGAGTTGTAAATTCTGGTCTTTCGCAGTCCTGTATTGAGGTGGCATGCCCTGAGCCCCATCATAACTTATCAGAACACTTAATTTATGAAAAAAGAGTTTGTAAAATAACCTTTGTTTCTCCCCCGCTGGATCCTTCTCTAGCCCTGTGAAGAGGTTCAAAACATATCACCTCAAAATATGCCACTTTGGCATATTGATTCTTTTGAGCTAAAAGAAATTGTGAACCAGTCAACGTGGGAAAAGCTCTTTACTTCTCCCCAACTAAAATAATGCACAAATGTCCTCTTTTGTAAAGGAAATTTACATTTATAAAGGATATCTTCATTAGTAAAGGTATCTGTAGGAAGAAGACAGCTACTCAGAGATGACTTTTATCACCTGAGAGACTTTTATCTGCATAGCAAGGCAACCACCATTCACCATACATTTCCTCCCCTCCCCTTCCTGTAATTTGCCTCCACCACCCTGCAGGAACCCCAAACCCTTATTCCTTTCTGTATCTCGGGGTGTAACTGTGATAGGTTCACTGTCTGATGTGCAGCAAGTCAACACATCAAAACCAGGTTGCAATAGAGAAACAGGTTCAATCACAGGGCTGCTGAATGAGGAGACAGTAGGAAACCTCAAATCCATCTCCCTGAGGAGTTTGGGGCTAGGGATTTTAACTGTGAAGATCATTGATGGGTGAAAGTGTGCATGGGGGAAATTGTGGGACAGGAAGATAAGGAAATTGTATTCTCACGCTGATTCGGTTCTTCTGTGGGGATCTTCAAACGGTTGGCATCAGCTCTTCCACTGGAATTCAGGATCTGAAAAAACCTCTTAAGCAATTCTTAAACACAAAGGCCTTATGACTCCAACATCAGAAATTCTATCTGTAAGAATAATGGGGATACAAATTAATTCTTAAAAGCCTTATGATTCTAACATCAGAAATCCCACCTATAGCAACAGTGGGGATGCAAATGGTCATTATCTAGTGCTGTGCAACTTTCAGTTACCAGGAAGTGGGCCAGAGTACAGCCTGATTAACGCTTAATTATAACAATGTTTCTGTCCAGAACGCTTGTTACCCTTGTGAGGACAGCTTCAAGGGTGATACATAAATCTCAATCATCTGGCTGCTCCTTTGAGTCTCATATTTTTGTGGGACTTCATGCATACATACATAATTAGAATTGGTTTTCTCCTGTTAAATCTCTTATGTCAATTTAATTCACAGACAAGCCAAATAACCTGGAAGGATAGAAGGAGCATTTTGCCTCTCCTGTAATTGAAAAACGTCCTTCTCCACAATCCCCACCCCCAGTTTCAGAAGCTCTCAAATCCAACCCCTTCTCTGCCAGTACCCCCTAGACCTCCAAGGGATACTCCAGTGCCACCTACTCCATCACTCTGAGAGGTGACACCGTGCTGGCAGCCCTTGCAGCCCTCACTCACTCTCGGCACTCTCTCCTCTGCCTGGGCTCCCACTTTGGTGGCACTTGAAGAGCCCTTCAGCCTGCCGCTGCGCTGTGGGAGCCCCTTCCTGGGTTGGCCAAGGCCAGAGCCGGCTCCCTCAGCTTGCAGGGAGGTGTGGAGGGAGAGGCGCGGGCGGGAACCAGGGCTGTGTGCACAGGGTGCTTGCAGGCCAGCTCTAGTTCCAGGTGGGCGTGGGCTCGGCGGCTCCACACTCGGAGCGGCCGGCAGGCCCTGCCTGCCCCGGGCAGTGAGGGGCTTAGCACCTGGGCCAGCAGCTGCTGTGCTCGACTTCTCGCTGAGCCTTAGCTGCCTCCCTCTGGGGCAGGGCTCGGGACCTGCAGCCCGCCTTGCCTGAGCCTCCCCCCTACCCGCCGCCGTAGGCTCCTGAGCGGCCTGAGCCTCCCCGACGAGCACCGCCCCTGCTCCAAGGCGCCCAGTCCCATCGACCACCCAAGGGCTGAGAACTGCAGGCACAGGGCGCGGGATTGGCAGGCAGCTCCACCTGCAGCCCCAGTGTGGGAGCTACTGAGTGAAGCCAGCTGGGCTCCTGAGTCTGGTGGGGACTTGGAGAACCTTTATGTCTAGCTAAGGGATTATAAATACACCAATCGGCACTCTGTATCTAGCTCAAGGTTTGTAAACACACCAATCAGCACCCTGTGTCTAGCTCAGGGTTTGTGAATACACCAATCGACACTCTGTATCTAGCTACTCTGGCAGGGACTTGGAGAACCTTTGTATCCACACTCTGTATCTAGCTAATCTAGTGGGGACTGGGAACTTTTGGGCCTAGCTCAGGGATTGTAAACGCACCAATCAGCACCCTGTCAAAATGGACCAATCAGCTCTCTGTAAAACAGACCAATTGGCTCTCTGTAAAATGGACCAATCAGCAGGATGTGGGTGGAGCCAGATAAGGGAATAAAAGCAGGCTGCCGAGCCAGCAGTGGCAACCCACTGGGGTCTCCTTCAATGGTGTGGAAGCTTTATTCTTTTGCTCTTTGTGGTAAGTGTTGCTGCTGCTCACTCTTTGGGTCCACACTGCTTTATGAGCTGTAACACTCAACACGGAAGTCTGCCTCACTTTTGAAGCCAGTGAGACCATGAACACACTGGGAGGAAAGAACTCCAGACGCATTGCCTTAAGAACTGTAACACTCACCGGGAAGGTCTGCAGCTTCACTCCTTCGCCAGCGAGACCACGAATCCACTAGAAGGAAGAAACTCTGAACACATCTGAACATCAGAAGGAATAAACTCTGGACATGCCACCTTTAAGAACTGTAGCAGTCACCGCGAGGGCCCACAGCTTCATCCTTGAAGTCAGTGAGACCAAGAACCCACCAATTCCGGACACAACTGTAGTTCTCTTTCTCTATACCCTGGCTTATTTGGGGTTCTCCCAGACCTCAGAGCGTAGCTTTCAGAAAGGCGTAGGCTTGAGGCCAGGAGGACAAGACCAGCCTGGGCAATATAGTGAGACCCCATCTCTAAAAAAAAATATTTAAAAAATAGTTGGGCATGTTGGTAGACACTTGTAGTCCATCCAAGCTTCTGGGAGGCTGAGGTGGGAGGATTGCTTTAACCCAGAAGTTTGAGACTGCAGTGAGCTAGGCTCAGGCCACTGCTCTCCAGGCTGGGCACCAGAGTGAGACACTGTCTCTATAAAGAAAATTTACGAAAGGCTTAGGAACCAGTGTCAACGCCCAGCACTAGAGTTTTAGAGGTGTGTAGGAAAGGAAAAAAAATATTTTTCCCCTACCCTTCTAGGTTTTCTAGTTGAGAGGGGCAGGTGCTGCTGCAAATTAGACTAACAAAGGAAAGACTAATGAGAAAAATAAAGTTTAATTAATGTGTACATCATGCATACTTGTGAGACAAACTCAAAAATGAGTAATTCAAAGAGGTGGTTAGAGCTTGGGGCTAGTCATTATTCTTAGCAAACTAACATAGGAACAGAAAACCAAACACTTAGTTTTCTCACTTATAAGTGGGAGGTGAGGCGAACAATGAGAACACATGGACACAAGGAAGCGAACAATGCACACTGGGGCCTGTCGGGATTTCTGGGGAGAGCATCAGGATAAATAGCTAATGCATGTGGGACTTAATACCTAGGTGATGGGTTGGTAGGTGCAGCAAACCACCATGGCACACGTTTACCTATGTAACAAATCTGCACATCCTGCACATGTATCCCGGAACTTAGAATAAAGTAAAATAAAATGTTTTTAAAAAAAGAACTTGGGGTTTATATAGCATCTTAACAAAAGAACAAAACATTTGTAGAGATGTGACAAAACAAACAAAAAGGGGTTTTAGGGCCATGCACAGTGGCTCACGCCTGTAATTACAGCACTTTGGGGGTTCAAGGCAGGAGAATTGCTTGAGCCTAGGAGTTCAAGACGAACCTGAACAACGTAGTGAGACCCTATCTCTATAATACATACATACATACATATGTAAATTAGCCAGGCTTGGTGGTGCATGCCTGTAGTCCCAGCTACTTGGGAGGCTGAGGTAGGAAGATTGCTTGAGCCTGGAAGATCTAGGCTGCAATGAATCATGATCACACCACTGCACTCCAGCCTGGGTGACAGAGCAAGACCCTGTCTCAAAAAGAAAAAGCAACATGGGCTTAGGCTAGTAGGGGCATCAAGTTGTGGGAGGTGAATTTATGAAGAGTCTAATGGAAGATAAGGGTAGTTAGTAAGGTTTGTTTGGTTAGACTCTTCCTCAGTGCCATCTTGTTTCTGGGATAAGGTTGTTATCCCACTCCTGGTATGGGAAGTGGAGGCGGGGACAACTTCAGAAGGGAAATTTATCTTCTTCTTTTGAAACCGGCCTAATTGTCCCATGGAAGTTATATTTATGAGGTTTTGAATAAACATAGAAGTTGACCCTCTCAGTCTTTTTTTTTTTTTTTTGAGATGAAGTTTCGCTCTGTTGCCCAGGCTGGAGTGCAGTGACATGACCTCACCTCACTGCAACCTCCGCCTCCCGGGTTCAAACGATTCTCATGCCTCGGCCTCCCAAGTAGCTGGGATTACATGTGCGCACCACCACACTTAGCTAATTTTTGTATTTTTAGTAGAGACGGGGTTTCACCATGTTGGCCAGGCTGATCTCGAACTCCTGACCTCAGGTGATCTGCCCTCTTCGGCCTCCCAAAGTGCTGGTATTACAGGCATGAGCCACTACGCCCAGCCTCAGTCTTAAAATTTGAAGCTTACATTTGTCTCATCTGAGCTTCTTCCTCAAGAAACCAACCCTTTGGCTGGGCACATTGGCATGCACCTATAATCTTGGCATTTTGGGAGGCCAAAGTGGACAGATGGTTTGAGACCAGAAGTTTGAGACCAGCCTGGGTAACATGGTGAAACCCCATCTCTACCAAAAAAAAAAAAATAATACAAAAAGTTAGCCCAGCACAGTGGCAGGCACATGTAGATGTAATCCTAACTACTCAGGGGACTAAGGTTGGAGGATTGTTTGAGCCCGGGAGGTCAAGGCTGCAGTGAGCCATTATTTCATGCCATTGCATTCCCGTCCAGGCAACAGGGTGAGACCCTGCCTCAAAACAATAATAATTATAAAAATAAAAATAAAAGAAACCAACCCTCAGGCAAGGAACTGAAACTCATCAAATCACCACATTCAGACAATGAGACCCCAGGACCCTCATCCATCACAATTGCTTCCTTATCCCTCCCTAATTCCTGTTTTCTTTGCGTTCCTCAGTATTTAAGTCCCCCAATTTTAGTCCATTGGAAGAGGGATTTGAGACTGTACCTCCTGTCATCCTAGCCTGCAGCACCTGATTAAAGTCTTCTTCTCCGGCAATTGACTCATTGTCACAGTGATTGGCATTCTGTGCAGTGAGCAGCAGGACCAGGACTGAACCCCTCATTTTTTGGTAACACTCTCAGGCATACAGGGAAGGACAGAGAGTTTACCCTGTGTCTGTTTTTCTCAGTTGTCTTCAGTTCAAAAGAATCCTTGTGCAGAGAGGCATATTTTGGGGTGGCAGACTCTGAACCCCTTCGAGGGCTTAGGCTGCTTTGAGGACCGCAGCAGTGATGTGGGTTAAAACTGGTTTTAAGTTGGATGGAGAACCCAGCCACCTTTTAAACAAACGTGTTTCTAGGACAAAGCGTGTCCCAGGTTCCAAATAAGTGACATACAAGGGAACCTTCAGAAGACAGCACTGTCGGCAAGATGGTAATCCCTGTCTCTGCAGTCTCTAGTTAGTGGCAGAGGGTGCAGTGGAGTGAGTGCTGCCCTAGGAGAGTGGGATTCTAGTTCCAACTTCTACTCATCTCATCCAGAGCCTCAGATATCAATAAAAGGCATACCACCTTTAACATTTTCCTAACCAGAAATTGGGAGAATGAACCAGATTATCTCCTGTAATTCCAAAGATTATGGGAAATTAAAGTGAATTTCAAGAGGCTCATTTCCTGCTATGAAGAATTCCTGCTTTGAATGATTTATGGATTTTTGATGGCCGAGGTTGGGGGTGGTGGTTCCATGCTGACTTAAAGGACCCTCCTTCCCAGAGTGGTTTATTAATTCAGGGATCAAAGCAGAAAGGAGAATCCGCACTGGGGTGGGTGGAAGGAAGCAAGTACTTGCCTGAGGGCTGGGCCCAAGAACCCAAAATTCACAAAGGGACTAGGAGTGCTTGTTAGTCTATGAATGGCTTAAATCAATTTGTTTTTTTGCTCTAGTATTTCCTGTTTCTCAAATCAAGAGCCCTAATGCATCTCAATAGTTTCAAAGTAGCCATTTGCTTTCTTTCCAAAGAGCAGTCATTTACCGCCTGCAGGTTTGTATTAACATAAACTACGCAGACAGCTTTCTGTTCTAGCAAAAAGCCTCTCTATCGCTTAAGGCAATCAGACATTCTGCTTAAGAAAGGCAGAATTAATTAACTGCAGAAAATAAACTGACACTCTGCTCAGACACACTCTTGAAGGAAAATAATGCTGAATAGGTTTGTAACTCATTCATTTACACAATTTTTGATGTTTTAAAAAATTCGGAGAGCATTAAAAGTTCAGAGGTTGCAGTTTAATAAAAATTGCCTTGGGTAAGGTATTAAACATTGACACAAAATGAACATCATCTTTGTCCTGCGTTTATTACAAACATTCAAGCTGCTCCTGAGGATTCGTTAAGGCACATTGAACAATTAAACTTCAAGGCTTATTTTCATCTTGCTAATTACCTCTTAATAGAAACTTTTTGTGATTGAGCTTCATTAGCCAGTTGGAAACCGGGCAGATTTGAAAGAAAACTGTTGTTTAAACAGATCGCTGGATTTGAGTCTACTCAGTGGTGTGACTTGGCAAAGGCCTGGAGATACTAGGAGAGACAGTGACAGGGAGCCTGGGATTAATAAAATCTGGCAAACAGAGCAGTGGTCTTGGAATGCAGAAGTCATAGGTTCAAGTTTCTGCTGGGTAGGATAGGGTGATCAGTTAATTTATTGTTCAAAATGATAGAGACAGGAGGCAGGGAAATTCTGGGCAGAAGAGGGCAGTCCCCAGTGAGGGGCCCAACCTCAGGCCTGGAACTGCAACCCAAAGCAAGAACATGCATTCCTGTTTTCCCGCTCAAATGTTGCCTTTTCCAAAACCATCCATGGCCCACCCCACCCCCCAATCCTGTGCCCATGAATACCCCAGCCTCTGCCAGAAGAGGGAGGAGAAGAGAAGCAGCAGGACGTCGGACACTACAATTGGACGTCAGAGAGAAGCAGCTTGACTTCAGAGGAACAGCTTGATGATGTAACTTCAGAGAAGAGTCTGGTCAGGATGGCTCGACTCTGGGGGAAGATTATCTTCCTGCTTCATCCCCTTTTCAGCTCCCCTTCCTGCTGAGAGCCACTTTCATTGGCAATAAAAGCCCCCACATTTACCATCTCCAATTTGTTCACAGGACTTCATTCCTCCTAGACGCCAGACAAGAACTCAGGTGTGGGTGAAAAAGCTGTCATGCTGACACTCCACTTAGCTGTAAACACTTAAGCCGTCTGTGGGTGGCAAAGCTAAAAAAGCATTGTTTTAGCACTCTTGTAACACTCTTTCTGGTGGTTGAGAGGTTCCAGGCACCCCCCAAGATGATGCCATGGGGCAGCACAGAGTTTTGCTCCTTCCAGCACCCGAAAGCACTTGTTCTGGCTCCTGCACCTGCTCACCTGTGCTCCCCCTCCTGTGAGGGTTGGAACACAGTGGGACCAAGTGAGTGGAGTTCACCCCTGCCAGCACCGAAGCAGCCAGCTAATTCTAGCTCTCATGCACTCCAGTTCCCACCCACAGAGGGTCCACGGAAACTTTCTGTTTCAAAACCCAGGTGCTAATGAGAGTGTTATGTTTAGCCTAAAGCTGCTCCCTTACATATTTTAAGTTCAGCCTAAAGTTTTCTCAGTACATAGTGAACTGTAACCTAACTGGATGTGTAAATAGACTGTAACCTACTATTGGGGCTCAGAAAACAATGCACAAAAATGAAATCCTCAGCAACAGCCTCAGAAACAAAAGTTTTTGTTTTCTTTTGTTTTTGAGACAGGATCTTGCTCTGTCACCCATGCTGGAGTGCAGTGATGTGATCATGGCTTACTGCCCTCTCAACCTCCTGGTCTTAAGCGAACTTCCCAGCTCAGCCTCCTAAGTAGCTGGTACTATAGATGCATGCCACCACACCTAGCTAATTTTTAATTTTTTTGTAGAGATGAGGTTTTGCCATGTTGCCCAGGCTGGTCTCAAACTTCTGGCCTCAAGCAACCCTCCTGCCTCTGCCTCCCAAAATGCTGGGATTACTGACATGAGCCACCAGCACCCAGCCCCAAAATTTTTCTATGACTTTCTCCTGCCTGCCCTCCTTTCTGTCAGTCCCATTCTCCCACAAGGCTAGCCATAGCAACTAAACTTCTTCTTCCCCAAGGTGGGTCATAGAAACCAGAAACCCTTTTCCCTTGAAGGCCAGTCATAAAACCTAAAAATACTCTATTTAAAACTGTCCATAGGCCTGGTGTGATGGCTCATACCTGTAATCCCAGAATTCTGGGATGCCAGGGTGGGCGGATCACTTGAGGTCAGGACTTTGAGACCAGCCTGGCCAATATGGTGAAACCCCATCTCTACTAAAAATACAGAAATTAGCCTGGCATGGTGGCATGCGCCTGTAGTCCCAGCTACTCAGGAGGCTGAGGCAGGAGAGTCGCTTGAACCTGGGAGGAGGAGGTTGCAGTGAGCCAAGATGCCCCAGTGCACTGCAGCCTGGGTGACAAAGTGAGACTCCGTCTCAAAATAAAAAACAAACAAACAAAAAAACTGGCCATAAAGAAATTATCTGATCCCCATTCCAGAGAAGAGTCCTGCCCCACATTCAGAAGAAAGGGGTGTGTGCTCAGAGAAGCCAAGAAGAATCTAGACAGGCAGGCCTTATTGGTTTTTCCCACTAAGTCTATTGAAACCGCCTTTGCAAAATTATAACTAAAGAAATTATGACGGTGAAAGATATCCGACCTAACCAGCTCCATCTTGCTTCTAATATCTCAACTGTCTTTGTCCATTCCTGGGCATAGGCCAAATTGGCCTTGGGAAGGAATTTAGTTTATGGTTTAAATAATACCTCTTTCCAAAAGCTAAACTGTTCTTGTAAAATGAATGATATGCCACCAGCCATAAAGTAATGATGAGAGGGGCTGGGATTCTAAATATTACCAGCCATTATTCCAGAGGTCATAAGATTTGCAACTTCCCCAAATACTCTTGAAGATAACATCACTATTGTGAAACTAAGATTGGCCTGTTGAGATGTCTTTTCAAGTTTTTGCATTTCTGAAACCAGATGGCCCCACCTGGGCCTGCCAACCAGTTCTGTGGCCCTCACCCAGGAACTGACTTAGCACAAGAGAACAGATTAGACTCCCTGTGATTTCAACCCTGAGCCAACCAATCAGCACTCCTGACTCACTGGCCTCCTGCCCACCAAATTAGCCTTAAAAACTCTGATCCCCGAGTTTTCAGGGAGATTGATTTGAGTACTAATAAAACTCTGGTCTCCTGCACAGCTGACTCTGCGTAAATTACTCTTTCTCTATTGCAATTCCCCTGTCTTGGTAAATCGGCTCTGTCTAGGCAGTGGGCAAGGTGAACCCGTTGGTTGGTTATCCTATTAGCAGTAAATCATACCCTTTTTGTCCAATAATATTTTTACATGGTTATCCATCCATACCTTGTTGAAGCTAAGCATAAAAGTGGACAGTTTCTCCTGTATCTTTGTGTTTTCATCCTGAAGACTCCCATGTATATGTATTAAATACACTTGTATACCTTTTCTCCTATCAGTCAATCTGCCTCATGTCAGTGATTTTCGGTGAACTCACCAAGTTTCAACCAATCAAAGGCAGCCCACTGTTCAGACCTTGTTCAAATAAGGCAAATGCCAAGCTGAAACTACCTTTGCAAAAGTTATATCAGTGAGAAAAACAAAAACAAACAAACAAAACTAGTAAGCTAAACTAACCCAATCCCCATCTTGCCTTTTTCTTATTATTCCTGGGCTATTGGGCCAAGCTAACTTTAAAGATATTAAGGCTATAGTTTAATAATAGGCCTTGCCCAAAACTTAACCGATTTTGTAAAGCTAATGGGAAGCCCTTAGGCTGGGGGAAGGAGCGGAACTTGAGTCCTGCTAAGGTGCAGACATAAGCAATCGTCAGCCATTATTCCTGAGGTTATACCATACGCAACTTCCCCAATTACTCCTGCAAATAACAACACTATTGTAGACTGGCCTTTTCAGATATCTTCATAGGTTTTTGTGTGTTTGACACTCATGGCTCCACCTGGACCACCAACCCAGCTCCTGTGGCCCCACCCAGAAGCGATTCAGCCCACCACAGGATAGCTTCCACCTCCAATGAATGATTTCATCTCCGCCCCAGCCAATCAGCAGCAAGCATCTGTTACCTGTTACCCCTTCCCCCAAACTGCCTTTGAAAAACCCCTAACTTAGGAGCTCTAAACAAGATGATTTGAGTAGGAACTCTATCTCCCATGTGTCGTGGCTGGCCTCCTGCCTATTAAACTCTTTCTCTACTACAATGCCGTGGTCTTTCTTTATGCAGTGGGCAGGAAAAATCCCTTGGATGATTACAAAGCTGTTACCAATCCAGCTGTTTCTGTACCTCACTTCCATTTTCTATATCTCACTTTCCTTTTTTTATCTATAAATCCTTTCTGTCCATGTGGCAGCACAGGAGCCTCTCTGGACCTATTCTGGTTTGGGGAACTGCCCGATTCACAAATCATTCTTTCCTTAATTAAACTCTGTTCCTTTTTTTTTTTTTTTTTTTTTTTTTTTGAGAAAGAGTCCCCCTCTGTCACCCAGGCTGTAGTCCAGTGGCATGATCATGGCCCACTGCAGCCTCGAATCCCCAGGCTCAGGTGATTCTTTCACCTCAGCCTCCCGAGTAGCTGGGACTACAGGTGCACGCCACCACACCCAGCTAATTTTTAGTATTTTTTGTAGAGATTGGGTTTTGTCATGTTGCCCAGGCTGGTCTCGAACGCCTGGGCTGAAGTGATCCACCTGTCTTGGCCTCCCAAAGTGCTGGGATTACAGGTGTGAGCCACTGTACCTGGCCAAACTGTTAAATTTAATTTGTCTAAAGTTTTAACAAGAGTAAAAGGGAGTGTTTACTGAATGGGGTGCCAGGCATAAAGAATTGGACAGTCCTAATTAAATCAGGCTCTTTAGCAGCTTTGTGACTTTTTAAAGCCATTGACCTTTCTGAGGCTATTTCTTCACTTTACAAGGAAAATGACAGTGTTTGGCCTTACTAATCATGGAGATACACAAAAATGTACTTTATAAATTGTAAACCATGATAAAATGTGAGGTACTATCGTATTTGATAAAGCAGAGTCAAGTTTACTGCTTACTATTGAAATACTGGATGTACAAATGGACAATTGCCAAACTATATATAAAGATAGTATTTTGACTCACAACCTATCCAGAAAACCAACCCCTTTTGACAATAACCAGCACAGGAAGGTAGCCTGTTATAAATCAGACTTTCAGGAACTCACTTGTTATCTCTAGTGACAAGCCAGGAAGCTAAATAATAACTTGTGTCACAATCGGCCCCAAATGGCCAGGACTTGATTAATAACTAACAGATTCTGTAAGTTTTTTTCTCCACTTCCAACTTAGGACCAACTAGGGAAAGCCAAATATGCATTCCCAATCAAACACACAGGATTCCCCGCTTCTAGGTAGCCTCCTACAGCTTTCCCAGGCCAATAGCCTCCCTGAGGCCATACCTAAAGCTTTCCTTTTTTCCCCACTATAAAGCTTTCACACTTCTCTGCCCACCTTTGAGTTTCTGCTAAAACTCAATGATGGTGGCTGTTTCTCTTGCTATAGCAGCTCTGAATAAATAGCCTTTGCTTTTCTCAGGCTGGGGGATGGAGCGGAACCTGAGTCCTGCTAAGGTGCAGACATAAACAATTGTCAGCCATTATTCCTGAGGTTATATGATACAGAAGAAGACATATTTATTTCCATATTTGACATTTATATATAGGACCTTGGGTCACAAGATACTGAATGGGACTTTTGCCGTTGTTTTGGAATTGTCATTATAGTCATAATGCTGAGTTCTTAGGTACTAAGTACAGCTGTTACCGGATGGAAGGTCTTGACTGAGTCGTCCAGGTTCTTGATATGTTGAACAAAGAATTGAACAAAATGCATAAACAAAGCAACAAAGGAATGAAGCAACGAAAGACAAAGCAACAAGAGAACAATAACAAAAGCACAGATTTACTGACACTCCAGAGTAGGAGCAGATTAGAGCAAGCAACTCAAGAGTGCCCCTCCACCCCAATTAGGGTTTTTATTAAGCTGAAAGAATTTGGTAACAACCCTAGGTGCCCTTTAGAGGCCTCCAATTGGTTACACCCTAGGAAGGCTTGGCCAGTGACCAATCAGAGGCTGAAGTGGAAACTTCTGTCTTGTTATCACAGGGCAAGGATGTGGCCGGTATGCTGCCGAATCTTGCCTAGAACTGTCCGCACCTGCTGCTCTTTTGTTTATGCCTTTACCCTTGGTTACCCTAATTCCCCATTCTCCTGCCTCACAGCCATGGGACTGACTAAAAGTTAACCCAACACTGTAATCCCAGCATTTTGGGAGGCTGAGGCGGGTGGATCACTTGAGGTCAGGAGTTCGAGAAAAGCCTGGCCAACATGGTGAAAACCCGTCTATACTAAAAATACAAAAAAATTAGCGGGATATGGTGGCACATGCCTATTATCCCAGCTACTAGGGAGGCTGAGGCACGAGAATCACTTGAACCCAGGAGGTGGAGGTTGCAGTGAGCCGAGATCCTACCATTGCACTCCAGCCTGGGCGACAGAGTGAGACTCCCTCTCAAAAAACAAACAAACAAAAAAGTTAACTCAACAGGTGTACCACCATTATGTCAGCATTCCCCAAAGCCTAATGAAAAGTAGAAATGTTCCCAGGGTAGCAAAATTGTCCTAGAAAAAGGATGCTGAAGCTTCTCAAGCACGGATACAGTAGTCCATCTATTCACAGTTTCACTTTCTATGGTTTCAGTTACCTGCAGTCAATTGCAATCCAAAAATATCAAATGGAAAATTCCAGAAATAAACAATTCCAATACATTTAAAGTTGTGCGCCATCTGAGTGGTATGATGAAAACTCTTGCCTTCTGGCTCTGCACCTGAGATATGACTCATCCCTTCGTCTAGCATATCTATGCTAGATACACTATCCACCTATTAGGCACTTAGTAGCAGATCAAGTGTCCTGGTATTGCCGTGCTTATGTTCAAGTAACCCTTTATCTCACTTAATAATGGCCCCAGAATACGAGAGCAAAGATCATAATGCTGGCTATTCACATATGCTAAGGAAAAGCCATAAAGTGCTTCCTGTAAGTGAAAAGGTGAAAGTTCTCAACTTAATACGAAAAGAAAAAAATGATATGCTGAGGTTGCTGAGATCTGAAGTAAGACTTGTTATCTGAGAGACCAAAATAGATGCCCCTTTGTTAGCTAAGACAGACCTTAAAGTTAAGGAAATAAAGTTACCTATGGGTTGAGTTGCCTACCGATTCAGGGCCTGGCTAGCATGGCAAATTTCTAATTTCCTCCACCTCTAAATGTCCTAACAATAGGAGCTATCAGATCCTTCCTAACTCTGATTTATAACCCAGGCCTAATTACAACTCTAATTGGATGGAGGGGCACCAAACATTCTTTTCTGATAAGAAATTACAGACTTTAAGCCAGTTTCAGTCAGTTTATAGAGGCTGTGCACAAACTTTGTGTTCTATCATTCACCTTTTGATGTAAAGAGCCAAATTTCACCTTGTGTTAATGCTAAACCCTCCCCCCAACCAAAGTGAACATGGGAGGTATGTTACTTATATGTTTACTCATTGCACATGCTCAGCTCCCCTCATAAACGTGTATGGCTTTTCCCTCAAACCCGCCAAATACGTATGACTCTATTGTGTGATACAGGCCCTGCGAGGTATAAAACCCAACCTGTTCTTCCCTCTTCAAAGGGAGAGCACCTCTGGTCCACACTGGAGAGTATCTCTTTGTGGTTTGCAAACCAATATTCCCAAAAAAGCTCTCCTTTCTACTATTTAGCCATCCTCATGGTCTTTGGATTATACAACAAACCTATCCATGAAGATAGGAAGGAAGAGAAGAAGGAAAAAAAGAAATTCATGCTAGTTTTGCTGTTGCACTTCAAACAGCAAAAGCTGTGGCCACAGTGTGTGACAAGTGCTTAGTTAAGATGGAAAAAGCGTTAGATATATGGGCAGAAAACATGAATAAAAATGTATTCTAACTGATGGCAATCAAGTTCAATACTATCCTTGGGTTCAGGCATCTGCTGGGGGTGTTGGACCATATCCCCTATGGATGAGGAAGGCTACTATATTTACATTTCCTGTGGTGCAAGCAGAACCCATAAAGATTAGCAGAGCTTGAGCCTTCTCATAGGTACCCTGGAGGCATTTGCCTTCTGGGTTAGAGGACCCCAGCATGGAAGGGGCTTAGGGTGGTTGGTGGTCAGAAAACGTTATGCTGGAAGAAATCATCTCGCCTTGGATACAGAATCCTTCATTCAGAACAAAGACTACATTTCCCATCCCCCCTTGCACGTAGGTGTGCAAGTTATGGCCAATGAGATGTGCAGCATTTGTGCAATTAAGAGATCCTGCAGGATCTCCTTCCCTAGAGAGGTTTTTGTTTTCCCTCTTTGGCCTCTCCTCCTTCCTTAATCCTAGAGGACGCGGAAGCGGCAGAGTGGGAAGGAATTAGATAGTAGACCATGTCCCCTTCCATGCAGATCCCTTGGTCATACCCAAGTTAAGGAAGAAGGAGAGAGCATTGAATTGGATGTGAAATTCAAGTTTCTCACCGGACTAGGCTAGATTTTTAATACCTGACTGTGACTAAGAAGCTTTGAGATCTGTCCAAGATGTCATTAAAGAACAGAAAATAGGTACTTAATGGATATTGGTTCAATGACACTGAGCTATTAAGTACATCCAGATTTTTCCATGTTCCATTTTCTTAAAATGCAGGTACACTTGTATGTTGTAAAGAATATCTATAGGTTGGGGAGAAAACAGCAGAATTAAGACAACATTTACCAAAAAAAGACACCAGTAGTCAAAAATGCATCATTCTAAACTTCAGTATCCTATAGCATGCAGGAGCCTATCCTACTCTAGGGGGAGGTCCTACTCCAGGCTTCCAGTGTGTCTTCTTTATCATTGAATACACAGAATAATGATGTCAATCGATAACAGAATCAATCATTTTATAGAAAAATTATTTTCTTTTTTGCCTCTCCCCCCAAATTATTTTCTTAATCTTTTCATCAAGCAAGCTTCTATCCTCAAAGTTTCCTCTACATTTTAAAATGTTTGAAACGTAATTTCTGACCATATGTCCAGCAAAATGGAAGGCTGGAAGTGGAGTTACAACCTTCTAAGCATTAATACAGTAGGAAACAGCTTTATTCCATATGATTTGAATCTTAAAGTTTAAACATAAAGGATGGGTTAAACAATGGCTCATTTTGTGATAGATGCTGACACCTACTGGGCAGATTTTATATTAAATGTTCGATATGTTTTGGCCCCCAAAAAGAAATGAAATGTTCCTGGTTCTTGAAAGGTAAAATCTTGGGTTTGGAAGGGCAAGGGCATGAGGGCATCCTGGCCCCAGGATGGTGGGAGCATAGCCACTGGGAAATGAAGACTCAAGGATGATAAAAAGGACTCAGGAAAAGAATCATGGGGTAAGTTCTGGAATGCCATCAGATAGTTGGCTCCAGAATTCCAGCCTTGCCAACCTAAAGTCCTTCCTCTCCTGGAGTTTCTCATCTGCTTCTAAGATTTTTTTCTAGGTGTAGAGCTCTATTTTCAGACTGAACTTTGCGGAAGAACTACCCTCCAAGTCAACTCAAATAAATGTGCCCCTGCATCATTTTCTGGGCATTCCTGTGACACCTGGTCATCATCAATATTATTGCTGACATTTTTTGAGTACCTACTTTGTACTTCTGCACTAAGTCTTTATATTATAAGTGGTCAGACCTTGGAGTCAGGCTACCTGAGTGCAAACACTGGCTCTGCCATATGTTAATACAAGTTCTATGACTTTGGTCAAATGATAATCTCCTTATCTCTAAAATGGAGATAATGATAATGTCTACCACACAGAGGTCTTGTGAGATTTTAAAGTGTTCACATACATAAATTACTCAAAACAGTGCCTGGTATATCATAAGTGCCATACAAATGTTGGTATTGTTACCTTATTTAATCTTTACAATAAAACTGAAGTAAACACTGTTATTTTGTAAAATTAGAAAACAGTCTTGGTATATGAGTTGGAAATGTTTTCAGCTTTAAATAACAGAAAACCTAACTAATGGTGGCTTACATTATATTCTCTCTGTCTCTCTCTCTCTCTTCCCCCTTCCCCCGTCTCCTATAACAAGCCTAACGAGCAGTCCAGAGGTAGGTGGCTGCTGGCACTGGCTCATGGCTCAGTGATGCCAGGGCCAGTGTCTCAGATATTTTCAAGGTCTTTCCCTCATGGTCATAAGAGGATTATCCCAATTCCAGGGATCATATCTGTTCATCTGCCCTTCTATTAAAAAAGTAAAAGCATTCCCAGAAACTGTCCCATTAACTTCTACTTATGTTCTATTGGCAAGAAATGTGTCACTTGGCCACTCGTGACTACAAAGGGGCATGGGAAAGTGGGTATTTAACCTTTCCAGACTCTAAAGTAGAAGGCAGTAAGGGGGAAGGGAATGGGAATGACCACTGGGTCAGCCAGAGATTGGCACCTGCCACACTAAAGAGAAGATAAATCATTTGCTTAGGTCAGATAGCTACAAAGAGATGGTGCAGCATTCAAGCCCAGGTAGCCTGGCTTCTGGCCTCCTGATAGTTTGGATATTTATGCCTTCTTCCAAATCTCATGTTGAAATGTGATGCCTGATGGAGGTGGGGCCTAGAGGGAGGTGTTTGGGACATGGGGGCGGATCCCTCATGAATGGCTTGGTGCCCTCCCCATGGTAACAAGTTCACAAGAGATCTGGTTGTTTAAAAGAGCCTGGCACCTACCCCCTCTCTCTCTCTTGCTCCCTCTCTTCCCATGTAACATGCTGGCTCTCCTTCCCTTCTGCCATGATTGTAAGCTTCCTGAGAACTCATTGGAAGCAGATGCCAGCACCATGCTTCATGTACAGCCTGCAGAACCGCGAGCCAAATAAACTTCTTTTCTTTATCAATTATCCAGCCTCAGGTACTTCTTTCTAGCAATGCAAAATGGACTAACACAGAAAATTGGTACTGAGAAGTAGGGTGTTGCTATAAAGATATTTGAAAATGTGGAAGCAGGCTTCGGGACTGGGTAAAGGGCAGAAGTTGGAAGAGTTTAGAGGGCTCAGAAGAAGACAGTGAGATGAGGGAAAGTTTGGGACTTCTCAGAGACTGGTTAAATGGTTGTGACCAAAATGGTGATAGAAATATGGACAGTGAAGGCCAGGCTCAGATGGAAATGAGGGAGTTATTGAGAACAGGAATAAAGGTCACCCATGTTATGCCTTAGCAAAAAACTTGGCTACATTATGTCCAGGCTGTAGAGATCTGTAGAAGTTTGAACTGAAGGCTGATATCCCAGGGAATATGGCAGAAGAAATTTCTTTATTATTATTATTATTCATTTATTCTTGAGACAGAGTCTTGCTCTGTCGCCCAGGCTGGAGTGCAGTGGCGCCATCTCAGCTCACTGCAAGCTCCGCCTCCCAGGTTCACGCCATTCTCCTGCCTCAGCCTTCCTAGTAGCTGGGACTACAGGTGCCCACCACCATGCCCAGCTAATTTGTTTGTATTTTTAGTAGAGACGGGGTTTCACTGTATTAGCCAGGATGGTCTTGATCTCCTGACCTCCCACCTCGGCCTCCCAAAGTGCTGGGATTACAGGCGTGAGCCACTGTGCCCGGCTGGCAGAAAAAATTTCTAAGCAGCAAGACGTTCAAGAGGTGATCTGGCTGCTTCTAACAACCTATGATCAGGTACTGGAAATTTACAATTTAAAAAGGAGCAGAGCACAAAAATTTAGAAAAGACACAACTTGGCCATGTGGTAAAGAAGGAAAAAGCATTTTCAGGAGAGAAATACGAGAGGACTGTGGAGCAACCACTTGCTGGAGAGATTAGCATGGCTAAACAGGAGCCAAGAGCTAATAGCCAAGACAGTGGGGAAAAGGCCTTGAATACATTTCAGAAGTCTTTGGGACAGCCCCTCCTATCACAGGCTGAGAGGCCTAGGAGGAAAGAATGGTTTCAGGGGCCAGGCCCTGGGCACAATTACCCTGCACCAACTCGGAAGGCTGCTTTCCCCAACCCTGCTGCTTCAGCTCCAGCTGTCATTCAGTTACAAATCAGGCTGCTGCTTTGAGGCTGGGCACAGTGGCTCACACCTGTAATCTCAGTACTTTGCAAGTGATCCAAAGCAGGTGGATCACTTGAGTCCAGGAGTTCAAGACCAGCCTGGGCAATATGGTGAAACACTGTCTCTACCAAAAAAATAAAATAAAATAAAAAAATAAACAACAACAACAAAACAATGAATAGGCTGCCACTTTGGAGAGCATAAGCTCTAAACCTTGGCAGCTTCCACATGGTGTTAATCCTGCAGGTGCACAGAATACAAGCATGAGGGAGGCCTCGTGACTTCCACCTAGATTTCACAGGATATATCAGAAAGTCTGGGTGTCCAGAGAGAAGTCTCTGCAGACAGCCTCTACTAGGGCAATGTCATGGGAGAAATGTGCAGTTGGAGCCCCCACACAGAGTTCCCACCAGGGCACTGCCTAGTGGAACTGTGGGGAAGGACCTGCCATCATTCAGATCCCCAAATTGTAGAACCACTAGTGGCTTACAACCATAGTGTGGAAAAGCCACAGGCACCAGACTCCAATCCATGAGAGCAACCACACAGGATGCACCCAGAGAGGCCACAGGGATGGGGCTATCCAAGGCCTTGGAAACCCACCCCTTGTACCATTGTACTCAGGATGCAGGACATGGGGTAAAGGGAGATTATTTTGGAGCTCTGAGGTTTAATATCTGCCCTGCTGAGTTTCAGACTTGTGTGGGGCCTATTGTCCCTTTCTTTGGGTGATTTCTTCATTTTGGAATGGGAATGTCTACCCAACGCCTGTACCATTATTGTATCTGGAAGAAAATAACTTGGTTTGATTTTATAGGCTCATAGGTGGAAGGAACTTGCCTTGAGTCTCAGATGAGACTTTGGACTTGAGATTTGGACTTTTAAGTTAATGCTGGAATGAGTTAAAACTTTGGGGTACTGTTGGGAAGGAATGATTTTATTTTGCAATGTGCGGAGGACATGAGATTTGGGAGTCCACGGGAGGAATGGTGTAGTTTGAATGTTTGTCCCCTCCAAATCTCTTATCAAATTGTGATCCCCAGTGTTGGAGGTGGGGCCTGGTGGAAGGTGTTTGGGTCATGAAATTGGATCCTTCATGAATGGCTTGGTGCCCTCTCCATGATAATGAGTTTACATGAGATCTGGTTATTTACAAGAGCCTGGAATCTCCCCCTGTCTCTCTTGCTCCTTCTCTTGCCATGTGACACATTGGCTCCCCTTCCTGGAACATAATTGTAAGGTTCCTGAGGACTTACCAGAAGCAGATGCTGGCACCATGCTTCATGTATAGCCTGCAGAACCATGAGCTAAATAAACTTATTTTCCTTGTAAATTACCCAGCCCTAGGTACTTCTTTATAGCAATGCAAAATGGACTAACATACCTCCTAAACACCACGTCATTTTTCTTTGAGACAGGGTCTCACTCTGTCACCTAGGCTGGAATGTGGTGGCACAATCACAGCTTACTGCAGCCTCGACCTTCTGGTCTCAGGTGATCCCCCTGCCTCAGCCTTCCAAGTAGCTGGGACCACAGGCGTGTGCCACCACACCTGGCTAATTTTTAAAATTATCTGTAGAGATGGGGTCTCGCTATGTTGCTCAGGCTTGTCCTGAACTCCTGGGCTCAAGTGATCCTCCCACCTTGGCATCCTAAAGAGCTGGGATTACAGGCATGAGCCACCATGCCCGGCCATACCATATTAATTCTGTGCTGGATAGTCTCCATTTGCCCCTCCATATCCCTTCTTCCCATTCTTTATCCTGATGTGGGTTCCGGAAGCCTGTTCTCTAAGAACATCAGTACACAGGCCTACATGTCCTCTGGTTTACCATTTGGTTCAGTCAGTGGTTATGGAGGATGGGAGGCTCTGGTTTAGCAGAAGTTCTGCTCCTCTACTGAAGGCATATCAAGCAGTCCTTCTCCTACTGATATCCATTAATGTCATCCTCCCCCTTATCCCTTCAGGCCTGGGATAGTAATGCCTCTCTACTATTGATGATGCCTGGAGGTGTCACCATGCCTTGCAGATTCTCTTAACCCAGACGTGATAGATTAATACATCATCTGTTATCTGCCAGAACTCTAACTGATACTAACACCTTACAATTACATGGTGCCCTATAAATATGCTTTTATGTGTATTCTTTTTAGGAGGTATTATTTCATTGAGATTTCAACCCACAATCTAGCCTCATACATTTTTCTGGTATCACAGGTTCTCATAATGGCATGCTTTATCAGCATATGCACAGCAACTTTGCTTTAGAATGATGAAATCTTGGATCCATAAGACATACAGGATAGTGGATTATGGTTACATGTCTTCCTTCACTAGTTTAGTCTATAAAGTCTGATTTACATAGTTGCAGCTTGTATCTCCCCAAGACTGTCCTGCTTTATCTGCAACCTGGTTCTTGGTCAGGTCTTTCTAACTAGAACTCCAGTCTTGTCCCTTTATCTTGCATCATTTGCTCCTCAGAAAACTGCCCCAGTGAAACTCTTATAAGCCTCTCTTTCTTCCTCTATCTGGGCAAAATTCCCCTAGCATCTCCCATTCTTAACTATTTCATATCCTTTTTCCTCTTTTCTTCCTTTTTAGTCCATACCTCTCCTTTTCCTGCTTTCCTGGCTTGCACCTGGAATATGGTGCCACCATAACCTATTACACTTTCCCAGATCTAATATCTGATTGCCTGTCAATCACTTGCAGACCATCATGGCATGTGAAAGAGAAAGTAGATTCATTTTATTTTATTTTGTTTTATCCTAGGAGTATTAGCATTTTAATAGAGCGTGTCTTAGATAAAGTAATTGTTACTGAACCCCAAAATAGCATCACATGGCTAGGAGACTGTTCTGCTCATTCATAAAAGCCATTTGTTTTTTGTGGTAAAATATACATAACATAAAATTTACCACTTTAACCATTCTAAAATTACAGTTCTTTCGCGTAAAGTACGTTCACATTGTTGTGCGATCATCACTACCTTTCATCTCCAGAACTTTTTTATCTTCCTCACCTGGACCTCTGTACCCATTAAGCACTAAGTTCCCATTTCCTGCTCCCCTGCCCCAGTGCCTGGCAACTACCTATTCTACTTTCTGTCTCTATGATTTTGACTGAAAATAGCCTTATTTTGCGCTGTTCAGAAGAACAAGTTCAGGATTCCTCTGTGTTGAGCTGCAAGGGTTACACAGTGTCCTGTGTATCTAGGGGGACCCGCTCATTCATGTGTGGACCCATTGCTGGCAGGCAGTGATCTGCCTGCCTGTAGCAGTCCTGGTGATGAGCCTAAATGACCATGTGTCATGCCAAAGAAGAGAGGGCGACTGAAAGAGAAGGCATTCCCCCCTCTACCCCGTAAACTCCCTTCAGACTCATTAATTCTTTGATCCTATAAAAAGGAAACTTGGACTGAGGAATACTAAATGTGTTAATAGAAAACCCACCTTGCTGAAGCAAATGTAGCCAGTATGTCCAGACATGAATTACTGGCAGTTAAAACCAGGTTTGTACATAATAATATTGATGAAATCTAGCCTTTTCACTAAGGCAATGGCCCAGAAAGCAGGAATGGTCCATGTAGAAGTGGAGAAGGTAGGCAGTGTTCTCTATGGCAAAAGTCACAAATGGGAAGCCTGCAGGACAGACTCAGCTCAGAGTTGTCTTGTTTAGCCTGCACAATGTATTTTTAAATGTGATTCAGGGCCGGGCATGGTGGCTCCTGCCTACAAACCCAGCACTTTGGGAGGCCGAGGTGGGAGGATTGCTTGAGCCCAGGAGTTTGAGACCAGCCTGGACAACAGGGTGAGGTCCCATCACTACAACAAATAAAAATAAATTAGCCAGGCATGGTGGTTCATGTGTGTGGTCCCAACTACTTGGGAGGCTGAGGTGGGAGGATCACCTGAGCCCGAGAGGTCAAAGCTACAGAGAGCTATGATCACATCACTGCACTCCAGCCTGAGCAACAAAGACTGTGTCTCATAAAATAAAAATAAATGTGATTCATTGGCAGATTTAAAAAATTTGATTTCCAGTTTCACTTGAAAAATCTGGCTACGCAGCCCTGGAGTCCTGCCTGGAAACAAAATAAGGCTCCCAGTCCTTGCTTCATTCATAAAGCTGGAACTACCACTGCCAACATCTCCCAGGCTCACATCCTCCCCACTCTGACACCAGAGGTGACAGAACTTGCTTGCTTAGTTCCACTTGGAAAAGTCCCTGGCCAGGTGCAGTGGCTCATGCCTGTACTCCCAGCACTTGGGGAGGCTGAGGCGGGAGGATCACTTGAGCCCACGAGTTCAAGACCAGCCTGGGCAACATAGTGAGACCCATCTCTCATTTTTGAAAATATATATTTTAAATAAATACATAGATAAGAAAAGTCCCAAGGAGTATTCTGAATGATCAGTCAGTGTCCCACATCTACTGTAGTTGGTGTAGAATGGGCAGGGTACTCTGATTAGCAGCTCCTACTAAAATTACAGGGTTGGCAGGTAGAGCAGTCCCTCAAAACAAAGGGATACATTTTCAAAAAGGAATGGGAACACATGCTGGATAAATAAACCATCCAATGACCACCACAGGGGATAGACTGATAGTGTTTTGTTTATCTGTTTTGACATTTTAAATTTAGGTAAATAGCATAAACCTGAGATTACAGAAACACATAATTTCAGAGTTCCATAAAAGTCAACTAACCCACATCCTATCTAATGTATTAATCATGTGTTTTTTTTTGTTGTTGTTTGTTTTTTTGCAGTATTCCCAACAAGGATCTTCCAGCAGGCATTTAAACTACTTACTTCCTCCTTAAGCATTCTATTCCATTGTAAAATAGTCCTAGTTGCTACACAGTTGTTCCTCATAGTCAGGTAAACTCTGCCACCTTGTAGCTTCCACCAGTCAATGGCAGCTCCCACCTTGGATGTGTCCATAATCAATCCCTTCCATTTTGCAGGTGACAGCTCATCAAATGTTTGAAGAGAGCTCTCATGTTCCTGAGTGAGTCTTTTCTTTTCAGGCTAAATCTCAATCTACTCCAACTATTTCTCATGTGGCAAGGGGTTTACATCCCTTTGGACCTATCCAGTGAAATCTTTCAACATTCAACAATTATTTCTTGTGAACTTTCTTCATACCAATTAGTAAACTAGATATTGGGAAGGAGATGGTGAGAAAAATAGGTTACATTTCTGCTTAATGGAGCATATAGCCCTGTAGATGAGGTAGATAATTATATGAATACTACACCCACAAAGAAGTAATAGGTGTTACAAAGGAAAACTACAGGGTTATATGTTTCTCTCAAATTTAATTGCCAGAATCAAATAAAATGCTTCATGTGTGGTCTTGTCAGTAGGAACACTGGGTAGTTTAACTATGTCCACAAATTCTTTGACCCTGCCTTCAAAAGATGGAGTCCTTCCCTCAAGTAGGGACTAGACTTCTGACTTGCTTCTAACAAATACAAAAAAAGCATTAAGTGACAGAATGTAACTTCAGAGACTGGGTCATAAAAGGCACTGCTGTTTCCTGCTTGCTCTCTCTTGGCTCTGGGGGAAGCCAGCTTCCTTGTCATGAGGAAGCTCAAAAAGCCCTACGGAGAGGACATATTTGGTGAGGAACTGAGCCTCCAGCCAACAGACAGTGAGAAACTGAAACTCCCTGCAGACAGTCACATGAGTGAGCTTGGAAGTGGATCCTCCAGCCCCAGTCAAGCCCTCAAATGACAGAATCCCTGGCTGAAAGTTTTGTTGCAGCCTCATGAGAGATCTTGAACCAAAATCCTCCCCAAGCCCCTGCCACCCACAAGAAGCCACTCTCAAATTCCTGACCCACAGAAACTGTGAGATGATAAATATTTGGTTCAAGCTGCTAAGTTTTGAGCATAATTTGTTATGTGGCTATAGGTAATTAATATAGTAAACAGAGTATAACAATTAAATGTCATCCTTAATTAATGCAATTCAAGCTCACATTGACTATTTTGGCTGCCATGTTACCCCAATGATTCATGTTGATTTTATAATCAAGTAATACTTCTCAATCTTTTTCTCTCATGTTCCGCCAAGATTTAGCCTATTGTTCCAGCTTATCAAAATCCTTTGGGAGTTTAATTCTCTTTCAAGGTAATTAGTTATCCCTATTGCTTTGTGCTGCTTCATGGAAGCAGCAATGACATAAAAATGCAAGGAATTGGGTAGTATTCTCAGATCTGCAGCGAATGAGTTGAGTGACAATGAACAATTCTCTTAATTTCCTTCAGCTTCCATTTCTTAATGTGCAAACTGAGTATAACAATGCTGATTTCATGAGGCTCTGAGAGCAGACTAACCTGACACCAATTCCTCTCCCCAGGACTTTCCAGGTGAAAGGGACACTTTCCACCTGCACAGCATCTACTCATTCCCCCCTTCCTCTAGTAACTGTCCTATTTTCCTTTGGGGAACCACCCCTCCTACACTCACAGTCCATACGGTTAAGCAAGTTTGGATCCACCTTCCCAGCCCCAGGAATGGTGTTTACTTATGATGCAAGGGAAAACTCAATCATAAGTGCCTTAAACTGTCAAGATACTTATTGTTTGGGTGTAGGAGATTTCTGCATTTGACCAGTGGTTGAATGATACCAGACTCTAGGTCTGCATATCTGAGATTCTCATGGTCTTCTCCTCATTGTCATACTACAGTCTTTTCATTCTCACACATTAGTATCAAAGCAGGAAGTTGCTGGTGGGAGAAGAGGTATATGTATAAGGAGACTAGTTTTTTTTTTTTTTAACTAGGGAAGAAAAATCTTCCCTGAAAGTCCAGAAAAATCACATCTCCTTTCACCTCATTGGCCAGACTCAGTCACATGGAGCTGGGAGAGAAACTGAGAAACTGAAAATTTGGTTTCAGGCTTTCAATCAAAGGAGAAGAGAGCCAGGAAACACTGTTGGGTAGGTAGATAATTAATAGAACATACCATAGATGAAGATATGGCCCAGACTACCTAGTTAGCATATTCTATCCTCCAAGTCATAGCATGGGTGCATAGGTGGACACATAATCCCACATGGCTCCTTGAACATCAGAAATATGATAGCCACCTTGCCACCATTAGCAAGAAGCCTGTCTGAGAATGATGTCTCCACAGGAAGCAGGAGTGGAAGGCAAAGAGTAGCATATTCTTGCTGATCTCACTTGAGTGCCTTGTCATTGACATGCCCGCACCAGCTATACTTCTTGGACCTGCTGGTAATGTGAATCAGTAAAATCCTTAGTCCAATGTGGTTAGATTACCACTTTAGTGACCTCCAATGAACCAGGCCTCCTGGTATTCATACCTTGTGTAGCCTTCTGTCCTTGAATCTGGGCTGACCCCTTGCCTCTCTTTAAACAATAAATTGTGATAAAGATGACGGCGTGCAAGTTCTGGGCATCAGCCTTCAGATTTCAGCTATGGCACACTTGGAAACCAACCACTGCAGAAGTGCAACTACCCTGAGACTATCATGCTATGAGAACAAGCTAACTATGTAGAAAGGCCTTGTGAAGGACCAAGGACCCCAGCTGACAGCAAGAACTGAGACTCCCAGCACAACCCCACCAGCCACATGAGTGAGCCCCCCTGGAAGTGAGACTTCCAGCCATAGTTGACAAGCTTTCCCCACTGAACCCTGCCCAAATTGCAAATAAACAAAATGCTAAGTTATGGAGTGGTATATTCCAAAATGCTAAGTTATGGAGTGGTATATAGCAATAGATAGTTAAAATACTCAGTTTGAGTAGGATTCCAGTGTCATTTGCTGCTGAGAGGGTTTTAACGGAAACACCACCCATGTAGTCTTAGAGAAATTATAATATCTGCCTGCGATTCAGTTTCTTTAGCTGTACAAAAGCTGTAGTTGACATTCAGGATACATTTAATTTTCTTCCAGTCATTGGGTTGTTTTGGGATTAAATGAAAGAATGCATCGAAAAGAACTAATAATGCTAAGGATTCTGACTGACTCCCAGTGACCACTGCTTCCCTACTTGCTCCATTGAAATCCAGTAATTGTCTTAATTGTCTCCAGCATTGCCGTGATCTTCCAGCTTCATAATTCATCAAAAAAGGAATAAAATTAATTCAGCTAGTGAATTCTTGCTGACTCCCAGTGACCACTGATTTCTCAAGTGGGTAAAAGATTCATTAAATGAAACTTCCAGACTTTTGGCATGGATAGACAAAGCCATAGAAAGCTATGCAAAGCTTATTTTTTCATTCTTGCATTTATTTCTTTGTTTATTCCTTGTCCATCTCTTTCATACTTCCTTATCCCATCCCACCTCCCTCCTCTACCTGTTACCCCCAGACTAGATAAAGTTTTTCTGGCCTGAGCTAGTGAGTAGATTGGCTCTGCTTGGTTCTAAGAGTAAACTTCACCCTGCTTCTCTCCTGGGATGCCTAATCATAGGAGAGGGGAAGAACAGAAATCCTAGATAGGTTTGGGGTTCTAAATGCAGGTGGGATTTAAGCTGCCTCTCTCCAGAAGAGCCCAAGAAAGGCAAACAGTAGAAACTCTATTTGGGATTCTGAGCTCAGGGAAGGGACTATCGGCTAGACTGCAGACTATAAATAGCTATGGTGGCCTGGGCCTGAGACATCTTCACTGGGGGTTCCCTATACCCAGCTAAGTATAGGGACAATAGATAATCTCCCAGAACAAATACAGTCCAGACATGGTGCAGGACAGCAAACACCTCATAGAGTTCCTGTGGGTCTGGTATGATGTGGAGCACCAAGAATCCCAGGCTCCTAAGAAGGTGCCCGGGTGAGTCAAGAGAGCCTCAGACCCAACAGAGTGCAGTGTTCAGGAGGAGGGATTGAGATGGAACAGGGACTCCTCTTAGAGGCCTGCAGCTGCACCCCAGCCTGAGCCTGGAAATAAAAAAAGTCTGAGTTCCTTCAAGAGAAATTCCAGGCATCTAGCTAGCCTTAAGAAGTACATAAGCAACTTGCTAAGCAAGAAAGTAATAAATAAATAGCCAAGGAAGTTAGAGTCATGAGATGTTTTGTTCCCTATAGAAATAAAAAAATAACATCTTTTTTTTTTTTTTTTTTTTTTGAGACGGAGTCTTGCTCTGTCATCCAGGCTGGAGTGCAGTGGTGTGATCTCAGCTCACTGCAAGCTCCACCTCCCGGGTTCACGCCATTCTCCTCCCTCAGCCACCCTAGTAGCTGGGACTACACGCGCCCTTTACCACGCCCGGCTAATTTTTTATTGTATTTTTAGTAGAGAGACAGGGTTTCACCGTGTTAGCCAGGATGGTCTCCATCTCCTGACCTCGTGATCTGCTCGCCTTGGCCTCCCAAAGTGCTGGGGTTACAGGTGTGAGCCACCGTGCCCGGCCAAAAAATAACATCTTAACATATGTCCGTGAGTTGTTCTTCAGAAACCTGACAAATGAACCCACTGGCATGTAGATGGCCGTTCTTTGTTCTGAAGTTCTTCCTAAGGGGCCTGGAGGAAGTCACATCCATAAGCCAGAGCTAACATTCTTGTCTGCTGATTCCAAATGTTTAAACAAAGCTCACCTTCCTTAACTAGCTACATATCAGAGAACCTTCGACTCTACCTATGACCTGTAAGCCCCATGCTTCAAGATACCCCACCTCTTTAGGTCAAACCAATGTATAACCACCATATATTGATTAATGACTCCTGTAACCTCGGCCTCCCTGCCTTTAAAACCCTTTACCTGTAAGCCATAAGGGAGTTTGGGTCTTCCCAATTCTCCTTGCTTGGCACCCTGCAATAAATGCTTCACTTTCTTTTTTTGCAATCCTTATGTCAGTGCTTGGCTTTGCTATACCAGGCAGGCAGACCCAAGTCCAGTTTGATAACAGAATGACTCAGCTGGGATTATGTGTATTAACAACTAAAGACCAGGTGGGAATGAGGACTTGCTAGGAGATGCCAGTAAACACCAATCAGGAATTCCAGCTGCCCCCCTACTACCCACCTCCACCACCATTACCAGTGCTAGATACTAAACTCTGGTGCAACACTAGGAAACTGGGAATCCCTGGGAAAGTGGGAATCCCTGATTGACTAAGATTAAATGGCTACCACTGAAATCAGAAAGGGGGCTCATCAGAGAAATTAAGTTCATTTGTAGAAAACTACATTTTTGTATTTTGCATGCCTGAGTTTGTGCATCAAACTAAGATCTGAAAGATGTATAATAATTAGGGATCAGTCTAATGTATAAGGAGAGGAAGAGAATTCCAGACAAAGGGAGGAATTCCTGTTTTCAGAGAATTACATAGTACATCTGAATAACACCCCATCCAAGAGGGTTGGTTGGTTTGTATGTTTTTAATGCCATCACAGGGACAATTCCTACAATCTATTGAAACCCAGTGGTTTCTGGTTGGCTAAGACAAACTCTGTACTCTATGCTGTTATTTGCCTGACTCAACCTTGCATAACATTGGGGACCATTTTAAATTACATTGTTTAGATACTGGAGTCTCTGCCTGTTCTTCAGTGAGCCTGTTCGGAGTGAATTGCTCACCTGGCAATCATGTTTGTAATAGACAACCTTGGCAATTATGAATAAGATGGAAAGAGACATCTGGCTCTATTTTAACCAATCAGAGTCTCCCTAGAAGCCAAGTTTAGTGGCTAAGCAATGGCTAGTTATTCTCAGCGTGCAGCTGGAAGTGAGGTGCACATAACTCCAGGAGCTGGGGGTTTTTCTTCCACTCAATAGATAAGTAAAGAGAGGCAGCCTGAAGAGAGTGAAAAAAGAAACAGATGGTCAGGGAGCCCTAGCATCAAGGAACCATCTGGCCCCAGAAAGAAATAAGAGACTGAGAGGGTGGCTCAGCTCCAGACATTTCCTCACAGGCAGACCCTGTATTCCTGCCCTTGGCTTCTGGGACACACCCTGTATGTCCTTACTTACATCCCTGTCCACCCACCCCCTTTCCTTACAATATGAATATATTCATATTCCCAAGTCCATTGTGTTTGGAAACCAGAATCATAGATTACTACATAAAATCTTAACATTTTTGTCTACAAACCCACTGTTTTCTTCTTTTTTAACCTTTTAAAAAATGTTCTTTAATGGCATATAATATTTGTAAAAATTTTGGTGGTACATTGTGATTTTTTATACATATGATGTAGAGCGATCAGGTCATGGTAATTAGCATATCCACATCTCAAACATCTATCATTTCTTTGTGTGAATGTGGGAACATTCAATATCTTCCTTGTAGCTACTTGAAACTATATATTATATTATTGTTCAAGTGAGTCCCATTACTTCCAATGAAAGAGTTTAAAGCTAAGATAATTAGTATTTGTACGCCTTTGTTTTCAGGTGGGGCAGCCAGTAACAGCTACGTGCCCAAGCAATGTTGCAAGATCTCAAGTTAAGATTATTCTCTGTTCAAAATGCATGCCTGTGACTCAGCAGTTTTCTTCTCAAGAGTTCCTGCAAAGTCTTAGTAAATCTCAGCAAACTGCTGCCCTCTCTGTGTTCCCCATTAAATTAGGTTGGCCACTTCTGCAGCCTTACTCTGCCTTGCTTAGGGCACACACAGGTGAGTAAGTCATCGAACACATGAGGATTTAATGATGAAGACTGACCAAGTCTCTGTCCACTCAGAGCTTCTAGCTCTTGGACGACACAGTTAATTAAAGACACAATTCTGTTTAAGTGTTGTTTAGCCTTGGGGGAAGAAAGGATGTCAGAGAGGCACATGGCAGAGGGTGGCTAACTCAGTCAGGGGAGGTCAGAGGGGTAGGAAAGGAAGCGATTTGTCAAGAGGGAACACAATCCTGAAACATTCAAAGTCATCAGTTACATAGAACTTACGGTCTGCCAGACATTGTTCTAAGCATTTTACATACATAAGCTCATTTTATCCTCACATGGTAGTGTGGTAAATACTATTACTAGCCCTATTTTTGTAGATGATTCAAGTTCAGCACAGAGAGATGAGTATGTCAAAGAACACACAACTGGCAGAGGCAGAGCCAAGATTCAAACCCAGGCAGTTTGAATAATGAATGTTTATTTATTCAATTAAACAGCTACAAAATGGAAAAAGCATAACAATGCTTGTTCTCCATCCACCACCCATGTAGGTCATTTTTCTTCTGTTTTTGGTAAATCATACAGCCCAAAATGTCACCATATGGGTCATTTTTATTTCTAAAATGTAAATATCTTTGACTTCAAAATGTATGTCTAGTGTGACCCAACTGTATCTGCACAGTCAATGTCAAGATTTCCAAAAAGAGCATTTTGAGGTAGTTCTGCCATGTTATCATATCCAGATAATAATGAATAGCAATCACATTATTATCAGCAGTGACCTCTACACATCGGGGAGGAGGAAAAATAAACAGGATCATTTCAAGGTTGCACCAGCTGCCAGCTGAAATTACCCCATTAAAGACAACTCCAGAGGAGCAGTTGCTGGGTGACAAGAGATGCTTGTTTACATCAAGTGCTCCTTTTAAGGAAAATCCTTCCACGCACATTTCTATTTCCTTATTTTTAAAATTGATTTTGTAGCTTCAACAGAATATGATTGCTTAGTTAATTCATTTAACAAAATGTACTATAGCAGTTACTTGTGAAGGTATTGAGAGATTAATTCTAGTATGAAAGCTTATCCCTAGACATCCCAGTGCTTGAAAAAAAAAAAGAAAGGAGAAGCTTAATTATTAGTTTGGGTGGTATTTGGCTACATTATATTATGTACTAAAAAGAAGTGGCTGTTTAATGAGTCGAAGATTTCCATTTGAGGTGATGAAATATCTCTGGAACTAGATAGTGGTAATGGTTGCATAACACTGTGAATATACTTAATGACACTGAATTGTACACCTTGGTTAAATTGCTAAATTTTATATATATTATACCACAGACTTAAAAAATGAATATATGTGCACACACGTGCATGTAAACACACACACACACACACAAGCACTCATAATTCTCCAGGGTGACCACAGAAGCATGAGTTGATATGGAGCATCCATCAGCCTGACTGATTATAGCATGACTCAGAATTAAAGTTTTATTGTGTTAAGTTACTTGTCACAGCAGCATAAACTAGCCCATCTTGACTGATGTAAGTTATTATATTGCACTTGGTTCACCTAACCTTTTTTCGATCCTCCTTTGCACAAGGCACTGGGAAAACAAAGATGAAAAGCTTCAAGAAGTTGAAACTAGCAAGAGAGATACATATGTTAACCAAAAGATGCGCTTAAGCATGATGGTGCCATAATAGAGGTAGATTATGAGTTACAATGAAAGTACAAAGGCTGGAATGGCCTAGAAACTCAGAGGAGTGTACTCAAGAGGGAAAAGGTTGAACTAAATTTTAAAAAGGTGTGTAGAAGTTTGCCAAGTAGAGAAAGGGAGAAGTTCTCCCCAGATTGATGAAAGAGCTTGCCCTCTGTGCAATGATACAGACATGAAACAGCCTGGCACGTCACAGGAAATGCCAGTCATCAGACAATAGAGTGTGAGGCGATGAAGATGGACTAGTGCTAGAGATGGACTAGAGAAGTTGGCAGGAGTCTGGAGTTTGGACCAAATCTTGTAGCCAGTCCTTTCTAACCATTCCATTCATACTATACATGGAAAATGAAAACACATCGGGCACACTGGGCTGCAACACACCTGTCCAGCCACGGCCAACCTTGGCACATCTTAATCCACTGCAGCAAATTAGGGCACACCTTACGGTAATTACTACTATGGGTAATGGAGAGTCATTGAAGATATCTAAGCAAGAAAACAATAGGATCAGATTTGCATTCTAAATCATGGTTTGGAAGCTAGATCAGTATGAAAAACTAGATTAAAGTCAGAAAGATCCATGAGGAGGCAGTGGCAACAATCCAGAGATGGCAGAAGCCTAAATCAGAATAGTGGCTGTGAAATTAAAAGAGTGGAAAGATTGAAGAGATAGTTTTAAGGTAGAATTAACAAGCCTTATGACTGACTGGATGTGGAGGGTGAAGGAAGATACAGAGTTTAAAATGGCCCCCAGCTTGAGTGACTAGTAGTGGCCCCACTGGGATAGAAAATAGAGGAAGGGGAGGACTGTGTAGACAGCAGTCAGTTCTGTTATGGTCTTGTTGAACTGATGTGCCAGTGAAGCTACCTGATAGATGGTTAAATGCCAGGGAAATTACATATGGGCTCAGAGAGAAGACTGGAGTAGAGTTAAAGATACGGGGGTCATGGACAGATACAAGTGTTAGAGCCAAGAGAACAGATGAGCTTGTTGAGAGAAGACATAATTAAGAAATGAAAGGGGCTGAGGGTATTTAAGGGGAACACAGAGGAGGGAAAGCCTGTGGGAAATAACATTGGCATTTCTTTGATGCATAATGGGATCTTCCCAACTGACTGAACACTGAGACTGTTTGAAAAGAGTGACTCTGTAATCTTTCTAAATCTGTCTAAATGATCTTTAAAATCATCTCTGGGAATTCCAGAAGATTAGTCAACTAATACAGGCTGATGCCTTTTGTGAAACTGAATATTTTTAAAATTACATCATTTAAAGTACTTTTAATGAAGCCATAGTTATGGTTTTCTCTAACATTTTTCTACAGTATATTATGATTATCTACTTACATGTCTACACCTTCTCACTAGACTATTAAATCCTCAAGGGCCCCCAGCCCTAGTGTCTAGCATTGTACTTGGCACATAGTATACAGTTGATAAATATTTGTGAATTAACATAAATTTGAGTTTTAGAGTTCAATATATACAGAGTGTGATACAACAGTTTTTGGAACTCAGGTCCAACAGTCTTTCCAAAGTTTTGCAATGGAAATTTGTTAAATGGCCAAGAGACACTATAGTTTTAACTTGGCAATGTCCCTTATAATGGTCAACATCGATAAAGATGCATGATATATTCATACACTCTAATATCATATAGATAAAAGAATGAATCAACTAAAGCTACACACAGTAATATGGATGAATCTCACAATCAGTGAAAGAAGCTGCACAAAAAAGAATGCATATTGTACAATTCCCATCATATAAAGCTTAAAAATAAGCAAATTTAATACCTAGTTTTAGAAGTCTGGTTAGTAGTTACCTTTGGAGGGGGTGCACTAATGGGAAGGGTCAAAAGAGGGACTTTTGGGGAACTGGTCGTAAGTTCTATTTCTTGATCTGGGTGCTGTTTACATGGGCATGTTCACTTTATGAACACTTATTGAGCCATACACAGGATTTGTGCACTTTTCTGTATGATTGCTATACTAGTGTAAAAATTTACTTTACAAAAATAATGAAACATAATCCTACAAGAGAAAGTTTTAACATAAAAGAATAAGCTCTATGTGTAAAGTAGGAGTATAGCATTAAGCAAGTAGTTGAAACGACACTAATCTACCGATAAAAAAGGAGAGTGAGGCCAGGCGCAGTGGCTCATGCCTGTAATCCTAGTACTTCGGGAGGCCAAGGTGAGTGGATCACTTGAGGCCAGGAGTTCAAGAACAACTCAGCTTGGCCAACATGGTGAAACCCCATCTCTCCCCCCAAAATACAAAAAATTAGCAGGGCATGGTGGTGTGCACCTGTAGTCCCGGGTACTTGGGAGGCTGAGGTCAGAGAATCACTTGAACCCAGGATGGGAGGCAGATTGCTGTGAGCCGAGATCATGCCACTGCACTCCAGCCTGGGCAACAGAGTGAGACCCCGCCTCAAAAAAAAAAAAAAAAAAAAAGAGAGAGAAAGAAAGGAGAGGGAGAGGAATAAGTAAACAAAGACTCGAGGGTATCTTCATACATATTTCTGGAGTGCTTTATAGCGAAAAGGCTCCAGAAATATGTATGAAGATCCTCTTGAGTCTTTGTCTCTACATACTAAGCTGTACTCAGTATAGGGTAAGCAAAATTCCCTAGTCTAGGCAATAAATAAATAAATAACCTACTGAGAAAAGAACAACTTCCAGGGAGCTATGAACTAAGGAGCTCACAATGTTTTGGATGACTTATCACAAAATCATCACAAAGAGAAATTCCAGGTTTGTTTTTTTTTTTTTTAACGGAGTCTTGCTCTGTTGCCCAGGCTGGAGTGCAATGGTGGGATCTCGGCTCACTGCAACCTCTGCCTCCCGGGTTCAAGTGATTCTCCTGCCTCAGCCTCCTGAGTAGCTGGGATTACAGGTACCCGCCACTATGTCCAGCTAATTTTTGTATTTTTTGTAGAGCTGGGGTTTCACCACGTTAGTCAGGCTGGTCTCAAACTCCTGACCTAAGGTGATCCACCCACCTTGGCCTCCCAAAGTGCTGGGATTACAGGCGTGAGCCACCATGCCTGGCCCCAATTCCAGGTCTTATAAATAAAAATATTTAGCTTTAAGGTAAAAGCCACTGTAGACCTATCCTAGAAGAGGTTAAATTCAAGCTTTAATAGGGTCAAACTGATCCACAAATAAATTAACTACAGGCCAGGATAAAGCTCAACACTCATTAAAGGAAGAGAATAAAATCTAAATTCTATCTAGCAACCAATTTTAAAAAAACTTCACTAGTTGTGAAAAGAAGTAGGAAAATATGACCTTTAACAAGGAGAAAAATTAGTGAATCTAGAGACCCAAAAATGGAGGAGAAGCTAGAACTAGCAGGTGAGGACTTTAAAATTGTTGTTATAAATATATTCAATGATCTAAAGGAAAACATGGACACAATAAAGAGAGAAATGGAAACAAATCAAAAAAAGAGATCCAAATGGAAGTTCTAGAGTTAAAGAATATAATACCTGAAATGAACACAGGAAATAGAAACTATCTAAACTGAAGCATGGAGAGAAAAGAGGATTTAAAAAATGAATAGTGTCTCAGTGATCTGTGAAACAAAATTAGCAGTCTGACTTTTGTATGATTGTAAAATTAGAAGGGAGATTAGGAGGATGGAAGGAGGCAGCAAAGAAAATGCTTCAGGAAATGACTACTAATTTTCTTTTTTTAAAATCCCCCCATAACTGTTTATTAGAATGTGAATGTGTTCCAAATTAATAACTAAAAAATCAAGTTACAGAGCATGCAAAAATACAAACTAGCAATTCACCAACAGATAATAGTATCTTCATAATCCATACACTAAAATAATAAAATGGCTACAGAAGAAAACCCAGGTGACTGACTACAGCAATGCCTTCCATGTTCACCACACATCATGAGCAAAGCAAAAGACAAAAGATGAATTATGAAACACAGTAATCTAAGCAAGCCCACATATATATATTTTTGGGGATATCCCACTATCCTGAATAGCAGTATCATTACAGCTGACACAACTTCCAGAAAACTGCTGAGTAAGTGCTTAATATTATCCACAAGAAAGCAAAACTAAATATTAGTATGCACATTTCTGAATGAGAAACTAATTGTCTCATTGATTTTAATAATGTAGTGGAAGAAAATTATATCCAGTCTCTGCAATGCCTAAGTGCATTCTATTTAAACTCAAGGTGCTATTTCATTTCATATACTAAAAGAATGCATGCCTTTAAGTGGTACCATTTGAGCAGAAATTCCTCATTGTATTCTTTAGACACACTGAAACCAAAGATTTAACTGAACTGTATTCCATAATATACTGCAAAACTCAAATATCAGCATTGTCAAAATAATTATCCATGCCTGCTGGTAGATATGGTCATAAAACTGGTTTCATTTCACTTACTGGAAGGTTTTAAGACAAAATTAACACTTCAAAATTTGATACTACCAGTATTAAACCAGTTATTGCCTGAGTAATAAAACGCCACGTTATCTACGGCTGGAAAATGAGATTGCTTAAATGGTTTGGGCTGCCTGATCATTGCAACAGAGGCACCTCAGATGGGATTCTACCAGTCTCACCAGTTCCCAGCCTGATGGGAAACATTATTTAACATATGGCCCCATAAACATACTACTAACAAAACCGTAACAAATCTTTTGTGTTTGTTTAGATAATTCTTCTCCAGAAAAAAAACATGTCTCCCTCTCTAATCAACTCTGATGCTTACAAAAATTAAAAAACAAAATTTACTAAACTACATAAACCTATTAAGGCATTTTAGAAATTGACTTCCAGAATAATGGAACATTTTTCAGCTCTCAAAATCCTGCTATGTTTATAGGGTCACCTTACATTTGTGGAAATATACACTGCACTGAGAGAAGAGTATATAACCTATAAGCTGCTCTGTGGCAAAATGATAGCTTATTTCTAAGGTCTTAGTTTGATTTGATCAAGACCAATAGGTCTGAGCTTCTAGTGATCAAGTTCTATTATGTCCTACAGTGATGGGCTTCCAGAATGAAAAGTAAACAATAATTGAGGAATCCAAACATTCCACCTATTAAACTAAGTCTAGTGAAGCCATAGCATGAAAAAGGTTGCAATCATTTGGGATAAGTGGATAATTTTATAAAACTAAAATCAAAACACTGAAGATATGGAAAAATTCATAAGTATGAAGTAATAAGAAAAAAAATGACACAAGAATTACAAAAATATTTGCCAGGCAAGGTATCAGAGCCCCAGCATCTAGAAGTGGTTGACTCACAGGCTGGTAAGAATTTACTGACAACAGTATAGGTTTGAAAAAGGAAAGTACTATTAGAAAGAAAGAACGTTGCCAGAGAGTGCATCAGGGCACCTCAATGAGAGGGCGGAGTGCACCGTGGTGGATTTTTCCTTAGGAGTAGTTATGAACTTTAAGGCAGGAGCTTGAGGGTAATTGGGACCATACTAGCCACATAGGTCATAATAAATGATTACATTTGTAGTACTTTTGGTGCCTTAATGTCAGCAAGGATTGCACAATGAGTTTTGACATGGCATTCTGGAGACGTATAGAACGTCTATACATCTTTACAAACTTTAAGTTGAAAAGAGGCCTGGAACCAGATGCCAACTTTGGATACTAGGGAAGTTTAATTACTTCTAAATTCTTCAGATAAGGAGTTTTGCCTGTTTTGTGGTCAACAGGTGGTCTTTGCTCCCTTCTAAATTCCTCACATAAGGAGTATTTGTCTCCAGGGCCTGTTACTGGGTGGTTTTTGTTCTCCTCAGTATTTAAATATTGGACTTGAGAAATGGGTTATACATTGCCTTCCAGGGCAGAAGAGAAACGCCTTAGATGTTCTGACAGCACTGCACCTTTGGTTTGTTTTCAGTGATTGGTGGAACATGAACAGGAACCACATTATTGCTTGGGGACATGTCTTTTTCGGCTCTGTCTGACATTTGCTTCTGAGAAACAATGTGAGGTATCTCTGTTAGAATTGTCTGAAAAGTAGCTTCTACATTTGTAGAGTCTAGAGCAGATGTCTCAATGAATGACAAATCATTTTTTTCTGCCAAAGCTCTTGCCTTCAACTCTAGGAACTTCCCTGAGATGATGTAAATCACTCTTATTTGTCCATGATAACATGACAACAACATTACTATCAGTGTGATCGCTCAGTTCTTTCAGCAATCATTCTGTATTTTCATATGTGAGATGTTTAGCAATGTCTTAAACCAATAAGGCACCTATATCTTCATGATAATAAGCTTATGTTATAGCTTCGTATTACTCTTGCCCTGCTCTGTCCCACATCTGTGCCTTTATTGTTTTCCTATCAATATGGATGCTTCTTGTTGCAAACTACTCCAGTGGTGCTCTTGCTTTCCAGATTAAACTCATTTTGAGTAAATCAAGACAGGAGATTATTCTTTCCAACACCAGAATCTCCAATAAGGATAACATTAAAGAGGTAGTCATTCTCATTGTTGCAGGTGCCCATTGCACAACTGAGGAGTGAAGGGGTGGGAGCGGTAGTAGCATCTGTGAGACTAGGGAGGCATTGCTGCTCCTAATTTTCTACATTTGATGAAAAGTACCAATCCGAAGATGCAAGAATCTCAATGATCCTCAGGCAGAATAAAAACAGAGAAAACTATAAATTATATCAACACATATTGATGACAACTAATGATAAAAAGTTGCCACACAGTGACCAAAGACTTAGATTACAACACTCAACTCCCTTTGAATACTTGGAAAGCTTTCTCAGGAAGGAAGTGTATAAATAAGCCTAGATTGTAAGGATTAGAAAAAAATAAATGATTATTTAATGCCTAGCCATTGAGAAACATTCACAAGCATTAGTACCATCCAGGAAAACATGATCTCACCAAACAAACTAAATAAGGCAGCAGTGACAAATTTCAGAGTGACAGAGATAGGTAACCTTTCTGACAGAGAATTCAAAATAGCTGTTTTGAGGAAGCTCAATGAAATCCAAGATAAAACAAAGAAGAAATCCAGAATCCTATCAGATAAATTTAACGAAGAGATTGAAATAATTAAAAAGCAGAAATAATTATCAGGCAGAAATTCTGGAGCTAGTCAATGCAATTGATAAACTGAAGAATGCATCAGAATCTCTCAACAGCAAAACTGATCAAGCAGAAGAAAGAATTAGTGAGCTTGAAGACAGGCTATTTGAAAATACAGAGTCAGTGAAGTCAAAAGAAAAAAGAATAAAAAAAATGAAGCATGCTTACATGGTCTAGAAAACAGCCTCAAAAGGGAAAATCTAAATTATTGGCCTTAAAGAGGTGGTAGAGAGAGAGAATAGGGTAGTTTATTCAAAGAGATAATAACGAAGAACTTTCCAAACCTAGAGAAAGATGTCAATATTCAAGTACAAGAAGGTTATACAACACCAAGCAAATTTAACCCAAATAAGACTACCTCAAGTCATTTAATAATCAAACTCCCAAAGGTCAAGGATAAAGAAAAGATCCTAAAAGCACCAAGACAAAAGAAATAAGTAACATATAAGGCAGCTCCAGTATGTCTGGCAGCAGATTTTTCAGTGGAAACCTTACAGGCCAGAAGAGTAGTATGATATATTTAAAGTGCTGAAAAAAACCCTTTTATCCTGGAATATTATATCCAGTGAAAATATCTTTCAAACATGAAGGAGAAATAAAGACTTTATCAGACTAACAAAAATTGAGTGATTTTTTTTTTAAACACCAGACCTGTCCTATAAGAAATGCTAACGGGAATTCAATCTGAAAGAAAGGGACATTAATGAGCAATAAGAAATCATCTGAAGGTACAAAACTTACCGGTAAGTAACAACAAGTACACAAACAAATAAAGAATACTGTAACAGTGTAATTGTGGTGTGCAAACTACTTCTATCTTAAGTAGGAAGACTAAAAAGATGCACCTATCAAGAATAATAACTGCAACAAATTTTTAAGACAGAGAGTATAATAAGATATAAACAGAAACAACAAAAACTTGAGAGGAGATGAAGTTAAAGTATTGAATTTGTATTAGTTTTCTCCTTGCTTGTTTGTTAGCTTCTTTGTTCAATTTTGCAATCAGAGTTGTCATTCGCTTAAAATAATGGGTTACAAGACGTTATTTGCAAGCCTCATGGTAACCTCAAATCAAATACCTACAACAGTTACACACACAAAAAAAAGAAAAAATCAAAACATACCACCAGAAAAAAATCACTTCCAAAAAAAAGGAAGACAGGAAGGAAAGAAGGAAGAGAAGACCACAAAACAACCAGAAAACAAATAACAAAATGGTAGGAGTAAGTCTTTACTTATCATTAATAACATTGAACGTAAATGGACTAAACTCTCCAAACCAAAGACATAGACTGGCTACATGGATTAAAAACACAAAACAAAACAAGACCCAGTGATCTGTTGCCTACAAAAAACACACTTTACCTACAAAGACACACATGGACTGAAAATGAAGGGATGGAAAAAGATATTCCATGCAAATGAAAATCAAAACAAGAGCAGGAGTAGCTATACCTATATCAGATAAAATACATTTCAAGACAAAAACTATAAATACAAACAAAGATGGTCATTATATAATGGAAAAAGGATCGATTCAACAACAGGATATAACGATTATAAATATAAATACACTCAACGCTGGAGCACCCAGATATGTAAAGCCAATATTTATTTATTTAATTAATTTATTTATTGAGACAGGGTCTTACTCTGTTGCCCAGGCTGGAGTGCAGTGGTGTGACCATGGCTCACTGTAATGGCTCACTGTAGCCTTGACCTCCCAGGCTCAGCTGATCTTTCCACCTCAGCCTCCTGGGTAGCTGGGACTACAAGCACAAGCCACTATGCCCAGCTAATTTTTTGTAATTTGTTGTAGAGACACAGTTTTACCATGTTTCCCAGGCTGGTCTCAAACTCTGGACTCAAGTGGCCCACCTGCCTTGGCCTCCAAAAGTGCTAGCATTACAGGCGTGAGCTACCACATCCAGCCTAAAGTCTTAAAACATTAAAAAAAAAAAAACCGAAATCATATAAAATATATTCTCCGACCACAATGGACTAACACTAGAAATCAATAACAAGAAGAACGTGGAAACTATACAAACACACGGAAATTAAACAATATGCTCCTGAATGACCAGTGGGCCAATGAAGAAATTAAGAAGAAAAGTGAAAAATTCCTGGAAACAAATGGATGTTAACTGTCGCCACTGTTATTTAACATAGGACTGAAAGTCCTAGCTAGAGCAATCAGACAAGAGAAAGAAATAAAGGGCATGAAAATTGAAAAGGAAGAAGTCAAATTATCTTTGTTTGCAAATGATATAATCCTATATTTAAAGAAACTAAAGACACCACCAAAAAACTATTAGAGCTGATAAACAAATTCAGTGAAGTTATAGGATACAAAATCAACATACAAAAATCAGTAGCATTTCTTTTTTTTTTTTTTTTTTTGAGACGGAGTCTCGCTCTGTCCCCCAGGCTGGAGTGCAGTGGCATGATCTCGGCTCACTGCAAGCTCCAACTCCCGGGTTCACACCATTCTCCTGCCTCAGCCTTCCAAGTAGCTGGGACTACAGGCGCCTGCCACCACGCCTGGCTAATTTTTTAGTATTTTTTTTTTTTAGTAGAGACGGGGTTTCACTGTGTTAGCCAGGATGGTCTTGATCTCCTGACCTTGTGACCCACCCGCCTCAGCCTCCCAAAGTGCTGGGATTACAGGTGCTAGCCACCATGCCCGGCCAAAAATCAGTAGCATTTCTATATGCCAACAGCAACAGTCTGAATAAGAAATTGAGAAAGTAATTCCATTTACAACAGCTACAAATAAAATACTTAGGAACAAACTTAACCAAAGAAGTGAAAGATCTCTACAATCAAAACTATAAAAAATTGATGCAAGAAATTAAACAGGGCACAATAAAAACAGAAAGATATTCCATGTTCATGGATTGAACGAATCAATATTATTAAAATGTCCATACTACCCTAAGCAGTCTACAGATTCAATATAATCCCTATCAAAATACCAATGACATTCTTTACAGATATAGAAAAAACAATCCTAAAATGTATATGGAACCACAAAAAACCCAGAATAGCCAAAGCCATCCTGAACAAAAAGAACAAAACTAAAGGAATCATGTTACCTGACTTCAAGTTATACTACAGAGCTATAGTAACCAAAACGGGATGGTACTTGCATTAAAACAGACACATAGATCAATGGAACAGAATAGAGAACCCAGAAACAAGTCCATACATCTACACTGAACTCATTTTTTACAAAGTTGCCAAAAACATTCAATGGGGAAAAGACAGTCTCTTCAATAAATGTTGCAATAAATACACAGCAGAATGAAACTAGACCCCTATCTCTCACCATATAGAAAAATAAAATCAAAATGGATTAAAGACTTAAATTTCATACCCAAAACTATGAAACTACTAAAATAAAACTTTGGAGAAACTCTCCAGGACATTGGTCTGGGCAGAAATTTCTTGAGCAGTACCCCAAAAGCACAGGCTGCCAAAGCAACGAAGGACAAAGAGGATCACATTAAAAAACTTCTGCACAACAAAGGCAACAATCATCAAAGTGAAGAGATGACCCACAGAATGGGTGGAAATATTTGTAAACTACCCATCTGGCAAAGGATTAATAACCCAAATATATAAGGAGCTCAAACAACTTAATAGGAAACAAAACAAATTTAATAGTCTGATTTTAAAATGAGCTTAAGGTCTGAATAGACATTTCTCGAAAGAAGACACCAAATGGCAAACAGGTATATGAAAATGCGCTCAAAATCACTGATCACCACAGAAGTGCAAATTAAACCTACTATGAAATATCATCTCACCCCAGTTAAAATATTTTTTTATCAAAAAGACAGGCAATAATGAATGTGGGTGAAGATGTGGAGAAAGAGAAATCCTCATACAATATTGGTGGGAATGTAAATTAGTACAGCCACTATAAAAACAGTATGAGGTTCCTCAACAAACTAAAATAGAACTACCATATGATCCATCAACCCCACTGCTAAGTATACACCCAAAAGGAAGAAAATTAATATATCAAAGAGATATCTATACGCCCATGTTTATTGCAGCACTATTCACAATAGCCAGGATTTGGAATCAACCTAAGTGCCCATCAACAAATGAATGGATAAAGAAAATGTGGTACATATACACAGTGGAATACTTTTCAGTCATAAAAAAGAATAAGATTCTGTCATTTGCAATGACGTGGCTGGAACTGGAGGACATTATGTTAAGTGAAGTAAGCCAGGCACAGAAAGACAAACTTCACATGTTCTCACTCATTTGTGGGAGCTAAATTTAAAACAATTGAACTCATGGAGACAGAGAGTAGGAGGATGGTTACCAGAGGCTGGGAAGTGTAGTGTGGGCAGGGGTAGGAAAAAGGGATGGTGAGTAGGTACAAAAATTACTTAGATACAATGAATATGATTTCGTATTTGATAACACTAAAGGGTGACTACAGTCAGCAATAATTTGTTACACATTTTGGAATAACTGAGGGGGTATAATTGAAATGTTAGTAACACAAAGAAATGATGAATTCTTAAAGTGATGGATTTACCCTGATGGGGTTATTACACATTATGTGCCTGTAACAAAATACCTCATGTACTCCATCAATATATACACCTACTATGTACCCATAAAAATTAAAAATAAAAAAAGTTAAAAATATAAAATAAAATATAAATGACATAAGGTTGATCACCTTTAAAAAAAAAGTTGCCAGAAAAAACAGTGGGACAAAGATAATATTAACACTGATTTATCATCAGAGACAAGTCAGCCAGAAGAAAATAGAACAAGATTTTCAAGGTCTTGAAAGAAAAAAACTGTCAACCTATAACTGTATATCCAACACATATATTCCTCAAAACACAAAATAGAAATACATTTTTTAGACAAACAAAAACAGAGAATTTGTTGCCAGCAGATCTACTCTACAAGAAATATTTTAAAATTTCCTCAGGCTGAAAGAAAATGATATCACATGTATCACATAGAGACATAGTCCTAGACAAAGGAATGAAGAGTTTCAGAAGTGGTAAACATTTATGTATACGTAAAAGATTTTTCTCCTCATTTTTTAATCTCCTTAAGAGGTAATTGACTGTCCTAAACAAAATACTAACAATGCATATATTTAAAGAAACTTATAACCTATTTCCTCCTCTCTATCCTTTAAGTAAGCTATTGTTACAATTATCATACATTTTATCTAAATGTTTTACAAATATGAATACACACACACTATGGAGGCTGCAGGAAATATTGACCTTGGCAAACTAGAATTACCTAAAAGCATTCGTTGTTTTAGGGCAGTAATGGTTAAGAACTTGGGCTTGGGGCCAGTCACAGTGGCCAGTCACAGTGGCTCATGCCCAGCCCCTTTAGGAGGCTGAGGTGGAAGGGTTGCTTGAGGCCAGGAGTTTGAGACGGGCTTGGGCAATATAGTGAGACCTTGTCTCTACAAAAAATTGAAAAATTAGCCAGATATGGTGGCATGTGCCTGTAGTCCCAGCTAATATACAAATATACAAAGCAAATATACATGGCTTTGTATCTAAATGGAACCTCTTGAGTGCTTTCTATCCTTACTACCACTGAAGGTGAAATTGCTGCTGCTTTAGCGGACTAGAACTGGCTTCTCTTATTGGATTGTGGTAGCCAAGCACTGTGTGTGTGTGTACATATGTTTGTCTGTAGGATAAATAATACTTTGTAGTTTGGTATTGGAATTCTCTGCTTACTGACACTTGGCTTAAGCCTTCTTTCTCCCTGAGGTCTCATCTTAGTAGAAATTAATGTTTGCCCTTTTTGTTCGACAGAATCAGGAGTTGGAAGAACATCCAGTAATGGGTACACAGAAATGGAGCAGGGAGAAAGAAGGAGAAGACGGAGAATAACAGAGTGCCTGAGGCATGCAGACGATTCAGGAAGGGACTAACATTAGGTCTGAGTTATATGTAGGTATTCACGTTGCAAATTGCCTATGAACAGCCTCCATTCCCTGTGGGACCCAGCTGAGACCCATACTTTGGACAGCAGAATTGAGTTAGGAAGAGATCAGAGCTGTAGACACTGGAGTACGACTGCTGTCATAGCAGATTAGGACAGAGGTTGGATTCTGTTAATAGCATTATAAAAATTGTTTTTCTTATTTATTTCACAGCATTTTACTCTAGGAAAGTTAAGATGCTAGAGAGACACCATAAGCCTAGTGCACATCACACAGTTGTGTGGAAAGTCATCATGAGTATTGCCATCGCAATGGTCTCAGCGTTCAAAGGAGAACGTTGAGTGAAAGAAACTATGCTCTAATGAGGTCCTCTCAGAAACCAGCAATCCTGGCAATTCAGCTCTCTGGGCAAATAATAGAGCAGAGTCATCAGGACCACCCACCTAGGCGTCTGATGATCCTGGGTTTCAATCCTACCTGGGCCCTTCACTATCAGTTTGACTTTGGGCAACTGGTTTAACATCTCTGAGCCTCAATTTTCTCATCTATAAAATGAGGATGATAAAATGCATACTGTTTAAAAAAGAGTACTTACTGTCGGGTACTCTACAAGTATTATCTCATTTTATCCTCGCAACAGCTAGATACTATTATTATTCTATTTTATAGGTGTGAAAACAGAGGCTCAGAGCAATGGGCTGTCATGTGTCGGAAGTCACAAGGCTGGTTAAGTGGTACATCCAGGAATGGACCCTGGGCATTCTGATTCCAGAGCCCTGCTTTTAACTATTAAGCAAAACTGCTGGATAAAGCTCTCCTGAGTATCAAATAAGCTGATGAGCTCAATAGTGCCTGGCACATTTTGATTCTTTCATAAATGGTAATTATCAAAATGAGAGTTGAGTGCAATCCAGATCCCAAGTTATGACAAATCTGGGGTTAACGTGAATTCTGTAGCAACACCCAGGGCCAACTCTAAAGCTCAGGCATCCTCACTCTCAGATAATCTATAAACAGAAAGTTCTCATAGAAAAATACAAGTTCCCTGGGGTGTCAGAAATCGTTTATACAGAAGGTGCCTTTTGCAGCATGGGAACAGATCAGAGAGTAGGAAAGCAAGGAAGAACTGGAGAATGTCCTGGCCCCATCGTCAGAGCTCCCTTGAAAGGGAGCATCCTGACTTCCAGCCCAATCTGTCCAACAGGAGAGAACAGAAAGCTGGGAACTAAACGAGTGCCACACCCCTGGCTCATGGATTTTGCAGGATGCTAGGTAATGCTAGCATCATTTCTTCATTTCTCCATCATCTCCCTCCCCATCCCGATCACGTCCTCGGCCTTGTCTCTTTTGTTCCCAACTCCACCACTGCCAAGAACTGTACGTGGTCCAAAGTGGGCACTCAAACAACACTAGCTGAATGCATTACATGAAAAATGGTATGAAGATAAAGATAAACATATTAGGGATCAGAATGGAAAATTGTCATGCCTTTTTAAAGATGAAACACAGGACTTCAAAGAAACTTCAAAAATCTGGTAAGGGCTTTAAACTGTCTACAGAGATTAAAGTTCAAACTCTCAGAAATGTTTTCCCTGGCATTTTTAACCCCTTAAAAATTTTAATAAAATACACATAAAATTTACCATTTTAACCACTTTAAATATACAACTCAGTGGCATTAAGTGCATTCACATGGCTGAACAACCATCACCACCATCCATCCACCGAACTCTTTCACCATCCTAAACTGAAATGCCATACCCATTAAACACTAACTCCCATTCCCTCCACATCCCAGACCCGGGGAACCATCATTCTACTTTCTGTCTCATGAATTTGACTATGCTAGGCCCTGCTAATAAATAGAATCATACAATATTTGTCCTTTTATGTTCAGTTTATTTACTTAGCATAATGTCTTCAAGGTTCATCCATGTTGTAGCATGTCAGAATTTCATTTCTTAAGACTGAATAACATTCCACTGTATGCTTTATACCACACTTTGCTTATCTGTTCATTCATTGACAGACATTTGAGTTGTTTCCAGCTTTTGGCAGTTGTGAATAATACTAATATGAAAATGAATGTACAAATATCTGTTCAATTTCCTGCTTTCACTTCATCTGGGAATATATATCCAGAAGTAGAATTGGAGGATCATATAGTAACTATGTCTAATTTTTTGAGGAGCCATTCCTGGCATTTTTTTCTGTTATATTATCAGAGTCAGCTCCTACTTATTTGAACAGTTTATTTTGCCTCTCCAGTGTTCTATCCTACATTTATCCTAAATGACCTCTCTTTTGCTGGTCCCTTCTTTCATTTACAAAGATTATTTAGAAATATGATCTTATGTTCCACAGTACTGATTTTTCCCAAAACAAAACATTAGGGCTGTTTGGAACAAACTGCCATTTCCCAAGTCATAAGTTGCATTAGTTTAAAAGGTAAGAATCCATGAATTTTTTGGAAAAAAAAAAGCAGTCCTTCAAATCAGTACCAAGGTACCAGTTTGTTATGAAAGACAGTTTCTGACATACAAACGTCTCACTTAGGAACATCCCTGACATGCAAAGACCAGTGGAAACCAGGAATCTGACTCCTCCTGGAAGTCTCCACCTGCTGCCACATGGATGGTGAGGATCTTGGACTTTCAGTGGTTAGCAGGGACAGGTTAAAACCCACCTCTTCTCCATTTTCATCTTCCTTCTTGACACCAGAACTATGGGAGTGCCATCCTTGCTGTGGCTACCTGGCATCACAGTGAGAGCTCCTGTTCTCACTGGAAGATTGAATCACTTCAGAAGCAGAAGAGTGTGTGCTGGAACACAGCACAATTTTGCATACAGAAACAATGCTCTTTCACATCTAGTCAACGAGTTCTGCACATTCCATCTCCTAGCCACCTCAAAATCCATCTTTCCTCCTTGCCTTCTCTACCTGGGGTCAGAATCTCATCTGGGTCACTTCAATAGGCTCTGAACTAGTCTCCTCTACAGTCGGGATTTCTGGCCCATCCTGCACATTATGGAGATCTATCTGTCACCAGCTCAATATCACTATCATCACCAAAGACCTGAAATAACAATGTTCAGGAGAGACCTTAACAGCCCCACACCTCTACTGGGTGGAGCTTCAGGACAGCCATGTCTTCTGACTTCTAGTCTGGTCCGCACTTTTTTTTTTTTTTTTTTTTTTTTTTTGAGACAGTCTCGCTCATGTTGCCCAGGATATAGTGCAGCAGCGTGATCTCGGCTCACCGCAACCTCCGCCTCCTGGGTTCAAGTGATTCTCCTGCCTCAGCCTCCTGAGCAGCTGGGATTATAGGCACCCGCCATTACACCTGGCTAATTTTTGTATTTTTAGTAGAGACGGGGTCTCACCATGTTGGCCAGGCTGGTCTCGAACTCCTGACCTCAAGTGATCTGCCCTCCTCGGCCTCCCAAAGTGCTGGGATTACAGGCCAGCTTGGTCCGCACTTTTCTCATTGGTTGCCTTTTATGTCAGCATGGCTGTCAGCTAAATGGGAGAATGAATATAACTGATACCATTTATATATGAAGGTCAGCAGTGGAGGGGAAGGAAGTTAAAGGGAATAAACAGCAGGTATGAAATCATCTCACCACCTTTAATAACTGGTGTAGTACCCATTTTCTTCTCTTCTTCTTCTCCCTTTTCGAGGATGGTGTTGAAAGTGTTGAAAGTGGAGCAGTCAGGGTACTTCCTTCTCAAATCATCACACTTCTTTCTTCTTTACCACACTTCCTAGCCATAATCTTCACCATTTAAGAGGAGGGGACTCTTCAAACCCTTTCCATATCGAAATCTTAGAATGCAATTGTGAAACTGCACTTGACTTCCCAGATATTTGAGGAAGCTTCCTGGTTCTTGCTTTATAATCATGATCTACCACCCTTACCATCCTTCCCTGAAATTTCCCTATCTAAAACAACGACAACAAAACCTGTTACAGATATTTTTGTAAGTAGCCTTAAATTCTTTTAAAAGTATTATTATTTTTTTTATAGAGACAAGGTCTATGTTGCCCAGGCTGGTCTCAAACTCCTAAGCTCAAGCAATCCTCCCACCTCAGCCTCCCGAAGTGCTAGGATGGTAGGCTGAGCCACCGTGCCCAGCCTTAAATTCTCTTTTAAGACAAGGCAAAAGTATGTGTTAATCAAGTTAGAATTCAGGTGACCATTTGTCTCAGTTTGCCTAGGACAGTCCCAGTTTATGCCTATTCCCTTGTGTAACTTTTAAAAGAGCTCCTCCTTTTACTCTTAAAAAAAAAAAGGTCCAGTTTGGAGGATAAATTATATGCTGACCCTAGTTTAAAACACACTTTGATTTTCTAACATAGTGTTTTCCAGGTGATATTATGCTTTTGCCCACATCATTGCATTTTATTTACATAACTACTCTGCGAAGCAGGAAGGGAAATACTTGATCGCTATTAAATAAAGGAGGTAATCAAGGCTTCGAGGGGTACAGTGGTGACTGAGGTCACACACTCAGGGCCAGAACCTAGGATTCCTGACTTCAAGTCTAAAACTGTTTCAGCTGTGGATCACTATGTGCAAATGTCTGAGTAAAGGCAAACTTCACTCTCCTTTGGTGATCTGCTTGGCACTGGACTTAGAAGTTTAGATACGTTCATCCTTGCACAGAGACTGTTCTTCCACATATAAAGCAAGCAAAGAGATGGAAGAAGAATTATTAGCTAAACAAAAAGAGGCTGTTAGTGAATCCTGGGCCAAAGAATATATTTTACCAGGTCTAATTACATCAGATTACTTGAATCTTACATCTGGCCAAATTAGGATATTTCCATTTAAGAAAAGAAAACCAAAGATCAATAATGCATGCCTACTCTTGCAAAGAATGCAAAGAACATATAAATGGGTTCTGGTCAGTCTTATAGATATATTTTCCTATAATTACACACTAATTCTTTCTTAAAAATATTTCCCAAAACAGCAAAATTCTACCCTCCTTGGTAAGCAGCAAAGGGACAACACGGGAAACAAAACAAAACAAAACAAAACAAAACAAAACATAAAAACCCTAGACCATTTAAAGACAAGCATGGTGCTTTGTAAAATCTTCGGGGTATCACAGAGGTGCTGAATGCGTGGTTACATCAATGAAAAAACGCCCACTCTTTGAGCCTCCTGAAAAGGAGGCCACAGGACCCCCGGGCGCCAGGGCTTGGGAACCCAGCGCCCCTCCTTGTCTGTGCCATGACAGACAGGTTCAGTGTGACTTGCCAAGGATGGCTCCAAGCAGCTGGGCCATGTAGCCTGAACGCAGCAGAGGGTTGGACGCCTTAGAGCCAGCTGTGGGCACCACAGCCCGACCAGGGAGGCAGCGGGTCTCCCCAGGTTAAGAGGCCAGCGGAGGACGCGCGCGGTCTCCTTGGGGGAGGGTGCGGGTGGGCCGGGCGCGCATGCGCATGGGCGCCATCGCCCGCCGGAAGAGCGGCAGCCCAGGCGCTGCTGCTGGCGCCAGACGGCACCGGCCGCTGGTAGAGCGCGTGCCGCGAGATGCGGCCTCAGGACAGCACCGGGGTCGCGGAGCTCCAGGAGCCCGGGCTGCCGCTAACGGACGATGCACCCCCGGGCGCCACTGAGGAGCCGGCGGCCGCCGAGGCAGCTGGGGCGCCAGACCGCGGTAGGTGCTGGCTCTGCCTTTCCTCGCCGTGTTGCTCCCGCACCGAGCCGGGTGAGTGCGCGGTGTGGATCGGGCTCTGGTCTCGCTCGGGGGTCCCGAGCGGGCGCCGGCGGGTTGGGGTCCCCGCAACCCGGGCACAGTGCCCGCCGCGCCTCCGTCCCCACCCTGCCCGGGGCTCGGGAAACCCCTCGAGCTGTCAGCTGGGGGGCTGCAAAGCGGAATTCCCGGCGCCCCAGCCGGCGCTAAGACGGAAGAAACTTTCCGATTGTTAGCAGTCCTTTTGGGATTCCGAGGCTGCTCCTGTAATTAGTGTCGGGGCAGGGCTGTGGAGTCAGACTGCAGTTTGGCGTACCCTCCCCTAGGTCGTAGGTGGGGGGTCAGCGAGAGAGGCCATCCTGCAGTGGGGCGACGTTGCGAGGAAGCTGACCCTGAAAAGTGATCCCGGTGGTTAAGGGTTCTCTCCGAAAAGGAAGCTGAAAAGCATCGAGTCTAGAAAAAATGTTCGTCCTAGAGTTTTAGAATCTTGGAAAGGCAGAGATAAGTGGGACCGCTAGTTTTTAACCTTTAGGGATACAAGGACTTTTTAGCAAACGATGCAGAACAAGGCATATCTTGTTAAGAAGCTCACAGCCCCGTCCCCAAAGTCAGGGACCCCTCGTGAAGAACACTTTATGTTCAGTCCCCCTCCTTCGACACATGAGCAAAGTGAGGCCCAGGAAGGTGAGGGCTTTTGGGTTTTCGTTTGCTTTGTCTCCTCCAAGATGTGGAACGTGGGGGTGAGATGGGGCGCATGTCCAGGGAGCACCAGGGTTAGGATCCCAGCTTGCCATATACCGGCCTAGGGCCCTTTCCACTGGCCACAAGTGCTGCTTCAAGCACATTCCTCTTAGAAGTCGACCATCTACCAGGAGCAGCTTCCTGCAAGAAGAAGGGAATAGGCAGATCTCTTTTTAGGACAGTTACACGGCCTGCACCACCTTGTCCTCTGGGTCACCTCCCCTAAGTGTGACCCTGGATTTCTGTTCCTCTCCTCTCACTGCGCTTTCCCCTCCTCCCTTTGTGCACTTTCCCCAAGTTAGAGAGACAGACTCTAGGAAGACTATTCTTGCTCCATTTCTGTCCTAAAGGCAAACCGAAATGATCAGACTTGTGATCATTTATAAATGGGCTGGTGCCTCTAGAACAGGGGTTATGCCAGGCTGAATTGAACAGATAAGCAGCCTTTGAAAAGGTCAGTTTCTCACCTATCACCCTCTGGGTGAATGTCCTTCTGGTGGCATGCCGAATCAGTCCATGCAAACTCTTAAAGTTTCCCCTTTTTGTGAATGGAAGAGGAATTCTCTACTCCCAGGCAGCTCATGGCAAGATGAGAAACTTACGTGAGTGTATCTAAGAATCTTGTGGGTGTTTAACTTCAAAGAAAGTTTCTACCAGTAAGACTTAGTTATTGTAAGGTGACAAGATAATATTTTGGAAAGAAAATTGACATAAAAACACTTTACTGTTGTCATTGAACTTTGTGACACCTCTTGTTCTAACTGCTTATCTCAACAAAGCTTTTTTCAAGTTCTGGTTGGAACTGTTACCCATATGTCTTACATTCTTGGATGACCTTAACAGACACATACAGCTGTCCCAAGACATCTCCTTACTTTCTTCAGGGACAGTGTGGGTCTTACACTGAAGCAAGGAGAAGTAGTTTCTTAGGCCTGTGCCTCACATCCTCTGGAGGGAGTTAGTGATCGAGTGTAGCAGTGGTTCTCAAACTAGTGGAGCCTTTTAGAGTTACAGAGATTCTATTTCGGTGGGTCTGAGATGGGGCTTGAGAATTAATTTTTTTTTTTTTTGGAGATAGGGTCTTACTCTGTCACCAAGGCTGTGGTGCATTGGCGTGATCACAGCTCACGGCGACCTCAACCTCCTGGGCTTACTCGATCCTTTCATCTAAGTCTCCTGAGTAGCTGGGACCACAGGCACACACCACCACACCCGACTAATTTAAAAATATTTTTTGCATTGATGAGGGGGTTTCCCCGTGTTGCCCAGGGTGGTCTCAAACTTTTGAGCTCAAGAGATCCTCCCACCTTGTCCTCCCAAGGTGCTGGGATTACAGGCATGAGCCACTGCACCCAGGAATTAAAGTTTTAAGTGTTACTCAGGTGATTCTAATTCCCAACCAGGATTGCGAATCACCAGCTGAAAGCAGAGGATAGAGAAGCTGAGTAATTTTTCAGTTTTCTTCTAAGTGAGGAAATTACACCATGGCCACTTACCTAATTTGAATAATTTGAGTTACCAAATTATTAGATATGCTTGCAGTGAGATATGAACATGGAACCTAAACAAATGCCTCTTTCAGTTATGCTAGTCATGCTCATCTCCATTGACAGGATTGAAATGATTTAGTAAGAAACTGAGGTTTGTCTGAGTGGAGCCAGTCCTCACCCTCGTTAACAAATCATCAAATGCAGCGAGGCCTTCTAATGTCTGTCCCTTCCCAGTTGGAAAGCATGAGCCTTAAGTGTTTATAGGCAAGAAAATACATGTGTATGTGTTTTAAGGGGAAAGGTCACTAGGGCCAAGGGGGTGCAATTACATTTTTAAAGAGTTAAAATATTTAATGTTAAGTTAAAATATTCCTGGGGAAAAATTAGCAAGTTTATGTTGGAGAAGATACTTGAAACAGAGCAGGGAGATGTTTTCTGTCCTTGATCTTCTCGGTCTGTTCTGTTTGAGGGTGGAGTTTCTATGTAGGGGTTGAGTTTCTTTTAAGAAAAACTGTTTTATTTGGAACTGAATTCTGAAATTTCAGAGGCCAGACCCTAAGGCTGACCACAGCCAAGGCATGTATTTTGTGGTGCTTCACTTGGAAGTCTTCTAAAGCTTCCTTCTCGTGGGCTGCGTGTGTGCAGTTTATTTCTGCAGTATACAAGCACATGGATACAGAACAGAATGAGGATTCTGGCATCTTAAGGGAAGGACTACTGCTAGTTCCAAAGCAGTATCTTCAGCTGTGCACCTAGAACAGGAAGAGGTAGAGAAGGGTGCCTTTGACCACAAGGCCAGGCTGTAGAATGCCCCAGAAAGCCTGTGCATCAGCATACTTTGGTCCCAGTTTGCAAAGTCATCTCACTAACCTGAGGATGTGTAAATGTGTTACCTGGTGTTTACATTTATCAGAGAAGGGCATTTTAAAAAACATTACACAATACTGTTTTATAGCTATCACATTATAAAGTCCTAGATTGGAATGATAATACGAGTTTTCCTACAAGTTGCTCATATCCACTCACCCTTCAGTTCCACTGTGCTCTTAATCAATGAGGGCCACTTGTGTTTCCTTCTTACCCTCAACCCTGTTTTTGTGTTAATTTCAAAAAAGAATATATCCCGCAGTGTGTGACCTTTGTTTTAGGGCATTCTCTGCCCACCCTGCTGCTTTTGCTCTCTGAATGACAGAGGAGTAAGACTGAAAGCAGGTTCTACTCCTGTGTAGGAAACTAAGACATAGTAAGTGGCTAAACAAGTTTAAAGCTCACACAGATTGTCATTAATGACTGAATACTTGATGCCCTGGAGAAAGCACTGGTTTCCTCGTTCAGATCGAGCCAAGAGTAGGGATTAGATGGCAGTTCTGTACAAAGCACTTGGGATCCAAAGGGCTAGATAACCCACACCCTCCCCTTGAGGAGTTTGTGCTCTGAATGGGAAGATAAGTCGTGAAAGCATGAAAAGTTAAATATAGATTTGATTAACAGTTCAAAATAACAAAATGGAGAACCTTCCCAGATTATGCTGTTGCCGATAGTGTTAGACTCTTGAGTCTTTCCCTGAAGTTCTCTCATCTTTCATTCACTGAATATTTATCCAGTGTCTTCCATGTGCCAGGCATGTACAAGACAGCAAGATCCCAGCCCTGGAAGAGCTCACAGACTTGTGGGAGGAAGTCAAATAATCAACAGATAACTGTATAACCCAATTATAACCCATTTTCCAGAAAAGAACACTTTCTTCATAAAGCCAATTTCGCCAGTGAGGTGTGGCGTAAGATATCACTTGGAAGGATTTTTTACTTGCCATCTTGACAAGTGTTTCTTAAAGATTTCTCTCACCATCTTGGCAAGCGTTCTACTTCTTGACTTGTAAGTGAGGATGATTCTTCAGTGAGCCATAGGAAATCCATTTGATAGGGCGAAACGGCATTTTAAAAATGCAGGTTTAAATTGTTATCCTCATCTATGGTTCTTCATAATTGATGGGGAAAATGGTACAGGCCCAGAGAAATGATATGCTTAGGAGGTAATAAAGCCTGTTGACCTTTGACACTGTTCCATTTTTCTCAGTTTCTAAGTGAAAATGATAACACATACACTTGGAAGCAAGGACTAACCAGAATTTAATCTTTTTCAGAAGCCAAGAAGAAAGCACCCTGTCCTGGACTTGGCTTGTTTTACACATTATTGTCTGCCTTCCTTTTCTCAGTGGGCTCTTTATTTGTTAAAAAAGTGCAAGACGTCCATGCTGTAGAGATTAGTGCGTTTCGATGTGTGTTCCAAATGCTAGTTGTTATCCCTTGCTTAATATACAGAAAGTAAGTATTTTTTAACTGCAAAGTAGAAGATATTAATAAATGTGTGTATATCTTTTCACCTGCCTATAATTACTCTATCTGCTTTATCCATCTCATATACTTACCAGTTCCTATGCCCCTTGGCTCTGCTTAATGAAAAGTCATAAGCATCTACCCACAGAAGATTCTACCATGAGCATAAACCACATACCCAACAAAGTGGGGAGAAAGAAATTTTGTTTTTCACCACCTCCCCTTTTGAAAACAGAGCTTTCTTTGTATAATTCCTCTTGTCTTGTATCACCCTCCCTTCTTTCCTTTGGCATAACTACTGTTTGGAAGTTAAAAAAATGAATGAAAAGAAGTAATAGTGTATCCTAGTATCAGAAGTTTTTTTAGAATGGGCTGCTTTCTTACCAGGGCAAATAGAAGATTATAGTAATAATATTTAGGTATTCCTCAAAAGGTGATGGGGTAACCCTGAGCAAGGTTACTTTCGTATTTAGTTTCCTCTTTTGTAAACTAGAGGGAATGATACTGTGTGACTTCTGCCCTACAAGGTGATTCCAAGGGTCAAATAAGATTTATTATAGGGTGGAGTGCCTTGTGTAGAGTGTAACAGTATATGAAAATTGTCTCTATTCCGCCCTCTCTGTTCTCTCCCAACCCAATTCCTCTTTTCCTTCCCTGTTGAACTCCCTACCCTCCCTGGGTTAAAATTATGCCTCCTTCAACCATTGTAACCTCCATATACCTCAGTGTATTTAGAACCCTGAGAGCGAGACCAGTTGGGTCCTTGGTGGCTGCCTGGCTCTTTGTCTCTTTGGGCAAAAAAGGCTACACCCCAAATGAAAAGCTTTAGTCACTTGTCACCAAAGTCTCCTTGTATCTCTAACATGGTGCGGATTCACTTAGAATAGTTTCACTCCATATCCTGATGATTTGGTGGGAAAAGTGAAAACCTGCTAATACCTGCAAATTTCTGTCAATGCGGACAAGTCACACTATTTTAAGAAATGATGGTAGGGCTTTAGAAATTTCTAAGGGTAGCAGCAGAACACCGATGCTAACATAATCATCTCCCCCATTTTGAAATAAAGATATTGTCAGGGGAAGGACACTGGAAGAATGTTGTTAAAATCCTTGGTCCTCATCTGTTTTGACCCATTTTATGTTTTATTATCATGGAAGACTCTTTGCTTCTCAAAGTATGGGCCAAATGTGACCGTGCTTTCATTTTAACTCCAAGATACCCGGGGTAGCCTAGATGATAATCTAATGAAGTCTAGCCCTGGCACACGTCAGCAAGTTGCACCTAGCCAGGAACCTACACAGAGTGGGTACTTAGTAAATATTTATTGAAAAAGAATTTGAATAGCAGTAATCATACTTTTCCAAACACTACATGTTCTTTTTCAGTGTGTTTTGACTCTTTCCTCATGAGAACAATGAAAACTTGTCTCATATTCAATGACTAAAATAAATTTTAGCAGTTTCAAGTTTTATAGAAAAATTCATGAGATTGAGAATGAGCATTAGCTGGGTCTAAGTTTCCTTACACAGGGCAGCTGAATCTTGACATTGTATTTATCATAAAAGTGATATGTTTATAGAAAATTTGGAGAAAATAAATATAAAGAAAGAAAATTACCTATGAGTTTATCTATTAAGATATAAACATGATTAACATTTAGTTTATTTTCCTTTTTGTCCTTTTTGCAAGCATATATATACATATACGTGGGATAAATATCTATATTAATTGAATTATAATTTTACTATGCATGTAATTCACTTGCACTGGTTTTGCTTTTACTGTGAACACTTTACTGTCATTAACTATACTTAGAAAATACTATTTTTAAAAAGTATATAATATTCATTTGTGGATATTATAATTAATTTACTATTCCCTCATTTTTTGATATTTAGTACTTTTAAAATAATGTTTAATTACAAATTGTAATTTAAAAACAAATATTAATTTCATTTAATATGCATTTCTTCATTTGAATTTACAGAACTGGGTTTATAGGCCCAAAAGGTCAACGAATTTTCCTCATTCTCAGAGGAGTCCTTGGTTCTACCGCCATGATGCTTATATACTATGCTTACCAGACAATGTCCCTCGCTGATGCCACAGTTATCACGTTTAGCAGTCCAGTGTTTACGTCCATATTTGCTTGGATATGTCTCAAGGAAAAATATAGCCCTTGGGATGCTCTTTTCACCGTGTTCACAATCACTGGAGTGATCCTTATCGTGAGACCACCATTTTTGTTTGGTTCCGACACTTCGGGGATGGAAGAAAGCTATTCAGGCCACCTTAAGGGAACATTCGCAGCAATTGGAAGTGCCGTATTTGCTGCATCGACTCTAGTTATCCTAAGAAAAATGGGAAAATCTGTGGACTACTTTCTGAGCATTTGGTATTATGTAGTACTTGGCCTCGTTGAAAGTGTCATCATCCTCTCTGTATTAGGAGAGTGGAGTCTGCCTTACTGTGGGTTGGACAGGCTATTTCTCATATTCATTGGGCTCTTTGGTTTGGGGGGTCAGATATTTATCACAAAAGCACTTCAAATAGAAAAAGCAGGGCCAGTAGCAATAATGAAGACAATGGATGTGGTCTTTGCTTTTATCTTTCAGATTATTTTCTTTAATAATGTGCCAACGTGGTGGACAGTGGGTGGTGCTCTCTGCGTAGTAGCCAGTAATGTTGGAGCGGCCATTCGTAAATGGTACCAAAGTTCCAAATGAAGCATCATTGCTGAAATACATATTTTTTTCAAGTACACCATCACCTAATTCACATACAGCATACGCACACATCTGGAAAATCTGCATTTTCTTCATTGGTTGTATTTAATAAATTGCCTAAAGTACCATTTTTGAATATAGTATGTCTTTAGTTAAGAATAGCTAGTCTGTTTGGTGTAACAATTTTTTGGTAGCTTTGGTTTTGGTTTTGGTTTTTTTTGTTGTTGTTGTTGGGGTCAAGTTGGTGAGAGGAGAGCTCATTGTTTGAAGAAAAACCAAAACATTTTATGGCTAGTAATATTTATGTAATTTTTAAAATGTATTTTTGGTACTGATGGGATATGGGTGGGGAGGCTATTTTAGATATTCTTTTAGCAGTGTAGAGCCTAAGAAACTTGGTTCTACTACCATGATCTTTATAAACTATGCCTTCCAGACAATTGATAATGCTGCTATAATTAGTATTATGTTGATAATTCATTTGCAACCTTATTCTATTTAGGAGGATGAAGTTGAAGCTTAGAATAGGTGCCTGCTTAATGGTGTTAATAATACAAATGAATTGGCCTTATTTTCAAGGATTTTATAAATGATTATCATACTTGTAACTCATATTTGTGCCTTTTCATTTTAATGCTGGAATTTTTATTATGTCACCTCTAAAACACTTAAATTGCCAAATTTGGCTAGTAGTTTTGTTTCAGTGGCATTAGCAACTGCAGCTAGCATACTATAATTTTAATTGTCCTCACTTTTTTTTGAAACTGCACTAAATTTTTCTTAACATTCCAAGATTTCAGATCTCTAAATCACAAAGAGAAATCTTGGCATGACCAGTGTGCACGTTTCCATCCTGAAGTGTTTTCTCTTCACTAGAAATGTGATTTTCTATAAATTCCCCTTGAATTTATAGTGTGATGCCAAATAAAATTTTCTCAGGATCTTATTAGGTTGAACCATATGTAATTGCCAAGATTTTACTATTTTAACTTAGAAAAACCATCGTTTCATATGATTCACCCTAATAGATACCTCCATTATTCTCTAAATGAAATAGAAGACTTTGGAGTATATGTTTTTAAAGTAATTTTTTAAAATATGGTAATGTATTAAACTTATTTTTATAGTTATGAAATTATGTGTAATAATGCTTTATGTTATACATTAAATGTAAAGACTTGTGAATCCATGTTTGATTGACTTTCATAGTTTCCTGCATTGAAATAAAATCACTATGAATTCTAGTTTATCAGCATGATGTTAAATGTCAGTGCCATACCATGATGCAGCACCATGACACTAACGCCATGAATTCAAACAGCACGTTTTACACCTGGAACTTCATCAGACCAATACTTTGCAGTTAGAGAGAATTTAATATCTAGAAAAGCTTGGGAGGTTAGTCAGGACTTAGGGAGTATACATAAATGGTTACTTGTTGTAATGAGCCCTTTATTGGTGAGGTTGCAATAGCTTCCAGCTCTTACTGTGTCAGATGAAGCATCTGTCATTATCTTAAGCCTGCAGAGTTGAAAGGTTATAGGCTCTTTCCTACCCTCTCATCATAATTTTTCCAAAGCAAAGAGGAACTTGGCTTCTGGGGTTCGTGCCTTAGTGAGAAAGAATCTTTTCCAATAGTTCCAATGGGGGAATTTTTGGCTTGCTGATTTTATCAATTGCCTTGACACCTGACAAACCCTAAATGAAGTCTATGTAGGTGAGTCATCTCTGTTCCACCTGATTTACAGTATTGGAATTTAGACTTGCAAAAACATCATTCTGCAAATATCTTAGATAATTACAGAATCAGGAGCATTTGAGAACTCTAGAGGTCTCAGAAATCATCACATAGGGGCCATGCTTCGTAGATAGGGATGATAGAGAGGAGACCTGCCCAAGTTGAATTTCCATGGCCTTCCTCCCTTCCTTAGTTCCATGATAAAGTATGGACAGTAAACCACTACTTGAGCTACCTAAGGTGAATTAACTCTCAGGGAACCCTCTTCCAGTTCTTTACCTTGCACAGTGAAAGAATCAGTGGCACCTAGAAAGTTAAATCCCTTTAGGCCCATACACTAGAGACATGTTTTGTTTGAACAATGTAGTTTAAGTACTTGAATGTCACACTATATAACTGAGGTTAGAGAAAATGTTTCTTCTAGCCCTTACAGGGTGTGATTCTTAAACACAATGTCCAAGGTGTATACAAGGATATGTATTGTAACAACTATGGGTATGTATATTTTGCAGAGCGTAGTTTCTATATCTTGAAAAGGAAAATATTTTCATAAATTGTTTTTATAAGTACTAATAAAATAATATGAAAGAAAGCTATATGTTGGTTGTTATGATTATAGCAAATATATAACTTATTTCCCTTTCAACCCTATGCTTCAAAATATATTTTCTGTAGGAGATTGACCTCTAGCCATTCAGCTGGGATATAATCTCAAAGTTTAAACTGTCTGACCCACTTGTACTATCAAGAGGGTCAGATGAACAGTGTAATCTGTTTATCTCTCCAAAATAAAGGCATTAGTCTTCTGTGTTAGTGAGACCTTCATTCTTCTAGATCCTGAGAACTTAAAGTAGCTTTGAACTCTGTACTTTTTGTTCCTGTAGCTAATCCGTTACTAAATCCTGAAGAGTCTTTCTTCTTATTGTCTTCTTATTGTCTTGTGGATTTATTCTTTCCTCACCATTTCCACTGCCACCATCTTAGCCCAAGACTTAGCACCTTACACCTGAATTACCACAACAGTTTACTGGTTACCTGCTTCAAGACTCTTTCTTCCACTCTGATTCCTGTCTCAGTGCCAGCTTAATGTTCCTAAAGCCCTGTTTTCACTGTTACTCTAGTTCTCATGAAACCACAGTGATGCCTTATTACACACCATATCACATCAAATTTTCATCTGGCCCTACTCCCACTTCTCCGACCTGATTTCTACATCCCAACACAAATGGGATACTCAGATCAGTCTTACCACTAGCTCCCATGTTTGCCAGTAGAGTCCTTCCTCTGCATTTCCCCCCTGTCCTTACCTTCTCTTATTTACCCTCTAAGGCCTGTTAGCCTCCAATGGCTCAGCTTAGGCTTTTGTTTCTTCTGGACTCTAGCTTCTCCTACCCACATAATCCATCTTGGAAGAGTGGGTAAAGCACTGGATTGGGATCTGAAGGTCTAGTGTGGTTTTATCACTTTTCAGCTGGACAAATCACCTAATGCACCTGAGCCTGTTTTCCTCACTTGCCCAGTCCCTCTTGCAAATGAGTGCCATAGAAGGGCTTATAGACTATTAAGAAGGATGAAAACATTAAGTATTGAACTGTGGTTAAGACTGTAGAATTGAGTATTCACTCTCCTCTTCAAAATGAGGCGTATACCAGAGTCCTTACTCCCGAGCAGCCTCACCAGGAACCGTAGGAACATGCCTATCAGAATGCAAACTCCATTCGGCCCCCTCCTGCTAGCACAGAATTGTGCTGTTGGCCAGCTTTCACTTCCTAGCTGATCTTCCCATATAGGGCTGCCAAGGATCACCAGTCCTTTCATGCGCAGGTGTTACCACCTTTCCAGTTCTGGCCCTAGCTCTGATCTTATATGGGTATTATGCTTGGCTCTGACCTGGGGAATGGGCCTGATTTATGTGTGTTTCCCATGCACTGTGTACTCAGCATGGTTCTTTTAGCCTCTTACGTATTGCACTCGGTAAGCATATTTACTCTCTTGAGGGCATTCTAGTGGGAAGAGAGCCAGATGTTCTTGATATCACCCTGGTCTCTGATCTAGGTGTGTATGGATCCATGGTCAATAATGGGCATTAGAATTTGGTTATATGGGTGAAGGTTGGATATATGAATCCTGGACACTACCCTAAGCATGCTGTTTTATGCCCCGTTTGGTGCCTTATATCAGATCTAATACAGCTACCATATTCACCTAGAATTCTGCAAGATAACCTATCAGGGACTCTGATCCACATTGATGGATCCACGGTTTAGCCTCTTTGAACATTAAGTTTGGAGCTGGACCTGGGAAAACAATTCACAGCCCATGAACCTTGGCACTTCTCATCTCCTGGAAATTCAGGGGTGGGCTTTATAGCAAGAGGGTAAGGAGAAGACATACTTGGTATCAAGGGAGGGCAGTAAATGTAGCAGAGATGCCCAGTACACAGGAAAACGTTCCACTGGGCTCAGGAAATGTCATTACTAGAGAAAGAGCCTGGGTCTCTTCCACTAAACTTTCATGATTCTAGAAACCATGTGAGATTAATACCAGTAAGCCTGATGAAGCAAAGGAAGTAACCTAGATTCATGATTAGTTGCCAGGGTGGGGTCAGGAAAGTATAAAACCATAGTTGAGCAGAAGTAGACTTGGGCAGGAGGAAATGTGTTCAGGTGAATGGTGCAGCATGAAAGTACCATGCCAGGGTTGGGAGCTCCATGGTGCAGCAGAAGTACATGGAAAGGCCAGGCCAGAGGAGTGCATTACTAACCAGAAGGCCTGTATCTGAGGTTATAAGAACCTGGCTGTTCTTACCGCTGTTCCAAGTATACTTGACCATGATTTAAGATTAAGCTGTATGTGCCAAGAACATACCAGAAAGAGAGAAACTAATAATACAACTATATTTGATTTTTTCTATGATTATAGTAGGTACTAGCTCAATAATATTAGAATTGAATTCAAAGCAATAGCATAATTCAGAATGGACTAACATTTTCTTTCTTCTGATATTCCCCCTGGGAAATCAGCCACATTGCTGTGAGGAAGCCTGGGCTACATGGAGAAGCCCACATGAAGAGGCCCATGTGGAGAGGAACTGAGGCCCTGACACTTGGCCCCATCTGCACTACCAGCTGATAGCCAGCATGAGCCTGCCAGCCAGGTGAGTGTGCACACTGGGAATGGATCCTCCAACTCTCAGGTGAGCTGCCCCAGCTGATGCTGTGTGGAGCAGAGACAAGCCCTCCTCCTACCTCCTGAGCTCTGCTCAAATTGCAGATTTGTGAGAAAAAGAAACCAGTTATTACTGTTTTAAGCCACTAAAAAAAAAATATAAACGATAAAATTGTCTTGGATATGTATGTACCACATTATACACAATCACAATTACATAAAGCAAAACACCTCAAAAGAACAAAAATCAACAAAAGGTAGGACATTTTCATGGGGTTTTTTTAGCCTGTGACAGATAAAATTCACAAAAATTAGATATATAGGGGATAAGAATAATAAAATATAATAAAGTTGGTCTAAACCAACTGTTTTCAAAGTGTGGTTTGGATACCTCAGAGTCCTCAGGACCCTTTCAAAGTGTTTGCGATGTCAAAACTATTTTAATAATAATACTAAGAATGTTATTAGTCTGTTTCACAATCATTCTTTCATAAGTATACAGTGGAGCTTTCCAGAGGCTATTAGACATGAAATTGCAACAGCTTGAATGCAGAAGCAGATAGGAGAATACAGCTATTATCTATCAAGCCAGGTTTGCAAAAATAAAAAGCAATGCCACTCTTCTCACTAATTTTTTTGGAAAATAGTTATTTTTTATTAAAGTGTTATTTATATTAACATATAATTACATTATCTTTCAAGGCCAGCACAGTGGCTCACACCTGTAATCCCAGCATTTCGGGAGGCCAAGGTGGCCAGATCACTTGAGTCCAGGAGTTTAAGGCTGCAATGAGCTACGATCGCGCCACTGCACTCCAGCCTGGGTGACAGTACGAGATACAACAGATGAACACACTTCCTGTTTATGTGCTTTAGTTCCTTTGTATGTGCATTTTAGAAAAGTCAGAAGTCTTTGGTACTTTGCAGCATGTGTGCATTGGTACAACTTCTAGGAAGGGCAATTTGGCACCATCTATCAGATTTACTTATGTGCAAAATGATATGTACAAGTTTATTCCAGCCTGATTTGTAATAGCAAGAAGAAATGGAACTAGCCTGAATGTCCCTCAATAGAGTACTGGTTAAGTAAGTCATGGTATATACCCAAAATAAAATGTAATGCAATTAAAAATAAATTTAAGAAGAGCAAGGAAGCTTTCCATATATGGGTGTGGAATAATGTCCAAAATTGTTAAGTGAAAAAGCAAAATTCATATCATGGTTGAGTATGTGCTCATTTGTATAAAAAGAGGGTAAACAGAATATTCCAGGAGGATATGCAAGAAACTGTTAACATTGGTTGCCTTTGGCAGCTGAAGGGCGAGGTGAGAGGAGACTTTCCACTGAATCCCCTTTTACACCTTTTGAATTTTGAACCAGGTGGGTAAATAACTTAGTCAAAATAAAATAAAATAAAATAAAATAAAATAAAATTGGTGGAACAAAAATAAAAAGGTGACTTGATGGAAAAGAAAGGAGAAAGAAAAGGAGTAAAAGACATAGGGAGCTACATATATACATTATGTCATACATACATACATGCATAGAGAGATGTTTACTGCTTTAATCTGGGCTGTCACCCTGACTCACCTTACGGACTTCCTTTTGCTCCCTCCTCTTTTGCCTCATAGAGTCTGCAGACCATACTTAAATTCCCACATCTCCATGATTGAAGGGAATATAAAGATGAAACTGAAGTTCACCTTTTTAATAGGACTATATCCTCCAAGATCCTAGAAAGCGTTGTGTGGCCCTGATTCAGATGTCTGCTTTCCTATGGCACCAAAACAATTTTTACTTGGAAAGGACACTAACATTTATTGAATAAACCTCATCCCAGCCAAGAGCTTCTTAATCTTTGTCTCATTCCCTCACCAACCTTGGGAGATAGACTGATTGGGAACTGAAGTTCAAAGAGGTTGAATGGGGTTACCTACCTGCTAAATTCTAGTCCCCTCACTAGTAAATGATGAGGTTGGGCCATGAGGTCTGCCTGACTCCAAAGACCTTGCCCTTTCCAATACTTCATGCTGCCTCCATAATTGAGGGTGGTAGAATGCAGAACAGGGAGTCATTTGTCACTGTGGTGGAGAAAGAGTTGGTTTTTGACTTTGGGATTTAGGGATACATATGTCCTCCTTCCTCCTTCCCCTCCTAGAGCAAGAGCTAGAAGCGAAAGAATAGAAGGTGATGACAACACTGCATATATTTCAGTTTTATTTCTTCCGATCTACTAATTAACATTTGTTGGGCAGTAGCCATAAACAATCCTAGCCAATGCAAGGAAACACCAAATATTGTCAAGCCCTCACATTGGTCATAACTGGAAGCAAACATGACATATATGGACTATATAATCAGTTTGCGTGGGCTACAGCAAGATGTTGCCCAAGAGCCTAGGCATGAGCTGGCTTCCTACGGCCTCCAAGCAGGAAAGAATGGAGCTATACACAGTCATCTGAATATACAGAAGTGAACCCTGGGCCAGCCACATTCAGCCGTAACTTCCCCAGACTGTTTCTACAGGTGCAGTGTGCCAATCAGAAGAAAGGTGGCCAGGCTCAGGAGAAAGGACAGGAGAGTGACTCTGGCAGGCTTGCTCCATTGTAGAGATGAGATACACCAAGATAGTGACTTCCCAGCTTTTCTCCCCAAAGCACCCCTAATAGCTGAGAAGAATCTGGAGGCATAGCTACCATCACAGCTACACTAACCACCATACTTTACTGTATCCTTCAGGTGTCTGTCCTAGCTAGTTTTGTGGTCTGGCTCCTTCAGTCCCTGCAACAAGCCTGTTTATTTTCATTATATTGATGAGGTTATAGAGCTTGGACAAGTTACATGACTTTTCGAAGATCACATAGCTAATAAGTGTCAAGAGTCTTATTCTCAAAACCCTGGTCTGTCCAACTACAAGCCTGTGCTCCTGACTCCACTATTCTGCTTACCCTAAGCCTAAAGCTGCCCACTTCAAGCTCAAATCCTCTTGGAGGCTTCATGCTTTAAAAAAAAAAAATCCATGCAATTTTTTGCATCCTAATTAATAATATATCTGTGTGTTTTAGTGTAAATTTTTTTTTTTAAATTACCAATTCAGTTATTTAGCTTTTTATTCCCCAAATCTTTGGTACCCTAGGCAGATGTGTCATATTTATCCTGGGCTTTATGTACCTCTGGTTTGAGGGACTCTTGAACTTCATTTTAAGAAACATGGCCCAATGAGTACACAGTCAAGTCTTCATGTCCCTGAACACTGCATTACAAAATCAGCACTCCTTGTTCTTTGTATATTTGTGTTATCAAATAACTATGTGATTATAATCTGGCTTCTCATATACCATAAGTGCAGAAGAGAATCAAAAGATTGAGTACCTGATTCCCTAAACTGTCAAATTTCCCGTTGTATATTAATAAAATTTGTATCGTTTCACAAATAAGACTCTATGTTTTTGGTTATTGTTGCTCTTCCTAGAGAGATAGAATGTATTCCCAGCTTCCCTCATCCCCTTTCTTCTAAAATAATATCCCTGTATTAGAGTAATTATGCTGGCTGCTATAACAGACAACACCCCAAATCTCAAGAGTCTTAAAAAATAAAGTTTTATATCTCGATTCCCTCACAGTCTGATGTAAGTTGCAAGGTCTCTACAGTATCTCTCCTTTGAGTGGTGATTAGGCTCCAGGCTCCTTCCCCCTGATGATCCTGACTTCTTATACAGGTAGCCTCCAAGTTTACCAACATTTTACATCAACAGTCTTGACGGAGAACATCGTTTCTACCCAAATGCCATTGGCTGTAACCTAACTTAAAAGGAGGGTAGGAAATAAGTCTTCCTTTGTGCTCAGGAAGAGGAAAAGAACAATAGCAACAGAATTTGGTGAACCTAAAGCATTGTTTCTGCCATAACCCCCTTCCTTTGGGGAACTGCTGAAATCTAAGTCTCTAGTTTTGGTGGAGCTGGCAATTCAGAATCCTACCCCCAATGGCCTAGGAAGTGGGCAGGCCCATGACCTGAGCTCAGCCAAGTCAGGTTTATCTCTCTCTGTAATTTGAATCATGAGCAGGGTCTCAAGCGCAGAAGGAGCTGTCCAGTGGCAGTGCCCAGAGAGAAGGGCCGTGGGTGCCGGCTGTAGAAATCCTGTAGACAGACTGGGTCCTGTCCCTCCTGATGCCCAGTTGTCCAGCTCTTCCATCAAGTCTGTGAGATCCCCACTATCCTTCCAATTAGTTCCCTACTTGTGATTAAGTTAGAATTTGTTTCTGGGCCGGGCGCAGTGGCTCACGCCTGTAATCCTAGCACTTTGGGAGGCGAAGGCAGGCTGATTGCCTGAGCTTAGGAGACCAGCTTGGGCAACATAGCAAAACCCCGTCTCTACTAAAAAGACAAAAAATTAGCCGGGCATTGTGGTCATACCTTGTAGTCCCAGCTATTCGAGAAGCTGAGGCAGGAGACTCGCTTGAACTCAGGAGGCAGAGGTTGCAGTGAGCCAAGATGGCACCACTGCATTCCAGCCTGGGTGACAGAGCCAGACTCTGTCTCAAACAAACAAAACAAAACAAAAAAAACCCCCCAAAAAACAGTGTTTCTCTTACTTGTACCCAAATGCAAGTATTAATTATTAATCTTAATTAATACCCAATATTTGCCACCTATATGCTAACAAGCAGATTTCCCATCTCTTCATGACTCGACCCTTGGGGATATGATGGGCTATCTGGCCAACCTTTTTCAGATGACATCTCTCTATCTTATTAAGATCTTTAATCTTCTAAGTGCATGAGAAAAGCAAGAAACAGTACAAAGCAGATGTTTAAGGCCAAAGAAGTCATAAAGTCAACATGCCATCCTCTGCAGGGATGTCAGGTGGACGATGGGGTCATATCCAGGAGTGATCTCTGAAGAAAGATCCCATACATCAATTTGTCAACCTATTTCACAGACAAAAATCAGGATTCTAAAATAACACCGTCCAGTAGAATTACACTGCAGGCTACACATATAATTTTTAGTTTTCTGGAAGCCATATTAAATAATGTAAACAGACAAGTGAAATTGATTTTAATAATATATTTTATTTAACCCAATACATCCAAAATATTACTGTTTCAACATGTTATCAATATAAAAAATTATTAGTGAGATACATTCTTTCCATCATACCATGCCTCAAAATCTAATGTGTGTTTTATAGTTACTGCACATATCAACTGAGACCAGCCATATTTCAGATGCTCAGTGGGTACATGTGGCTAGTGAAATGACCTAATAGTCCCATAGACAGTTGTTTTTGGATAAATGTAGAAATTGGCCCTTCTAGTCTTAAAGCTTGAAACTTAGAGCTGTAAGTTGTTTCGGATGGTTGTACATCCCCATCTCCTCCATCATGACATTGGTTCTTCCGAGAGTTCTTTTCCCCTTGTCTGTATAGGTGATTCAGGTCAGCCCTGACCTGGCTCCAGGCTTTGGTTCCTCCTCCTCCCAAGAGCAACTACAGGTGGAATTTGTGGCAACCATCTCCACTAGCTAGTGACACCGACTAACAGTCCCATAGACAGTTGTTTTTGGATAAACATAGAAATTGACCCTTGTTTGTATCTGAGTTCCTTCCTCAGGAAAGGATCCCCAGGCCTCTCACGAAGTATCAAAGAACTGAAACCACGTCATTGCATCCACACAATGAAACGCCAGGCCCCTCATTCATCATGATTGCTTCCTTACGCCTCTCGAGTTCCTGTTTTCTCAGACATAGTAACATGTCTTCCCTGCTATATAAACCCCTAATTTTAATCAGTAAGAGAGATGAATTTGAGACTGAACCCCCATCTCCTTGGGTGCAGCTCCCAATTAAAGCCTTTTTCCTTGGCAATACTCATTGTCTCAGTCATTGCCTTTCCGTGCAGCAAGCAGCAGGACCTAGACCGAACCCCTGGTGTTTCAGTGACACTAGTAGTTAGCATGTTTGACAGCATAGTTCTAGAAAGTGCTAGGAAGAAAGGAGGGTTATAACAGCAGGCACTATTTCTTGAGCCCTGCCATGTGCCAGCACATGTCAAAGCTCCTTACATATTTCTCTCATTTGATCCCTGGAAAAGCCTTTTGAGATTCTTATTTTCTCTATGTTACAAATGAGAAAGACGACTTAGCGAGTTTAAGAAACTTGTGTGAAGTCACATTGCTAAAAAGGACAGAGGACAAAGCACACAACACACACAGTCTGTCTGACCCAAAGCAAACACTTTCTAATTGATCTCATGCTTTTCATTTACAGGTAAGAGGACATGAATTGCCTTGGAGTTTTACCCTAAAGGTTGTGGATCAGGAAAGGTCCTAAACAAAGCACAGGGGAATGGCACTAATCTCACCAGTAAGGTGTGTAGCCAAACCAGCTGTTCCCTGTTAAGGTAAGAGGCATCTAACATGAATTAGAGAAACAGAAACAAGTGCTAATACATTTCTCCAGCCAAAAAATTCTATGAGAAGCAATGGTGAGGTGATGAGCAAGGCGAAAACACAAGTAAAGCTCCACTAACCAGAAAGAGATAAGTGGGTTTGAACATTAACAAAGGGCAGAATTGGTGATAAAAAGTATTCAAAAACTTCGAAGATAAACATGCAATTTCAGTAAAGCCAGTGGAGGTGAGTGCCACAGTTCCACTTGTAAGGTTGCCCTTGGAGGAGGAGGAACCGGAACCTAGAGCCAAGGTCAGGGCTTACCTGGATCACCTATGGAGGTAAGGGGAAGCAAGCCCTCGGAAGAACCAAAGCCACAATGGAGGAGATGAGGATGTACCACCATCCAAAGTGTGTGTTTGAGAACATCCCTCTTCAGCAGGCTTCACACAGGTTACCAGGATAGACACAGGTGCTTATAGATGCTCAGCCAAGACTAACTTAAAAAGCCAGAGTCCATAAAACAGTCCTCAGTGAAATAAGAACACCATGCTAAATCTAGTAAGTGTTTACATTTTGCCTTTATGTATTAGTGTTTACCCTTTATGAAATTATGGTAATAGTGGATAGTCATTGTTTGGGTGGCTGTGTGTGTGTGTGTTTAAAGTCTTCACTTGGCAAATATAAAAGTCAACAACTTTATATTGGTCCTCCAGTTTTACTATTAAAACAAATTGATGGTATATAAAATTTTAAAAAACACTGCTTGCTTAAGATCCCATTTGTTTCTCTCTGATATTATTTCAACTATTCACTCAACCCTAGCTCCATCCTCTGTGTATAAATATGCTCAAATTTCTTCAGATCAAACCAAATCAAACAAAACCTCCCTTAAAACTCTCCTCCCTTCCTCTCTAGGTACACCCAAGCACTTGTTTCTTCTTTATCAACCATTCTTTCCTCAACCCACCAGCTGTTGTTTTTTTCCCCCATTTTCCACATTGGCAGTTGAATATTAAACTGTGCAATCGTTTTTCCACCCAAGTAAAGATGAATTAAAATTTGTTACTCAATCTCAGTGTTTTCCCTTCTGGTTGAATCACCGTTAAAACGGTCTTGCTTTCTTCCTATTTAATCCCTGTGGGAGGGCACAGTATTTCAGCTACATTATGTGTTAAATTGGACTTTGTCAGCTACCTCAGGAATGTAGCCAAGTTTATATGCTTATATATAAGAGAAAAGCTATGTTCCAAACTGGCTTTCAAATAAATGTTGCTGTTAACTTTTTATTTTGACATAATTTGACATAATTTTAATTTGACATAATTAATTTGACATAATTTCAGAATTACAGAATTACAGAAACACTGCAAGAATTGTACAAAGAATTCCCATTACCCAGATTCCCCTAGAGTTAATATTTGAGAGTAAGTTGAAAACATGAAGCCATTTACCCCTGTATAGTCGGGGGTCACAGTTCTCCATATATATATATATATATATATATATATATATATATATATATATAAAATATATATATAAAGTATATATATAAAATATATATATAAAGTATATATATAAAATATATATATAAAGTATATATATAAAATATATATATAACATGTATATATATAAAATATATATAAAATATATATATATAAAATATATATATATGAATGGATGAAAGAGAAAGAAGAACGTACAGGGAGGAGGAGAAGAAGGAAAGTAGACATATATTTTATGAAATTGGCTTATGGGATTGTGTGTGTTGGCAGGTCGGAAATCCATAGGGCAGCCTAGCAGGCTGGAAAATTAAGGTAAAAGTCAATATTGCAATCTTGAGTCTGAATTCCATAGAGCAGCAGGCTGGAAATTCAAGCAGGGTTTCTATGTTGCAACTTTGAGGAGAATTCCTTCTTTCGGAAACCTCAGTCTTTGTTCTTAAAGTCTTCAATTGATTGGATGAAGCCCACTCACATTACGGAGGGCCATCTGCTTTACTCAAAGTCTACTGAGTTAAATGTTAATCACATCTAAAAAATACCTTTCCAGCAACATCTATTTTGGTGTTTGACCAAACCACTGGGTGCCGTTAGCCTAGCCACATTGACACATAAAATTGACCATCGCACTTCTACAGTCCTGCAGTGTATATTTCCTTTAAAAGGACATTCTCTCAATAAGCATAGTAAAATGTGCAAAATCAGAACATTAACATCAATACAGTGCTATCATCTATTATGCCAACCTTATTCAGATTTTCACAATAACGTAATTGATAGCCAAAAAAAAAAAACTGGAGAAAGTTAACAAGAAAAATGTTTAAAATCCAGAAACTGATAAATAAATGGAAATTAATTGTGATTACCTTCAATTAATTGTAATCGAAAGTAACTTTAATTAAGAATTGTTAACTTTTTTTTTAAAGCCCCTGATCAAAGAAATTAAAAGTTGGCAATTTTCTGATGGACTCAGCCATTTTTTTGAAATTTGGTCTTCCAAATCCCAAAGTCTGGTACCTGACTGGAGATTCCATTCTTTCTCATCTGCTCCGGGAACTTGTTTTTCTGAGTTCTCAAACTCTTCATTTCTACTGACCCCTCTTCTGCTTATAGATATGTTCAGATCTCTTCTATATTCACACCAAACAAAATCAAACAAACATTTCTCTCGCTCCAGCATTTCTCTTGGGTTGGCACCCTCGTTCTTCCCATCCGACGCAGATTTCTAGAGACCCACATCTGCCTCATTATCCTCCCCACACATTCACCTCTTGATTGTAGTAGACACCATTGTTTCCTTACCCAAATTCAACCTCCTCCCTTTTTCCTTGCTTGAATCTCCCCAGTTTTAAGTTCTCGTGCCACGCGCTGATGAAAGTGCACCCAACCCAAACCCAGAGGAGGGGCTAAGGTAGGGGTGAATTTCAATTAGTCTCTAAACCAAACATTCCAATCCTCTTGCCAGTGATTGGCTTAGAAAGGGGCAAAGTAACCAGTTCTGACCAATGATACGTGAGAGGCAGTCTGCAGGCAACACCTCTGGGAAAGAGTTGCTTGTTCTCACAATGAGGCTTCTGAAGAGTGTTTTCTGTTTGTGTAAGGAGGTGGTGCTAGAGCTGCTTCAGCCTCTTGCTGCCATGAGGACATCTAGCCAAACGCATCTTGATTGATAAAACTCATTGGCACCAGCAGACGTAGTTAACATTTTGCAAGCTAGCAACAAATTACTGGAGAATTATATAGTTGTTTCTCTCCCAGAATTCAAGGTAATTAAAAATCTATTCTTAAAAAAGCTTTATTTTTCCATTTTAGAAAATATAATTTACTAATATTATAAAAGCATTATTTCTTATTCCTTCCTGCTTTTCTTTTCAGCAAATGCACAGTATTTATGTTGTGTTAAATGTCCTGTTGATGGATACCTTGAGAATTTAACAACTGAATACTTCATTATGTGTAAAATAAAATCCTAAACCTGACCAATGACTTCTTTAATAGAAGAATCCGGTGACCTCATCTCTTTGTTATCGTATCTGCCACATGGCATACAAATTAACTTTTAAATAATAATTCATTCGTGAACTGAAATGTCCTGGAATCCATCAGTTCATAGCAATGCTGTGTTAGCCAGGGCTTGCAGCCATTCAATTCAATATGAGTTACTTTAATGCAATATCTTTCTAAGGTTCTGTGCACTTTCTTAAGTATGGTCCTTTCAAAAGGCTGCCTGGCATCTTGGTCTGTGATTTTTCAGCAAGGATAGCGGTAGTATTTTAAACAGAACAGCTTTTAAGATTCAGAAATCATTAGCAGGAAAGTGACTTTAATGAAGTGGTTTAGTAGTTCTTATTATCAAAGAATGTTGATTTGGACATCCGCCTGGACCACACTTAGGGAAAAAAGAACTGTCAAAATAACAGGCTAGGTGCTTATGATTCCCTTGGCTTAGAGCTCAGTTTTACCAGTAGATGTCACTATAGTCAGACATTATTTTAAAGCCTCAAAAAGAGAAAGGTAACCTCACCGGAGTTTAAAGGATCTGAGGGGGAAAAAAGCAAACAAGTTCTTCTATAGCTAAACATGTGCTCTTCTTTTTTTAAAAAGCACAGTAGGCATTGAATAAATGTTTACTAAGTGAACCGACAAATAATCAATGCATATGGAATAGTCCGCCCTGAAATCTTTGTGATTGAGTTATGCTCTGATAGGAATCAGAGGAAGAGCTTTAGAGTCTGCAGAACAAAAATGATCTCTAAGATGCAAGCAGGCAGGTACAGAAGTAAGCAACTCTGCCCAGAGTCCATTCGTGAGAAGGGACGTGGGGATTTAAGCAACTCAACTGTGCAGACTGTTGCGCGCCACCCTACGCCAGGCACTGAGCTAGGGACTACTAGAATCGGAGAGGGAGTCGCGGTACATAGAGCCGATGGCGAAGTAAAGCAGAGGTCATGTGTTCTGTCCTCCATCCTGGAGTGGGGGAGGTGCAGGTTTTCCTGGCTTCAGAGGTAGATCAAAGTTCTAAAATCAGGGTGAAGGAGCTGAGAAACAATTCCCATCAGCTCTCCTTCAACACCCTCTTTCCTTTTTTTAAACTGAGGTTTGCCTGCATAAGGCAGAAAGAGATTAGGAAAACAGTTTGCAAACCTGGCAAATTATTCAGAGGTTTGATATATTGAAGATATATGACAACATGTATTACAGCTATTTTGAGCGCTTATTAACTGGTACATTCTGCACCAACTCCATTCTCTGATTTAATCCTCCTAAGAGCTCTAAGAGCCAGGAATTTCTATGTTCCTCATTTTTTGAGATGAAGTATCTGAAGAATGAGGGGGAGTGGGGTTGAGAGGTTAATTTGTCCCGGATCACCCAGTTAATGAGTGGTAGGACCAGGTTCTAACTTAGGCCTGTATGGGGCACTCTGCTGTGTTCCTGCCTTAGTTCATTATTCCAAGGAAACTGACTCTAGTCAGGGTCTGACTACCAGCAAAATCTAGGATCCATGTTGTTTAAGTTGATTTTGCCCCAATCATTCCTTTTTAAACTCTTAGTGAACCATTCTTATGAACAGGGCACTCCGTTTTGGACTAGGAGAAGGGGAGTGTAAAGGAAAGACAGTGGGCTGTCCTAAAAGAATTTATGATTCAGTGGGAGTAGACATGGGGGCATTTGGAGATGGGAGGAGCTTGGACAAGGAAGGTCACCCAGCATCTGCCTTCTCCATACGGCTTAGGAGGGTTTGGGGAAAGTGGAAAAGATTTGGAACAGCTGCTGTAAGGAATGTGCTAGGTTAAATAATGTGTCTGGAGAAGTGAGGGGTATTTCAAGATCTTTCTTTCCACACCTCAGAATTAATGGAGCTTATTTTCTCAGATTTTCCAAAATAAAGTTCACCTCTGGCTAGAGCTCAAGCTTGAAGAATTTCAGTACAGAATTTAATCTTGTCTCTTGAAAAACTGTCAGCACTTAATTTTTTTAATCATGAAAACAGATAAATGATAACACTGCACTGAGAAGGAGGCTAAAACACTTGCTTGACTTGCAGTGTTGATTATCTATCCAATTGGATTTTTCTTAGTGTCAACTTTATTTCTGAAATAAGAAAACAACCAAATGAGAAACATTTTTAAAACCACAAGTTGAAATCCTAAGACAAACCTAACATTAGGGATGTCTGAATTTGTTAGTATCTTCGAGGCACATGGGTTACATTGCCCTAACCCTAGCATTTTGAACAATGTCATCTGCCCACTTTGTGTTTTTTCATAAATATGTAAGTGTTTTCTGGTTGTTTTCATTTCTGCCTCCATTCCACTTTAAATATTTTGTTTAATTATCACATTACATTTTATGTTTAGAAATCCTCTCTTAAAGACATTCCGTCTTGCCTGTAGCGAGGGAGGTAAATTTGGTTGAGTGTTAATTACTAATGGAATTTCTCCAGACTCAAATCTTTCCCCATACACTTTGCCACAGAACAGGTAAAAAATGTTGCTCTGGAGAAATTATAGCATAAATATCTCTAAATCAAGGGCTTAGTAACAAAGTCCACAACTAGTATAATATTTTTTCAGAGTGGCTGTCAAAAACTGTACAAATTCATTAGTAAAGCCCTACACAAGGGGGAAAACGCCCCCAAACAGGAAAAATAAATGGCTAATAAATATATGAAAAAATCAACTTTACTGTAAATAAAGATAAATTAATGGAGCAGTGAGTTCTTTTCACTTTAAGTCAGAGTTTGGGGTTTGTTTTTATAAAAATAACACTTGATATTGGCAAGAGGGTTCAAATTGCCAGACAGCATTGTGGTTGGGAATGTTAAGTTGGTAAAAATTTTTTGAAAAATTTGCAATACATATCATACCCTGTGGCCCAGTAACTATTTCTAGAAGATTTTTCCTAAGGGAAAAAACCCCTGAAACACAGAAACAAATATTTACATAAAGACATTCCCTTTTATAATTTATAATAATAAAAATACAAATAACTATTCCATTTGAGTATATTAGGTTTAAAAAAGCTACCTTCATAGATTAGAATATTATGCATCTTTTCACAAGTATCTTTATAAAGACAGAAGTAAAGGGAAATCCAAAGGAATAGAAATCGTTCTATCATAAAGACATGCACACATATGTTCATTGCAGCACTATTCACAGCAAAGACATGGAATCAGCCTAAATGCCCATCAATAGTGGACTGTGTCAGGAAAATGTGCTACATATACACCATGGAATACTATACAGCTATAAAAAAACAAGATCATGTCCTTTGCAGGAACATGAATGGAGCTTGAGCTCGTTATCCTTAGCAAACTAACACAGGAAGAGAAAACCAAATACCACACGTTCTCACTTATAAGTGGGAGCTAAATGTTGAGAACACATGGACACATAGAGGAGGAACAGTGGACACTGGAGCCTTCCAGAGGGTAGAGGGTAGGAGAAGGGAAAGGATCAGGAAAAATAACTAATGGGTACTAGGCTTAACACCTGTGTGATGAAATAATCTGTACAACAAACTCCCAAGACACAGGTTTACCTATATAACAAATCTGCACATGTACCCCTGAACTTAAAAGTTTTTTGTTTTTGTTTTTGTTTTGTTTTGTTTTGTTTTGTGATGGAGTCTCGCTCTGTCACCCAGGCTGGAGTGCAGTGGCACCATCTCAGCTCACTGCAACCTCTGCCCCCCGGGTTCAAGCGATTCTCCTGCCTCATTCTCCCGAGTAGCTGGGATTACAAGTGCCCACCATGATGTCCGGCTAATTTTTTTGTATTTTTGGTAGAGACGGGGTTTCACCATGTTGGCCAAGCTGGTCTTGAACTCATGACCTCAGGTGATCTGCCCACCTCAGCCTCCCAAAGGGCTGGGATTACAGGTGTGAGCCACCACACCCGGCCCCAAATACAAGTTCTTTTTACAAAGCTTACCAAATGGAGCCACAAAAAAAGAAGTAAAGAGAAATCGTCATGTTATGATATTAAGTGGAAAAAGCAGGAGAATAAATATATAAATAATATAAAGTATATATCTACATATATATAATACATGTCCTCACCTCTAAGATGACTAAATGATCTCTGAGGTCCCAAGCATGATTTTATAAAGTGAAGAGAGCAGTTAGATATCTTATCAGTGTATTGTCATCACATGTTATCAATGTCTGGAATCTATAAAATGATGCCAGTGACACTTGGTACTAGTATGAGGTCAGATTCCCTAGGAGAGCCCCAGACAGAGGTTGAGGTGTGTGTGATTTACTGGGCATATGCTCTTCAGGAAAAGCTCATGAGGAAAACAGACCAGGGAGGGGGAAAGAGGCAAGCAAGGATGCACTTTTTTAAATTTATGTATGTATTGAGACGGGGTCTCACTTTGTCACCCAGGCTGGAGTGCAGTAGCACAATCTCAGCTCACTGCAACCTCTGCCTTCAGGGCTCAAGCAATCCTCCCACCTCAGCCTCCTAAGTAGCTGCCACCACACCAGGCTACTTTTTAAATTTTTTGTAGAGATGGGGTTTTGCCATGTTGCCCAGGTCAGTCTCGAATTCCTGAGCTCAGGTGATCCACCCTCATGGGCCTCCCAAAGTGCTGGGATTACAGGCTTGAGCCACTGCACCTGGCAGAGGATGTGCTTTCAGGAGCATAAATCACACCACTGCATTGTAGGTGGGTCTTATACCCAGAGCAATTCTTGGGGATGGGGAATCTGTGAGCCATTAACAGCCAGGTTCAGTGGCCTTAATTTCTAAATTTTGTTCTCCTGGGTAAAATAAGGTGCCTGAATTAAATCAATGAAGGATCCTTCACGTGGGCCTGGGAATCTCCAGGAATTATATTTAAAATTCAGCTTTCCATGCAGTTTTCTGGGATTCAGGTGCATAACTTTTGTCAGATTCTTTGAGGACAGGGTGACTTCAAGCTTCCTTCCACCCCAGCACTTTGAATAGGAGTGTGAGAAGAGACTTAGGTCAGAGGAGGAAGCTAAGCACTGAATTCTTAGTTCTAGTTTTAGAAACATAATCGACCAGAACAGGGATTCTTTGGTCTCACCTTATCCCAACCCCCATTCAAATTTAGGAAAATTAAAGGCAGTCTCCCAGAACCCACTCAGACCCACTCGCTTTCACAGCCACATCTTTTCAGCTCCGCCACCTCCCGGTGAGGGGGGTGTTATCCTCGTTTTACAGAGGGGAAACTGAGGTGCCAGTGATGTGACTCATTCAGAATCCCACAGCACCCCCTTGTGGTGTGGAGCTATGGTCAAGACTTGCTGTGGAAACCAGTGGCTTGCGTTTCTTGATTTTTTTTTCTTTTTTTGAGACAGGTTCTCACTCTGTCACCCAGGCTGGAGTGGAGGGGCTTGATCTCAGCTCACTGCAGTGTCAACTTCCCAAGCTCAGGTGATCCTCCCATCTCGGCTTCCCGAGTAGTTAGGACCACAGGAGCATGACACCAGCCCAGCTAATTTTTGTATTTTTTGTAGAGATAGGGTCTCACCATGTTGGCCAGGTTGGTCTCGAACTCCTGGGCTCAAGCGATCCATCTGCCTCATCTTCCCAAAATGCTGGAATTACAGGCGTGAGCCACCATGCCTGGAGAAATATTTTTGTTTTAAAAAATACTGTATTTATCTTTCAAAGGTGATACTTTAAAAATTCAACAAGCGAGAAAGTAAAGAAAAGGGAATCCTTCTACACTGTTGGTGGAAACGTAAATTGGTGTAGCCACAGTGGAAAACAGTTTGGAAGTTTCTTGAAAAATTAAAAATATAATATGATTAAAAAATCCCACTTCTGGGCATATATCCAAAGGAATCAAAATCAGTATACTGAAGAGATATCTTCACTCCTGTGTTCACTGCGGCATTATTCACAATAGCCAAGACGTGCAAGCAACCTAAATTTCCAAAGGACAAATGGATAAAGAAAATGTGGTGTATATATACATACAGTGGAATATTATTTAGACTTAAAAGAGAAAGAATCTTGCCATTTGCGACAACATGAATGAACCTGGAGCACATTATGCTAAGTGAAATAAGCCTAACACAGAAGGACAAATACTACATGATACCAATTATATGAGGTATCAGGTATAGTCAAACTCGTAGAATCAGAAAGTAGAATGGTGGTTGCCAGGGCCATATGGCAAAGGAAGATGGGGAACTATTGGTCAAAGGGCACAAAAAATTTCAGTTATGCAACATGAATAGGTCCTAGACATCTGTACAACATAGTGCCTAGAGTTAATAATATTGCATTTTATACTTAAAAATTTGCTAAGATGGTAGATCAATGTCAAGTGTTCTTAACACAAATTATAATGAGGGTGGGAGGAAACTTTTGGAGGTAATTGATATGTTTATGGCATAGATTGTGGAAATGGTTTCATGGATGTATACTTATCTCCAAACTCATCAAGCTGTATGCATTAAATATGTACAGATTTAAAATAAATAAGTAAAGTTGCAGCAACAGTCAGAGAAGATTTTCCAAGGACTGCAATCACATTGCTCTCAGAACATATTTTCAAAGCAAGAATCTGTATAGGACATTGACATCTGGATTTCTGATGCATTTCTTGTATCTTAAATCAGGGATTGCATCATTAATAAACTTCCATATAGTTAAAAAATTAGCAACACAGAAATGTAAAATATAAATGGAAGGCTCAATTCCCCTGACCTTTAAGTAGTAGAGTGGATTCTTCTTTTATTTTTCTCCTCTTTTTTTTCCCATTTTTTTAGAGACGAGCTCTCCTTCTGTAGTCCAGAGTGGACTGCAGTAGTATGAACTTACTGCAGCGTTGAACTCCTGGGCTCAAGCTATCCTCCTGCCTCAGCATCCTAAGTACCTGGGACTACACATGTACACCACCATGCCTAGCTGGATTCTCTTTTCGATAGATACATATAGATTTGTTTGTTTAATTGATTGATTAATTTTTACAAAATGGAATCATATGGTACATTCTGTCCCGAAACTTCTGTCCCACTAGACAGTATATCACGAAAATTTTTCATGTCAGAAGATAAAGACATACCTCATTCATTTGAAAACAATAGTAAAAACAACATGTATATATATTTCAGACCATCAATATGTTAATTTAAACGGCCAGATTAAATCATATTGGTAAACAATGTGGAGTGAAACTTCTGCCATCTTAGAGCAATTATTCGAACTTCCTGTAAACTGATTATGAAGGTTGTAGTTCTAAACTATTCAAAAAATTCAGGAACTTTTCAGGACCACTCACAACAAATTGTTAAAATAAGCATGCTCTCACAGCCCCGGGGGCTGCCCTGCAGGAAATGTTGGATAATGTTCAGGTCCATCTGCTTTGTGCAGGTGCTCATGACATCGTAATGACAAACTGTACAATAGCAAGAGAACATACAAGCTGCTTTGCCATGATTATATTATATTATATATAATTTTAGCTCTTATAATTTTGGTGTCCTGCCTGTCTGACCCCTTATACTTATAAGAGAGTTTTTATAAAGTTTGAGTGCTTATGGTTTACCTTTTATTTTTACTTTTTTTTTTTTTTTTTTTTTTTGAGACAGAGTCTTGCTCTGTCGCCCAGGCTGGAGTGCGGTAGCACAATCTCAGCTCACTGCAAGCTCCGCCTCCCGGGTTGATGCCATTCTCCTGCCTCAGCCTCCCGAGTAGCTGGAACTAGAGGCGCCCGCCACCACGCCCGGCTAATTTTTTGTATTTTTAGTAGAGATGGGGTTTCACGGTGTTAGCCAGGATGGTCTTGATCTCCTGACCTTGTGATCCGCCCACCTCAGCCTCCCAAAGTGCTGGGATTACAGGCGTGAGCCACCATGCCCAGCCTTTTTTTTACAGATAGGGTCTCTCTCTGTCTTTCAGGCTAGAGTGCAGTGGTACAATCAGAGCTCACTTTAACCTCAAACTTCTGGGCTCATGTGATCCTCCTGCCTCAGGCTCCAGAGTAGCTAGGACCAAGACACACATCACCACACCTGTCTAATTTTTAATTTTTTTGCAGAGACAGGTCTATTTTGCTTAATCTGGTCTTGAACTCCTGACCTCAAATGATTCTCCCATCTCGACCTCCCAAAGTGTTGGGATTACAGCTATGAGTAACCATGCCTGGCCTAGCTTTTAATTTTATAAATGTTACTGTATTTCAGTAGAAGTAAAATAAGTAAGCTAAGAACTAGAAGCCAAATGGTGTATTGATAGACAGCTAGACAGGCATAGATATAGATGTATAATTACCTAACAAATCCTACTAAAATCAGAAAATCTAAATAGCTTCAAATTGAGTTAACTGAGCTTAATATGGCAATGCAGAAACATAATTGTACCAACCTTACAATGCAGATAAAATTCCAGGGGTGAAATTTTAAATATAACATTATTTTACTTAACCTGTAAAACAAATGAAAAGTGATGGTTTTGAAACTTTAAGTAAATGCTTGACTGTGATAGCACCAAGTATCTGATTTATTTTTATTTTTTTTCTTTTGAGACAGAGTCTCACTCTGTTTTGCAGACTGGAGTGCAATGGCGAAGTCACAGCTAGCACCACAGCCTCAAACTCTGGGTCAAGTGATCCTCCTGCCTCAGCCTCCTGAGTAGTTGGGACTATAGGTGCATACACCACCATGCCCCCCAGCTAATGAATATTTTCTTTTTCTTTTTTTTGAGACGGAGTCCCCCTGCATCACCCAGGCTCTTCTTCTGTCGCCCAGGCTGGAGTGCAGTGGTGTGATCTCGGCTCACTGCAAACTCTGCCTCCCAGGTTCAAGCAATTCTCCTGCCTCAGCCTCCCAGGTAGCTGGGATTACAGGCATGTGCCACCACGCCCAGCTACTTTTTGTATTTTTAGTAGATATAGGGTTTCATCATGTTGGCCAGGCTGGTCTTGAACTTCTGACCTTAAATGATCCACCTTCCTTGGCCTCCCAAAATATTGGGATTACAGGCGTGAGCCACCACGCCAGGCCAATGAATATTTTCAAATTGGATTTATTGAACACCTCATAATGTTTCAGTACACATGTAAAAAGTGCATTATACTGGAAAAAACAGTCTGGCATGGTGGTTAACAGTTTCAGTTCTGGAGTCAGACCATGCTGGGTTTGAATTCTAGCTCTATCTATCTCTAACTAGCTAGGTGACTCTTGGGCAGATAATATCACCTTTCTGAGCTTCAGTCTCCTCATCTGTGAAATGGCTTTACTAGTCTCCATTTTACAGGAACATTGCAAGAATTAAATGAGATCATGGAGTTAAAGAGCTTAGCACAATGGCGGATCCCTAATAAGTGTTAGAGATTATTATTGTTTTAAAGAAAGGAAAAGCAAAGGCCACTCAGGGCCAAGGTGAAGGATGCTCTTCTCTGAGGTCTTGCTGAGCCACAAGTAGCTTGTCAGGACCTCTTTGTCACATCAGCCTAACCCCTATGTCCTGTGTTCTCAGCCACTTCACTGCATGATCTCACTCCCAGTGAGTACTCACCTCCAGTAGGGAGATGCCCTCTGTTATACATTTTTTTTTCCTTTCTGACATCTGCATGGAAAAAGAAAAGAAGCTCTTAGAGTTAAGTATGAGAAAAGGCAAGTGACGACAGTCAGAGAAAAAGAGTCCTGCTGCCAGCCTCTGAAGAAAGCCACCAGAGGGGCTTTGATGCTAACCTAATCTGAAGAAAGGACTTCATTTCCAGGCTAAAAATTCAGAATGAATTTATTTTTTCTTTTTCATGTAATTAATAGGTATGCTTTGTTTAGAAAAAACAAAACAAAACACTGCATAGTACAGACAAATGAAATGTTAAGTTTCCTGTCCCAAACAATTCCAGTCCCAGTTTCTTGCTCCTTTTTAATTACTGGTTTCTGGGCTTTTGGGGATCACCTTTATTGTAGGTGAATTTGAGGAGAACACTCTGTTCCAAGCACTTGTAGGGTCCTGAGTCAGTGTATGTTGAACCTAAGGGAACAAGAGGATTCTGTGTCCTGGTTGAGGCCAGTGTCAGCACTAGGCATTAGCAGACATCATCCTTGCAGAATTTAAAAATGAAATTTTGAATAAATGAGCAGATGATGATCAAAGAAGCCAGGGGGGCCAGAAGAACTTTTCAGTTTACATCTTTCTACAGCCATCCCCAGAGTGCCTGGGTAGAGCAAGCAGAGGGCCATTAACAAACCAGACAAATGCCCACCGCTCGTCCAAGGAGCAAGGCTCGAAAATCAGACCAGGAACCCGATTCTTCCTGTCACAACCAGGCACCTGGGATGGTGAGAGAATGAACTCAGCTGTGAATGGTCCAGACCTAGAACCCAGACAGATCCTTGAGAAGAAAGATAGGAATAGACCACCTACTGGGGTACAGGTTTCCCCCAGCCAAGCCAGCCACATGCAAACCCAGAACAAGCCAGGAATCTATTCTTCTCATAGACATGCCAGCCAACTTGTGACTTACCTAGCAGGAATTTAGAAGTGGATTAAGGAAATGAGAGCGATGCAAGTTGATTTCATTATGGTCAGATGCCAGCAAAATAAATCTAGATCATCATTATGTATTTATACCCATAAAGGGAAGAACTTGGCATGGATTACAAGGTATTTAATTATAATTTAGACATGTTATGGCACTCAGTGTTTTGTTTTATTATACCTTTCATGTATTGACAGGCCAGTGTGACCACAGAAAATTTAACCTTCCTGCCAGTCCTTCTCCCTGACCTCCTGTATTGCTAGGAAGAATGAAAATTAGCTGTATAGGAAAAAAAAAGATTAACTTTCATAAGTAGCCCATATGTGCCGTTGTAAAGATTCACTCTCATAAGTAGCCCACAGGTGATGTCGTAAGCATAGTGAATACAGAGGGGGAGAGCCGAGTCTCTAAGCACACAAGCTTTTTGAAGCATCTCTGCTTGGCAAAGGCTCTTCTCTCCACCTCCAAGTTATTCTTTCAGACTCACCTCTCTTTGAAACCTTTCACCTCAGCCAGGCGCAGTGGCTCATGCCTGTAATCCCAGCCCTTTGGGAGCCCGAGGTGGGCGGATCACGAGGTCAGGAGATCAAGACCATCATGGCCAACATGGTGAAACCCCATCTCTGCTAAAATACAAAAAATTAGCTGGGCATGGTGGCGGGCACCTGTAGTCCCAGCTGCTTCGGAGGCTGAGGCAGGGGAATTGCTTGAGCCCGGGAAGCAGAGGTTGCAGTGAGCCAAGATCGCACCACTGCACTCCAGCCTGGTGATAGAGCAAGACTCCATCTCAAAAAAACAAAAAGCAAAAAACTTTCACCTCCCAGTTACAGTGAGTTTCTTCCCCTTTTCTCCTTCTGGAGTGCCCTGTTCTTACCTCAGTAATTGTTCTAGTGGGTGTTCTAATTATTAGTTTAAGAGTCTGTCTCGGTTGTACCAAGATGGCCGAATAGGAACAGCTCCAGTCTACAGCTCCCAGTGTGAGCGACGCAGAAGACAGGTGATTTCTGCATTTCCTACTGAGGTACTGGGTTCATCTCACTGGGGCTTGTTGGACAGTGGGTGTAGCCCACGGAGCATGAGCCAAAGCAGGGTGGGGCATTGCCTTACCCAGGAAGCACAAGGGGTGGGGGAATTTACTTTCCTAGCCAAGGGAAGCCGTGACAGATGGTACCTGGAAAATTGGGACACTCCCACCCTAATACTGTGTTTTTCCACCAGTCTTAGCGAATGGCACACCAGGAGATTATATCCCATGACTGGCTTGGAGGGTCCCACACACCCACGGAGCCTCGCTCACTGCTAGCACAGCTGTCTGAGATCAAACTGCAAGACGGCAGTGAGGCTGGGGGAGGGGTGTCTGCCATTGCTGAGGCTTGAGTAGGTAAACAAAGTGGCTGGGTGGAGCCCACCACAGCTCAAGGAGGCCTGCCTGCCTCTGTAGACTCCAACTCTGGGGGCAGGGCATAGCTGAACAAAAGGCAGCAGAAACTTCTGCAGACTTAAACGTCCCTGTCTGACAGCTTTGAAGAGAGTAGTGGTTCTCCCAGCACAAAGTTTGAGATCTGAGAACAGACAGACTGCCTCCTCAAGTGGGCCTAAATGGGAGGCACCTCCCAGTAGGGGCCGACTGACACCTCATATGGCTACATGCCCCTCTGAGACCAAGCTTCCAGAGGAAGGATCAGGCAGCAAAATTTGCCATTCTGCAATATTTGCTGTTCTGCAGTCTCCGCTGGTGATACCCAGGCAAACAGGGTCTGGAGTGGACCTCCAGCAAACTCCAACAGACCTGCAGCTGAGGGTCCTGACTGTTAGAAGGAAAACTAACAAACAAAAAGGACATCCACATCAAAACCCCATCTATACGTCACCATCATCAAAGACCAAAGGTAGATAAAACCAGAAAAATGGGGAGAAACTAGAGCACAAAAGCGGAAAATTCTAAAAATCAGAGAGCCTCTTCTCCTCCAAAGGAAAACAGCTCCTCTCCAGCAACAGAACAAAGCTGGATGGAGAATGACTTTGACGAGTTGAGAGAAGAAGGCTTCAGACCATCGGTAATAACAAATTTCTCCAAGCTAAAGGAGGATGTTCGAACCCATCGCAAACAAGCTAAAAACCTTGAAAAAAGATTAGATGAATGGCTAACTAGAATAAACAGCATAGAGAAGACCTTAAATGACCTGATGGAGCTGAAAACCATGACACGAGAACTACGTGATGCATGCACAAGCTTCAGTAGCTGATTCGATCAAGTGGAAGAAAGCATATTGGTGACTGAAGATCAAATGAATGAAATGAAGCAAGAAGAGAAGTTTAGAGAAAAAAGAGTAAAAAGAAATGAACAAAGCCTCCAAGAAATATGGGACTATGTGAAAAGGCCAAATCTACATCTGATTGGTGTACCTGAAAGTGATGGGGAGAATGGAACCAAGTGGAAAAACACTCCGCAGGATATTATCCAGGAGAACTTCCCCAACCTAGCAAGGCAGCCAATATTCAAATTCAGGAAATACAGAGAACGCCACAAAGATACTCCTCAAGAAGAGCAACTCCAAGACACATAACTGTCAGATTCACCAAGGTTGAAATGAAGGAAAAAATGTTAAGGGCAGCCAGAAAGAAAGGTTGGGTTACCCACAATGGGAAGCCCATCAGACTAATAGTGGATCTCTCAGCAGAAACTCTACAAGCCAGAAGAGAGTGGGGGCCAATATTCAACATTCTTAAAGAAAAGAATTTTCAACTCAGAATTTCACATCCAGCCAAACAAAGCTTCATAAGTGAAGGAGAAATAAAATCCTTTACAGACAAGCAAACGCTGAGAGATTTTGTCACCACCAGGCCTCCCTTACAAGAGCTCCTGAAGGAAGCACTAAACATGGAAAGGAACAACCGGTACCAGCCACTGCAAAAACATGCCAAATTGTAAAGACCATTGAGGCTAGGAAGAAACTGCATCAACTAACGAGCAAAATAACCAGCTAACATCATAATGACAGGATCAAATTCACACATAACAATATTAACCTTAAATGTAAATGGGCTAAATGCTGCAATTAAAAGACACAGGCTGGCAAATTGGAGAAAGAGTCAAGACCCATCAGTGTGCTGTATTTGGGAGACCCATCTCATGTGCAGAGACACAGATAGGTTCAAAATAAAGGGATGGAGGAAGATCTACCAAGCAAATGGAAAACAAAACAAAGGAGGGTTTGCAATTCTAGTCTCTGATAAAACAGACTTGAAACCAACAAAGATCAAAAGAGACAAAGAAGGACATTACATAATGGTAAAGGGATCAATTCAACAAGAAGAGCTAACTATCCTAAATATATATGCACCCAATACAGGAGCACCCAGATTCATAAAGCAAGTCCTTAGAGACCTACAAAGAGACTTAGACTCCCACACAATAAAGATGGGAGACTTTAACACCCCACTGTCAACATTAGACAGATCAATGAGACAGAAAGTTAACAAGGATATCCAGGAATTGAACTCAGCTCTGCACCAAGCGGACCTAATAGACATCTACAGAACTCTCCACCCCAAATCAACAGAATATACATTCTTCTCAGCATCACATCACACTTATTCCAAAATTGACCACATAGTTGGAAGTAAAACACTCCTCAGAAAATGTAAAAGAATAGAAATTATAACAAACTGTCTCTCAGACCATAATGCAATCAAGCTAGAACTCAGGATTAAGAAACTCACTCAAAACCACTCAACTGCATGGAAACTGAGCAGCCTGCTCCTAAATTACTACTGGGTACATAACGAAATGAAGGCAGAAATAAAGATGTTCTTTGAAACCAATGAGAACAAAGACGCAACATACCAGAATTTCTGGGACACATTTAAAGCGGTGTGTAGAGGGAAATTTATAGCACTAAATGCCCACAAGAGAAGGCAGGAAAGATCTAAAATTGACACCCTAACATTGCAATTAAAAGAACTAGAGAAGCAAGAGCAAACACATTCAAAAGCTAGCAGAAGGCAACAAATAACTAAGATCAGAGCAGAACTGAAAGAGATAGAGACACAAAAAACCCTTCAAAAAATCAATAAATACAGGAGCTGGTTTTTTGAAAAGATCAACAAAATTGATAGACCATTAGCAAGACTATCAAGACTGCTATCAAGACTAAAGAAGAAGTGAGAGAAGAATCAAATAGACACAATAAAAAATGATAAA